>NC_000002.12:238550148-238903659 GCF_000001405.40 Homo sapiens | reverse complement strand
ACACACCTCACATCACACATCACACACACACCTCACATCACACACACCCCACATCACACACACACTACCTCAAACATACTTCACATCACACACACTACATCACACATCCCACAACCCACACACACCTCACATTAGACACACCCCACATCACACACACACATCACACACACCTCACATCATGCACACACATCACACACACCTCACATTAGACCCACACCCCACATCACACACATCCCACATCACACACACACCTCACATTAGACACACCTCACATCACGCACACACTAAATCACACCTCACATTACACACACACTACCTCAAACATACCTCACATCACACACACTATATCACACATCCCACATCACACACCTCACATTAGACACACCCCACATCGCACACACACTACATCTCACACACACCCATTCCACACCCATCACATAAACCTCACATCACATACCCCACATCACACACACCCATCACACAACTACATCCCACACCTCACATACACACCTCACATGAGACACACACCCCACATCACACACACCTCACATCACGCACATACCCCACAGCACACACCCCACATCACACACACTACATCACACACACATCACACACACCTCACACATCACACACACCCACATCACACACACCTCACATCACGCACATACCCATCACACACCCACATCACACACACATCACACACACCTCACACATCACAACACCCACATCACACACACCTCACATCACGCACATACCCATCACACACCCCACATCACACACCCCTCACATCACGCACATACCCATCACACACCCCACATCACACACACTATATCACATACACACATCACACACACCTCACACATCACAACACCCCACATCACACACACCTCACATCACGCACATACCCATCACACCCATCACACACACTACATCACACACACATCACACACACCTCACACATCACACCCCATATCACACACACCCCACATCACACACACATCACACACACACCATCACACACCTCATATCACACACCTCACATCATGCACAACTCATATCACACACACTACAACACACACAACTCACATTACACAACCCCACATCGCACACACATGCACACACCACACACACACCCCATACTACATCCACACCTACATCACTCACACTCCACATCACACACACACCTCACACCACACATACCCCAATTCACATACATCCCATATCACACACTTATCACATCACACACACACCCTGATTAACACAAACCCCACACTACACACATACATACACCACATACTCCGATTCACACAAACCCAACACCACACACCCCCACACCACACATACACATCACACACACATACTCCATATCACACATACCCCATCACACACACCCCAATTCATACAAACTCCTTACCACACACATCACACACACACATACTCCACATCACACATACCCCATATCTCTCTCTCTTGCACACACACACACACCATTACACACCCCTGAGGTTCTGCCAGGGGACCCTGGAGGGGTAAAAGTGAGGATCAGGGGTCAGAATCTGGCCACAGAAGCGTGGGCTGTGACCATCATCCACAGCATGGAGCGGATGTCCAGGACATTCATTACCCTGAGCTTTCCCTGCCTTTCCTCAGCCCCTGGCATCACAGCGGAGGAGGCTTTGCCTCCACAGGACCCTGGCATCCCCCAGTTCATGCAAAAATGCTCTCACCCCCACCTCCTCTCCCTCCCCCACCACACCCTCAACCCTGGGCTTCCAGATGCTCAGGGCTAGGGAACGTGCCAGGGTGAGATCACAGCAGAGTTCACAGACATGGAGAAGTCCCAGCTGCCAGCCACCCCCATGGGTCTCGATGGGTCCTGGCCACCCCACAAAGCCACTCCTCTCTTCTCCTGAGTGCCTGGTGGGCGCGGTCCTTCAGTGGGGGCTCTCTGTCCCCTGCCGAGTCTGGACCCAGCCTCCTGACCCCTCAGACACCCACCTCAGCCACCCCGAGTCAACCAGAGGTATGGAACCGCTCAGCGTGGTCAGTGAGACCTCCCATCGGCGTGAGTGCACAACAGACAAGGAGATACCCCAGGGACCCGAGGGCCACTCAGGGGGCACATCCAGGCTGAACGCCTAGCAGAGGCCTCCGCACAGGGATCCAGCCTCAGAGCAGCAGAATTCACCTACTGAGGAGGAGCCTGGAGAAAACCAGAATTGTCTGCTTCAAAAAAAGGAACCATTAGGAAACAAAACAAGGACTGCTGGAAACAACAAAACAAATAGAAGGAGAAGTTTTAAAAAATTTAAAAATGAAGAAAAACAAATACATCAGAGAGTGCTCCTGGAAGTCTCCCAGCATGCTGAGCAAAAGGCAAAGGAGGCCGGCACGGTGGCTCACACCTGGAATCCCAGCACTTTGGGAGGCCAAGGCAGGTGGTTCACTTGAGGTCAGGAGTTTGAGACCAGCCTGGCCAACATGGTGAAACCCTCTCTCTACTAAAAATACAAAAATTAGCCAGCATGGTTGGCACACACCTGTAATCCCAGCTACTCCAGAGGCTGAGGCAGGGGAACACTTGAACCTGGGAGGCAGAAGTTGCAGTGAGCTGAGATTGCCACTGTACTCCAGCCTGGGCAATGGAGTGAGACTCAGAAAAAAAAAAAAAAAGCCGGGGGGGAAGGAGAAGGGATAGGGCAGAAACGATCAGAAAAAATGGCAGAGGAACGTGTCTCCACGTTCAGGATTATCTTCAGGTTATCAGGATAATCTTCAGACTAAAAGGGAACACCAAGTTCCAGGAAGGAAAACAAGAGGAGGGGCAACCCAGCTGAATCACGAAGAAATCTCTGGGCTCTAAGAGTAGGGCAACCTCCTACGGCTTCCAGACCCAGACAACCAGCAGATGCATGCTGGCTTCCAAACAAGCTCACCACCCCCACTCAGTGACACTCCCAGAATGTCCAGAGTGTTGGTGGAAAGAGCAGGGCAGCCCCGAAAGTCCATACCCAGCGAGTCCAGGGACCATGCGGGAGAGCGAGAGAAGCAATGCAGCTGCAGAATGTGCACCGCTCAGCAGCTGCTCCAGGGAAATTCCACTAGAAATGCCTTCTGTCCAAAGGAAAGGTATTCCTGGGGCTTCTTTCTCTGCAAGTACGACAACAAATGATGGACTAATCCCCCAGTGCAAAACAAGCAAATAAGAATGTTGGGGAGAAGGAAAGTGGCTGTAAGGAAAATCTTGAGAGGCCCACAGTCAACTGGGGGCAGGAGTCCAGGGGGTGTGCAACCCCTACAGCTTCTGGCCACACCGGGCACATCTGTGGGTCCCCAGTCACCCCAAGCTTCTGTCTGCCCAGTCACACAATGAATAAGGACAGCAGGAGCCAGACTGTCACCAGGCAGTCGGATTCGTGAACTCACACTCTTAATTCTCATGCTGTCCAAGTTACCAAACTCATCCAAGAAAAAGCAGGAAACCCAAATGTATCGATAGCCATCAGACATGTGGACCAGGTTACAAAGGTCTGTATCTACCCCACGAAGAATAACAAACCCGCTTGTTTTATAAGAGAATTAAACAGAACTTTCTATGAACAGATAATTCCCATCTATATTAAACTATTCCAGAATTTAAAGATGAAGGACCACTTCCCATTTTATTATTTATTTATATTTCTTTCTTTCTTTCTTTGTAAAGACTTTATTTTTTTAGAGCACTTCAGGTTCCCAGCAAAATTAAGAGGAAGGTCCAGAGATTTCCCATATACCCTCTGCTCCCACCCATACCCAGCATCCTTCATAAAAAGATGACACGGTTTGGACACCTGTCCTGACGGCATCAGAACCAAAGGCTAGAACGTTGCCGCCTGTGAATCTAAATGCAAAAAGTCCTAAGACATTAGCAAATCAAGTCAAGTCGGGTATTTAAAGAACCAATTCCAGATGACCAAGAAGGGTTTATTCCAGGAATGCAGAATGTTACCATTTGGAAATCTGTGAAAGGAGGGACGGTGAGAGCATGCCGGGATGGGCACAGAGAGGGGTGTGTGCAATTCCAAGGCCTGGTTTCCTGAGCTCTCCCTGAGACGGGCCCTGGAGCCTGGCCTGAGGCTGAAGCCCCGCTGCCTCTCTCTGTGGCGCAGCCTTGGGAGAGTGGATTAACCTGTCCAGCTCTCAGTTTCCACTTCTGCAAAACACCCAAGTGAGGGTAACAATAGGGCGTGCTGCATCAGTGCTGTGAGGGCTCAATGAGCTACTTCACCAGAAAGGCTTGGCCTTGCCTGGTCTATGGGCAACACACATGTCGCCATGAGAACAGGAGCCCAAGAGAGCAAGGAGCTGTTTTCTTCCCCAACTGGGTCTAGAACAGCTCCTGGCACTTCATAAGTGCTCACTAAATATTTGTTGAAAGAGGGACTACAATGAAGAAAGCAGAGAGAAACCAGCAGCTGAAGCCTTAGGGATGCGGGGACCGTGCAGACCAAGCAGGTGGCTCCCGTGGCCAGCGGTCACATGGCTTGGCAGGCCGAGGCCAGGACCGGATAGATGATGGACAGGGCTGTAAATACCAACAGCAAAGAGGCCAGTAATGCTGGGCCGTGCCAGGTCAGACGCCGGAGGGCAGCAGGGCACAGATGGCAGCCTCTGCCCACCTTCTGACCCAGGCACATACTATGTAGGGGAGCAGTCATCGGTCACATTGTCCAATCACCACACGGTGCCAAGGGGCCCACCAGGAGCCGGCACCAGAGCTGCCTGACTACAGGCTTCCAAATAACAAAGCTGTGCCTGAGCAAACCTGGGCAGACAGAAAGGCCACAAGATGCAAGGGCCGGGACCCTCTGCCAACTTCTCCCGGGGCCTCCCCTCCAGGACTTTGCCCATCCAGCCCCCACCCCAACGGAAGCCTCAAAGCCCTTAGCACGAGGGCACTATCTGGAAGGCTGGGCCGACATGGGTGCCTTCTCCCCACAGTGGTCAGAGCACTCACCCCCACCTCAGGGGAGAGGAAGGAGAAAGCAAAGCCAGCCCCCTCGGGGCAGCTGCACCCAAGGAGCTCTCGCCCACATTGCGCCCACCCTGAGCTGTGTCTCAGGAGCGGCTGGCGGGAACTCCCCTTTTGTACCAATCCAATAGATCCAAGCGATCTTTGCATCCTCAATGGCCTCATGGGCATTCTAAGTTCTTGCTACCCAGTTGGTCCCTGGACCAGCAACAGCACCATTCCCCAGGAGCTTTCAGAGATGCAGTCTCAGGCCTCGGAGCCTCAGAGTCAACATCTGCGCTTTGACAAAATCTCCAGTTCATCTAAGATGTTTTTTGGGCAGAAAGATGAGGCTGAACATATCCGGCCTTGTCATTCATCTCCTGTGACAACTCAGCCCTGTTCAGAGGGGTCAGCTGAGGCTGGGCCACACTATGTCACACAGCTGGTTAGAGGCAACATGCTCCCTGCTAGGGGCAGCTGGTTACAGGCAAGATGCTCCCTGCTCGGGGCTGGCCCCACCCCCAGCACCCGGGCCCTGAGACCGCGTTCGCCAGCTGCAGTTCCTCTGAAGGGTCCTAACACAGCCTCCAGCCCTCTTGAGACAGTCTCAGGCAGGCAGGAGGGCCTGGGGGCAGGCCAGACACTCAGTGGACAGAGCTGTGCACCCAGGCCGAGTCCAGCCCTGTGGACCATGCCTCAGTGATCACCCACCCAATGGGCAGGCATCAGGGTGCCAGCAGCAGGCCCCATGGAGACTCTCGGGAGAGTCCCTCCTGCTCTGCTGAACGAGTTTCCTTGTTCCATCTGGGTAAGGGTTCAAAGAGACCATTGGCCACCAAGGGCCAGACGGCTCCGGGTAGGCTCCCAGCTTGCTGCCAGCCCGGGCTGGGATGGGCAGTGCCAGCATGAAGCTGGCCACCTCCACCCCAGAGCCTTCTCCCCAGTGCACTGTCTTTTTGACAAATGTCTTGTCCAGAGGCGGGGGAGGAAATGCAGAGTGCTGCTTTCACGGTAGAGAGTGTGATGCCTCCTTCCAGGCCACATCTGCACTGCGAGCTCTAAGCAGGGCAGGGGACCTCGGAGGCTGAGCAGCTGAGCACAAGGCTGGCCCTGAGCAGGAAAAGCCACTCCTCACTAGGGAACCAGGCACCAGGGTGGCCTGGGTTGGTGGGGCCTGGCATGTCAGGAAGCCAGCTGCTCTGCCACCCTTGCTGGGTGCTGTAGGGGGAAGGTGGCAAGGGGGTCCCACTTGGTAAAAAGGCAGGTGTCCTTGGGGGTCAGGCTCCCCTCCTCCTGGCCAAACTCCGTGGCTCCCCCAGCCCTGGAAGCTTGGGGGACACAGGGGCAGGGGGGCGCGCGGAGGACAGAAAATCACAAGGGAAACAGCAAAAGCTTACCATCCCCGCTTAGTCCCACCACAGGACCATCTAAGAATCAACGTCTGCAACCAAGGGAGAAGTGCGGCAGGAGGAACGCAGGGATACCGTCCCTGACAGCGACTTTCAAAGGGGGCGTTGGAGGATTTGGTGAATATTTCTGTGGGACGATGGTGAGGCTAAGAGGAAAGGGATGGAAAGCAGGCTCTGTTCTCTCTTGAAAGCAAATGGGAATCAGGAAACAATTAGAATTCTGAGATTAATTTGTTTTTTACAACGTTCCCCTGAATGGCTCTGCCAGGTTGCCCTCACTCCTTCACTCAGGCGCCTCCCTCCCCCTGGGGTGTGCCTACTTTTCTCCAAATGGAAGCAGTGACTGTTACAGGCAGGACCCCCTTGTCTCTGTCTGTGGGCTCCGGGTGGAAGCTTCTGCCCTGTGATTCTCAGCAGGCTGGTGAGTGACAAGGAGGCCACCACGTGCCCATGGTACTCCAAGAAATGGGCCAGAGCTAAAATCCCAGAGCATGTGTGTGTGTGGCAGCGGCTGGCCCCATTCCCCTGTGGAGAGTCAGGCCTTCCCAGGAATGACTGCATGGGTGAGATTCCCCCACTCACACCCCAAAGTTCCTAGGACCCCCAGAGGATTGATGGGTGTCTGCTGGTCAGACAAATGCACCAGGTGCTGCCTGCTCTGAGCTCTTACAGGGCCTCGGGAATTTTTGAGACATGTGGCTCAGGACGTGTTCAGGTGGCAGCCTGATATTAGGGAGCCAGCTGGTGACTTGGGATAAGTCACACCCCACCCCACGTTTCTGTGCCCCAGGTTCCTCCATCTCTGAAAGGACACTGCTCGGCCAGGCGGCCTCCAGAGGGACTTCCGGCACCACTGGCTTGAAATGGGGTCCTGCAGGGAGCCTGTGATTCCAGCGCAGCCTGGTGGCCCTGGGGACAGTGGCCTGTTTGCTCCCCATGCTATGGACGTCTCCCGTGCTTTCTGCATCCCTGTCTGCTTTGATGGCACGGCAGGCACGCTTTTGGATGCCCCACACATGGGGCGTTCGCCGTCAGGGTCTGGAGGGTCAGTAGGCAGGGTGCAGTCAGGCGACTGCGGAGCCGTCTTCCGGATCCCCGCCCCTCTCTCCCCCCTCCGTGACTCATGCCTCTGACCCCGGCTTGCCTGCTGCGCCTGAGAAGGAGGAATCCTGCTGGGAATGTGGGAATGACCATATTTACAACGCCGGGGCTCCCGGTGGCTATTGGCCTGGCCTGGCTCCTCCAGGGGAGCGAGGACTTCACGCCAGCTGGAAGCCAGGCTGTCTCTCTCCCTCAGCTTGGGCTTGGCTTCAGGGACCCAGGCTGACTGTGCTTGGAATGGCCTGTCTGGCAAGGAGGAGTCAGCCCAAGGAAACCAGGGGAGAGGGCGAGCTTGTCTGCAGCGGACCAGGCCGGCTCCTTCCTGCTTGGAGCCCCCAGCATCACTGCCAGAGAGGCCACCCTGCAGAGCCTCTCCCTGTCCACCTGGCAACCCCCAGGCTCTCCAGGGCGGGCTCTACCGGGGCTGAGGCCGCAGAGTCTGACCGGTCCGTCAGGATCTACCCCACCCTCTTCCTCTCTGCGAGACCTTCCCGTTTCCCCACGATGAGTGTCCTGGGAGCACTGCAAAGGGACCGCTCCCAACTTTCAGAGACAGCGAGGGCTGGCCAGCCACGAGCAGCCAGATGGCAGGAGAGCATCCCACCGCTCCCAGTACCTGGGCCCTGCAAGTCCAGGAACCCTTTCAACCCGTGAGTCACAACTTCTCCAGATGCCACCAAATTCAGTCTCCAAACAAAACCCATGAGTGGAAGATGATGGAACACGAACCGCCCTGCGGGCCCCGTTTCCAGCTGGTGGTGCTGGAGGGCCTTCTGGGGGCCACCTGGCCAAGCAGTGTCTTTTCAGACATGGAGAGAATGGGGCCACAGGAAAGTGAGGAAGGGCCTGACATCCCAAGTCACCAAGTGGGTGCAGAATCTCCCCCAGAACGCAAGTCAGCTAAGCCCTGGGCTGGAAATACCTTTTGTATCCACAGCACTGACACACTGGTCCAAGCCAGGGGCGTGAACTTTACAAATGTCTTTTGACAGAACACATGACTATCTGAAGACACAGCCTTCTCAGTGGCAGCGGCAGTGGCAGCAGCAGCAACAGCAGCAGCAGCGAACGAAAATATGGACAGAAGGGCTGCCGGTGTCGGGCGCTCTGCCTGACGCAGGCACGTGCCTCAGCCAGCTCACAGTTCATATGGGGAGACAAGCAGCAGAACAAATCACTATCACAAAAATGTAATAATAAAAGTACAATAAAAGTACGTTCAGGTCTGCAACAAGCTTGCTATGAAATATAAATATAGGTGATGACTGCAAATGTATTATTATAATACAGAGATTAAAAGGTCCATAATAAACATACAGGGAAGGTGACAGTTATGTTTCTGAGGGTTTGGAGAGCTCGTCACAGAATTCGGGATTGCAGCCAGGTCTTCAAGGAGATCAGTCCCAGTTGAGAGGGGTGGAAGGGCCTCGTGGGCACAGGCAGAGATGGGAGGCACAGCCAGGAAGGTGGGGAGAGGGATCTGGGGGTAAAGACAGCATTGACTCTGGGGAGGAGGCAGGAATTGGTGGGACTCCCCAAAGCGACAAGGAGGCCAGGAAAGGTTTGGGGGGCCACAGACACCATCAGATCTCTCTGTCAGAGGTAGCTCTGGCTGGCAGGGGACAGACCCCGAGGTGGGGCCTGGGCAGGGCGGCTCCCCCAATGGCCCAGAGGGAGGCCAGGACCACATGGAGACAGCAGCTGTGCAGGCGGCAAGGGGCCACCCACCAGACACAGTGACCCGCTGAGTGTGGGGGTGGCAAGGGGCCGCTCAGGGGCCCAGCTTGGGTGGCTGGGTGCATCCTGACCCAGAAGCTAGACTCAGATCTAGAGAGGAGGAGTCATCTCGGGGGCAACAAGACCCGTGTCAGCCACGTGGAGCTGCTGGAGTCCTCAGGACACCCTGAAGGGCAGTTCACTCAGCAAAGGGACATGCTGGGAACCCCGGAAGAGGGTGGGGGCTTCAGAGGCAGATTCTCCAGACTGAGGCCAACTTTATTCTCCCCTTGGAGAGAGGAGGAATCGGCACAGAGGTTGAGATGCTTGCTTTGCTAGGATTTGAACCCAGGCCTCTGGATTCCCAAGATGGGCTCAGATTCCTGGTCTACACCTCCATCCATGGCAGAACTGGAGGAGGCAGATATTTAGGGGCAAGCGGAGGGAGAGGCTGGGAAGGAGGCACGTGGTAGGAGAGGCAAGGCCGGGGAGAACTGACACCAGGGGGTGTCAAGGGAGGGCTGGAGAGCACCACCCCCTGCTAGCAGGAGGACGGCGCGTCGTAAAGGTCACCAGGGTCCAGGACTTCAGAAGAGCAGGCTCAGCCGGGTGCAGGCTGCCGCGGAGGCCAGGAGGTCGGCGCTCCTTGGGAATGGTCTTCCACACGTTTGGTGGGACAGCGAAAGTGCCAGAAGCTGCGAACAATGGCGGCCGGCGATCGGCGCTTCCTGAGTGCCGGACCCCACACTGTATGTCTGGGATTCGGCTGAAGACTCTCAACCATCTCACGCAATCGGTGCGCCCGTGTTCCAGGTTCTGAGCCTGAGCACACGGAGGCTTTGAGAGGCAGGAAGCCACTCTGCTCAGAGAGCGGAGGAACAAAGCCCTGGGAATTAAGCCTAGGTGTCCAGGCTCCGGGGCCTGTTTTCAGAGTGGAGAGGCACAGGCTGTGCTTCTGGGGAGGGCGGGGCCTGGAAAGTGTGGCAGAATGATTCTGGGACTGTCTCCCTTGAACAATTTTTAACTGGGGGATATAAAACTGTTCTGAATAATTAAACAACGCTGACCATAAGCCATATCTGTAACCAGGGCCAGCTTTTAGTCCTTCAAATTAATCTTGAAAAAAATAGGCCGTTTTTAAAATGCGAAACTGTGTACAAGAGTAACTCTACTTAAATGTTTTATTGGGCAGTCTTTTTTTCAAATGCCTCTGATAAAATAAGCTATTTTTGAAATTTTTTGCATCTATTCACCTATATTCAGAAGAATGCAAAAACCTAAGCAATGGGAAGAATCCTCCTATAATTCAATGCCAGGTCCCAGAAATCCCTGGGAACTCAGATTTCAGCTGAAGGTGTGGCAGAGGTGCTTTTAGGCCTGCAGAGTTGGAGTTTCTGGCGGAGCAGTTGGGGGCGTGGTTAACCAGACCATTCTGCAACAGGGACAGGCCTTTTGCTTCCCAAGCTCTGGACTCAGTTACTTTTAGCCCATTTCAGATTCTCAAACTTCTGCACCACATGAATAAAACTGATCTCTGTTGAGAAACACATCATATTAAGAAATCAACTAGCACACACTAAGTGTTGAAGACTTTGCCTCAGTTAAGGTAAAATCAGCTAGTAGAGGCCTGTGGTGGTGATTGGAAAAAAACATATTAGAAGGCCGGTTGCGGCGGCTCACACCTGTAATCCTAGCACTTTGGGAGGCTGAGGCAGGCAGATTCCCTGATTTCAGGAATTCAAGACCAGCCTGGGTAACATGGTGAAATCCCGTCTCTACTAAAATACAAAAAATTAGCCAGGCGTGGTGGTGGTCGCCTGTAGTCCCAGCTACTCGGGGGGCTGAGGCAGGAGAATTGCTTGAATCTGGGAGGCGGAGGTTGCAGTGAGCCGAGATCACGCCACTGCACTCCAGCCTGGGCGACAGAGCAAGATTCCATCTCAAAAAAAACAAAAACAAAACAAAACAAACAAAAAACCATATTAGAGGGAAAAAGTAAATTTCAGGGGCAGGACAGGATGAGTGAACAGCCCAGGCTGGACAGGCGACTGGGGAAGGTCCTGGCTGGTGATCGGCGGAGCACCTGTGTATCTTCTCACGGGTAACACGTGGTGCAGCGCACGTGCTCCCAGGCCAGGGCCCCCTCCTCGTGCCGCCTCCGCATTTCCACCTGGACCTCTGTTTCTCTCTGTCCTGAGGCTTGCGGGCTCTCAGGTGTCTGCGTTCCGCCGTGAGGTGAGCCGGAGTCTCTCACCCGCTGAGTCCTGGGGAAGGACTCACCCTTCCGGTGGTTGCCTGGCTCAGCCCATGTACAGTCAGGGTCCCGAGGGCAGGTGGGAGTGGCTGCTGCAGGCGGGTTCCAGTCCACACACCGGCACATAACAGAGAACACAGCACCCGCATGGCTCAGCGGCAAGCACATGCTGAAGAGGAAGGGATAAGTGGTCAGCGGCTCCGTGAACGAACTCCAGGGCTAAATTTCAGTGGTCCCGCCTTGCGCAGGTGCACAAATACAGCTTGTCCTACATAGCCCAATCTTCCCACACGCAGTGGCTGCTCATTCACACAGAAAGACATCCCCGCGGACTCCGCAGACCCAGCGCCTGGGTCTCTAGGAGCAAACAGAGGAAGGCAGTGAGGCAGCGGAGACACGGAGAATAGCGGGGTTTTTGGACTCAAGCCTGGAAAATGTGCACGCCTCTGCCTTCCCAGCTTCCAGCTCCCAGAGTGAGGGTGCTGTCAGCCAGCCAAGGATGACCCTCGAACCTTCTCGCTTTCTTGTCTCAAGGCCCCCACCTGCCTTTCAGGACCTCGGCCTCCTCCTGGGGGAAACCGTCCCCCTGTTCACATGCCTCCTAGATCTGCCAGGGGAAGGACGTTTGCCAGACCGTCCTCTCACCCTCCAGCTCCCCCTACACTGGAACACAGACACCTGGGAGCCCGCAGGCCTCAGGACAGCACACAGAGACACAGAAGTCCAGGCCGAAATGCAGACCAGAACAAGGAATAGGCCATGCCGGCCAAGCCCCAGGTTCCTTTTGAGGAGACACACAGGTGCTCGGCCAGTCATCAGCCATGACCAGTGATATCCCCACTGGGCACAGTGAGGGCGCTGGGCCTGAAGGCCGTTCACAAGCACAGCTCTGCTGTCCACTGAGAGAGGTTTACCAGGAGTCCGAATGCTCCCGATAGGGTCAAGGTGGCCTCGCTGATCTAAGAGCACCTGGAGCTGGGGACGGCTCTGGAAAACGTGTTCGAGATCTCCTGCATCAGACTCTAACAAAAGGCTGCAATTCCTGACATTTCATTTTTGAGATCAGACTGCGAATGTCATGATCCACAAATCTAATCGACGTCCTCCGTCTAAAAGTGGTGAGTGAACTGCAGAACTGAGAGCTGGACCACGCCGAAGCTCGGGGGATCCGAGAACAGGAGTGAAAGTGCACGGATTCTTATCAGCCCACAAATAGCTGGCAAGGTCCCGGGGTGCAGGTGAGACTACCCCGTGGCATCTGAGAACTTTAAGGAGTCGAGTGTCTCAGTGCTGTTTGTGATGACGGTGGGCAGAACGATTTCAATCTGGGAAGGGCAGACCCTGGGAGAACAGATCCCTCAGAGCCTTCTCAGGCTGTCTTTGATGCGAGAGCTTAGAGACTAATCCCCCTGCCCCAGAAGACTCGCAGCCTCAAGGGTCAAGTAAAGAGATACAGAAATATAGTCGTGATTACTCAATTTTTAAAAATTCGGCATTCCTGCAATAAAACCCCGTTTATAAACTGTAGCATGCTCCAACAAGTCTTATGGCATTTGATTTTATTTTCAATGTGTTTTTGAATATTCTATATTTTCCTAAACAGTGAATTTTTTTCCAGAACTAGAAAATGACATGAATGAGAGTTGGCCACACATGCACACACATTTCTGGTCATACCTCTGGAACAAAAACCCTAAGTGGGGAAGGATCACCTGGATCGTGTGGCTTTAGAATGCGTTCCCTCTTTTTTACAAGGCTTGTGCAATCACGGGCTCTCAGTGGCCGTCTCCTAAGTGAGGATCTGATGGGGAGGTGCCGGACTTTCACCCAGGCTCTGGAGGGTGCCTGCCCCGCGCAGGCCGGGCTGTGCTCTCACTGTGCCGGTCCTGCACAGAGCAGCGGTCAGCGTCTGTGGGGATACAGGCTGGAGTGGCCACAAGCATGGCAGGTGGCCTGGCTGACCCCAGCCCAGCAGGCTCCTGGCTGTGTGGCATCCCCTGGTGCTGCCACCTCCCTGACCACGTGCAGAGGCCAATGCAGGCCTTTGCTCCGGATGCTCCACTGCCCCAGGTGAACCTCGCTCTCCAGGGATGTCTTTAAGAACGTATCCTCCACGCAGCTGTCCTCGAAAACTAAGCCCTGGGAGCAGGCTCCCCCTGGCCCATTTGCACCTCTGTGAAGGCACAGGCCAGGCTGGGCAGCCTCCGCACAGGCCAGGCTGGGCAGCCTCCACCCAGGCAGCTCTTCTCTCCAGCCAGCCGGGCACCCTCGCCGACATGTGGGTTCTTACACTTATATATCATCCTTGGCAATCCATTTCTCATCTATAAAATGGGCTGGTACTACCTGCCCTGCAAGTGGGAGAACACGTAGCAGGTGCTCACTTAATATTAAGAAATCTGTAATGAACGCACTGAGTATCAGAGCATCAGAGCCGTCATTTACAAATGTGGCCACCAGCCTGTGAGGGGTGGAATCCTACTCCATGTTACGACTGCAATGGGGCCGTAGAGGACTATTCACTGCAGCTTAGATAACTCAGGTAACTATGAAGGAATAAATACAAATATAATTTTATTTGAGATGAGACAACTCAACAACAAATATCTATCATGCGCAAAGTGAGCACGGAGCTCTGCTCTGGACCCAAGAAACACAGGGATGGGTGGGGGACAGTTTGGGCTCTGGAAGAGCAGGCTGGTAGTGGCTTTAGGGTCTTTGATATTTATATATCTGGTATACACATATTATACACACCCACCATCTACAGTTTATGTACATATGGTACACACGTCTATGTGTATATATATGTGTGTATATATAAATATATGTACCATATATACATGCAGATACACATATACACACACTGCTTCTCTAAGGAGGGCCACCCTTGTCCCAAGTTTGCCCGAGTCATGATTTACTGAATTCATGGTTTGAGGGTGGAGATTTTACACTCACATTGTTCCTACCCAGTCCACGATTCAGAATTCAGTGTAATTCGGGGAACTGAATGACAGTCCAATCAAACCTGGCTCTTCTTTTGGGCTGGACTTCTAAGATTGCCTTCAGGAGTCCTCTGTGGGATCCAGGGCTCCAGGGATGGCCACTTCCTGCCCTATGATGCCTGCTGCCACCCTGGGAATGTGTGACCAGGACAGACCCAAGGATGACACTGGAATTTTTTTAAGAGAACATTTACAACCATTTGCGTGTCAAAGAACATCTCCAGTCTCCTCCTCTCTGCTAGAATCAGCCTGGACAGTCATTGGACAGTCATTGGTGGGAATCTCATATGCACGTGTGACATGCATAGCTGTGTATTTTTCCAAATATTCACATTTACTTCTTCATGAGTTGCAACAATGTGCCTGAGTTTGAAAGCCAGAAATGACTGATTTTGGTTGAAATATGGCAGAGCTAAGATCTAGGGATCCTGAACAGGACTTCGCCGTTATTATGCAAGCTGCATAGTGAACTGAAGTCTCCAAATGCTTGCTACAATATTTCTGACTAAATCAGGGGCTACGACTTCTTATACTCCTTACGTGGGAATCATCCTTCCCTTAAATGGCCATTTTTAATGCATGTAATTACCACTTAAACTTCATCTCAACATCCTTGAGTAATTTCTTTTTCTAATACAGACCCCATGAATATACAGAGTGGTGTCAAAGTCGATGTTTATAAGGGAATCCAGCCATCTACTTTCAATCCTTGGTCCAGAAATCCACCTCCCTCCCAGGTTGTCTTTAATCAAGCTTTGTCAATAAATAGATGTGATGCAGATGTTCTGTGCAGTTTTAAAGAATTCAGGTTGAATCTGCTTTAAAACAAAGCACGGCCCTGCAATCAAACAAGAAGGATGAAAGTGAGTAGAGGGAAGAACACTTCAACAAAACCTGAAATGGAGACAGGACTCTGAAAACAGGGCAGAAGACCTTGAGCCAAAGATAAGAATTCAAATAATGCTTAGGCAAAGTGCAAAATGGTTACATCTCTCAACATCCTAACATTTGAGTTACTTTAAAGAAATCTGGCATACAGAGCCACATTTAGTAAATAACAAATGAAGCTATGGTTACACCTTGGGAACATTTTGTGATTTGTAAAAAACTTGAGTGAAAAGTGTCTTTCGGAACTGAGCTCCTCTCACATGAATTTTAAATGGCCCACCCGTTTCACATGCAAAGTCTGCCTGCATAAGGCTTTCAGGACAACACGAGAGGCGGCCGTGGGTTATGAGATGGTTTTCCTGCTCATGTCAGTGCTGTGTCAGGCAGAACAAGTTAGGCTTCACGCTGCAACAAAGAAGCCCCTGAATCTCAGGAGGTTCATGCAGCAGTCGTTTGCTTCTTGCTCATTCAGGTTGGCAGGGACTCTGCTCCACGCAGTCACGAAGGGACTCAGGCTGGTAGAGCCTCCACAGTCTTGAGAACCTGTGGCCTCTTCAGGCACTTGGGGCAGCAGAAGAGACCTGACGTCCTGCACACAGCTTCTTCTGAACTTTAGCCTGGAAGCTGCACCGAGGCTTCCTCCCAAATCTCATTGGCTGGAACTAGTCCTATGGCCCTGCCTAACCACAGGGGCTCTGAGGAGTGTGAAGGGAGAGAGTCGACTTTCCAGAGGACCACCAAGTCTGCCTCCAGTGCCAAAGCAAGGGTTTTAAAACAAAGGATTGTCTAAAACAAACAAAAAAGTAATTTGTAGATGGCATTTGAGAAACTGATAATTTAATTGCATTAATTTCAGCCAAATGCCAGGATTTGATTCCTAAACATGCCCAGGGCACCAGAATCTGGCCGGAAGAGTGTAAGTCTCATGGGGAAAGAGACAGAGAGAGCGAGATACTGAATGAGCCCATGAAAAAGCTTAACTGACCTACATCAACAGAGACACAGGATTAAATTGATAATGAGGGAGTCGTACTCATTCAGTTACCTTCATGTTTTATTAAGATGATGTGGTGGGGTGGAAGAGAGGAAATGAGGGTTATTACCGGGCGCCCCTCTGTGTCCTCTTCCTCCTCTAAGGGGTGGGACACCGAGATGGTGTTGGCAGTGTTGCTGGTGTGCATGCTCCACTGGGCATGAGTACCCTTAGGAGCTCAAATGATAGAGTCAGCACCAGAGTCTCTGCTTCATGTTCCAAGACCTTGGTGAAGGTTCATTTTCTGAACTTGAAAAAACAACTCCAAGATGTATGAGTGGATTCGCCTTTCCCCAAAGTCCTCTTGTGGCATCTCTGTCCTGGGTTGTTACAAATGATTCAAGCATGTTCTTAGCCATTGCTAATGTGCTCACTCCCGCCAACGTTTCGTGGGCTGTCTTGACCAAACACTGCCCCCTCTTCCTCTTCGCTCTGTTTGGTAGCAGAAGGTCTGGCAATGGCAGCATCATTCAGAATCTCCTCTGGTGGGAAGAGTCTCTTGTTACTGGAAATCTGTGGTGAGAACAGAGCCCCCACTGCCCAAACACATGGCCCTTCCAACGTTGCACCCCCACCTGCCCTCTGTCTCCACCCTTCGCTCCACTCAACCGGTAGGTGGCTCCCAGAATCACTCACCGAGATAAGCACTGGAGCCTCAAACCTCCCATGCCCCCGGGGCTCCAGACAATAGCCCAGAAGTGTACTTCCTTAGATTTGGGGTGAGGTGAGCTTGCGTTGGGGGAGGGAATACCACGTACACATGGGCTCATCTTTAAGGCACTAACAACCCTTACGGCATCTTCTGAGAGGAAATTCGAATTCTCCCTCATACTGTGTACGAGGGACCAGAGAAGTTTCATAAATGAAACTTTTAGCAAAACAAAAGGATGCAGAAAGAAACCACTTTTTCCCCAAACAGTCTACCCTCAGTTGTGGGTATCTGAACTGAGTAGAAAACATAATTAACACTAAGAAGAGCTCTGCCCTGGGGTTTTTGGTGCTTCAGAAGATAATGTCCTTTCCCTGCAGCCTGGGACTCAGAGCCCAGTAGAGGGTCAGGCAGTCATCGTGGGAGCTGTTCTGTTGTTTGTGGAACAAAGTTCACGGTGCATTTTATATCTTAGTGAGAAAATCATCAGTAATGTGATTTTTTTTTTTTTTTTTTGAGATGGAGTCTCACTCTGTCACCCAGGCTGGAGTGCAATGGCGCAATCTCGGCTCACTGCAACCTCCGCCTCCCAGGGTCAAGAGATTCTCCTGCCTTAGTCTCCTGAGTAGCTGGGATTACAGGCGTCTGCCACCATGCCCAGATAATTTTTGTATTTTTAGTAGAGATAGGTTTTCACCATGTTGTCTAGGCCTCAGTACAGCCTCTGGGCCTTCTCTGGGGGTGCAGACTGGAGCTGGTGAGCTCCAGGCCCCAAACATCTCAAAGTGCTAGGATTACAGGTGTGAGCCACCACGCCTAACCAGTAATGTGATTTTAAAACTGAGATTACAAATATACTTTAAAATGTATAAAACCCATTGGTTCTCTTTAAGATGTGATCCTGATAAGCCTCCCAGTCATACTCCCTTCATCTCCCCAGGGCTAGCCAAAGCATTTATAATGTGGCTTGCAGGACTCTTGGGGCTCCTGATGGTGAATTTGTACCATCACTCTCAATGGCACCTGGAATCTCTCCTGCTCTGCTCACAGGCACCAAACACCCACAAGACACTGGTACGGTGCAGTGTCTAGGACCAGACATCTTCTGTGTGCTATGGCTGACGCAGTAGACGTCAAGGACAGTAGATAGCTAGCAAGAAATAGCAGACTCATCAGTGTACATTTCTGGGCTGATTCTTCCCTTGGTCAAATGTGCACTGTAAAGCCACAAAAGGCCAGTTTTTTCATTTTCCACCACTTTGCCTGGACTAAATAAAGCAAGCTGAGTCGGGCAGCATGACGGCTTTGGCCAGGTACTGTGTGGCACTGAAGGAGGAGAGAGGGAAGACTGACCACCATCCAGGGGAGCCAGGCCCTCCAGCCTGCAAACGAGGCAGGGCGGGAATCAGGGTTCCACTCAGAAGACCCGGCCATGGGGACGCTGAGAGGGAGGGGGCACCTCATGCTCACAGTGGTGCAGCCTCCCTGCATCTGCACAATCTGGGAGGGCACTGAGGGCTGAGAGGCATGAGAAGGTGCAGAAGCTCCTAACGGACCAGGGCTGACCCCCACCCGCTCCAGGCTTCTCAGGAGAAACGTGTCTCCACGAGCGTGTGGACATTCTCTTCCATGGGGGGACGCTCCACTGATGCCCCTGGCCTGCTCTGCCCCTTACCCACACCACTCAGGGGAGCTGGAGTGACCTGCAGACTGGTGGGTTTGGGAAGAGTCAACTGGGTGTGCGCAGCTCAGCCCTGGAATCTTCCTCTGGCAGCAGTGAGCCGGCCCCAGGGAGCAGGCACTTTCCGGCCATGCTTCCGGAAGGCTCCCTGTGCTCCTGACCTGCGGGAGGCCTGCGAGGTACATTTTGCCAGCACTGGGGGCTAGGTCTGCTGGACCGTGGGACAGCAGCAGCCGGACCCTTCATCTGAGCCCTTCTCCATGATAGAGCTATGTTCCATGGGCCTCGCCTCTGCTGCCTGCCCCAGCCCCCTGGCAGGTGTGAAGGTGCCGTTCTCACCTCGCCAGCCCAGTCCGGTGGCCTGCGGGTGGCAACCACACCCTTGAACGTGCCCGTGAATCAGACCATGCCTAGAATCTTGTTCTGGGGCTTAAACCTGTACTTCTATGGCATGGCCAGGCAGGGGAGGGGAAGAAGCCCTACACGGAGAAGAGCCCTAGATTCAGAACATGCCCATGGCATGAAGCCACTCGCATGGGAAGCGGCCCTCCGGCCTCACCTGTGCCACTTGCTGTCTGGGGACCTTGGCCTGGTCTTGGCCTCACTGGGACCTCACTTCTCCAGGTGAAGGTGGAGAGCCCTGACTCAGAGTCTTGCAATCCCAGGCCCAGGAGCCTTGGGATCCCTGGGGCAGACTTGGCAGCCCACTGGCACTTCAGCCCAGGCACAACTGGCAGCCAACGACCCCATCTTAAAGAACTGGCTTGTAAGTGCCGGCCCCATTGTTTCCCAGAAGATGTTCAGCTGAGTAGGCACTCGGGGTGCCTTCTGTGGAGGGGCTGAACTTTGAGGACAGATTTCCGAAGGGAGGAAGGCTGGAAGAATTCGGATTAACCCTAGGGGAATTTGGATTAACCCTAGGGGAATTCAGATTAACCCCAGGGGAAAGGCCAATCACATTTAATGCAGAGGAGAAGGAAGGACGGAAACCACAGCGCGGCTCACGACTCCGGCTTCACCCAGCGACTCTGATCGGCCATGAATTACTGAAGCCTTGCAGATGCAGGAGGAGAGAAAAGCCACAGTTATGTGCATCTTACAGCTGGGAAACCAGCAACAACATAACCCTGTCAGCTTTTCATTCCTGAAAACCGCCTCCCTCTCCGCAAGGCATGGAATCAACATGGTCTTCCCCAGGGTCCTCTCAGGATCCTTGGAGCTGGGAATTCTTCTTACTCAACTCCCTCCGTGTGCTCGGAGCCCCTTCCTGGCCAGGCTTCTAGAAAATTCTTCTGCTCAAATGCTAAATGTTTTCCCTGATCTGTCTTCAAAATCCCCATCCTTCTCCTTCTATTGGAGTTAAAGGATAGGGAGTGATAAGGCTGGGCTTGGGCCATCTCCGCCTCGCTCTGCAGCTCTGGCATCTCCCGTCCCTTCTCCCCTCACTTTCTGTTTTTTTCTTCCCTTATTTTTCCTGTTTAATGTCAAGCGAGCCAGCTCAGCTCCTCAGAGACGACCAGCTACAGCAGCAAGCTGAGTGGATTTTAAATCAGCAGAGAATTTTTAAAATGAGCAATGTGGTGAACGGAGCCCATCTGCAGCCCTGTGGGGCCCTGGCTGGCTCCCACGGTGTTCGTGGATCCTGCATGTCTCCACGAGGATAAACAGTCCACGAGGGGTGACTGCCTGGGGGGAGGAACCGTCACCAGCCCAATCCTGGTAATAAAACAAGAGTCACATAAACACCGCGGCTGTCCTCCAAGGAACTTCGAGCACTACCCAAGTAAATAAAAAAGCAGAAAATGGAGGTTCAGAAACGCAAAGGCCCTGCTCGGGTTTCTAGAAGAATTCACAGAAAAACAGAACCTGGAGGAGAAGGAATCACAGAAGAAACATTCATGTCCATCTCACCCCCAAACTGGAGGGAATGATGTCAAGAGCTGCCCTCAAATCAGGAAGGGCTCAGACATCTGCACCCTGGACCACACCTCCCTGACCTACATCCATCCAGGGGGCACACCTGGACCACGGTCATCTGCCCCTCAGCTCTGACTGCCCCAGCTTCCAGCAGAGCAACCCAGAAAGCATCCTTTGACTTTGTTGAAAGAAGCTTTGATCATGGAGGACTTTTAAAATCAAGATATCACTTCCCAGGACTCCAAGCAGACAGGCTCCCAGGAAGTTCCCTCATCATGGGACAAAAGGAATATGTAAGTTACAAACGCATTTGCTCCTTTCAAGAAGGAGTTTTCCCCATGAATTTAAGTGTTTTTACAGATCATTAACTCCTGGTCTGGAAGGCAGGGCACCAAGGCAAGCTAAGCTGGAGTGTGAGTCGGTGCTGCCTTGGAGGCCAATCGGAGTCAAGGTGAAGAGGCTCAAATGATCCTAACATGAGTCAATGTTACCCCAAATTAAATTTACACATGCTTCTCCAGAGCTGTCTGTTTTGTAAGGCAGGGCACCCTGGCACAGCACAGGACACAAGGCGTTTGCATTTCTGTCCAGGCTGCAGTCTAAAAGTGGAAAAAAGTACTGATCTGTTTTCCAGCCACCACCCTATTGAATGGTCTCAGAGGTTTTGGGTCCAGTTAACACAGGTAGGCACTGGATGGGCTGGAAAGAGGCCAGGGACTCCCACGCTCTCGGGAAGCACAGGACAGTGCACTGTGCAGACAGCAGACCCTCAGGCTCAGGAGACCTGGGCTGCTGCTGGGAGAGGAGGGAAAAGAGCCCCCCAGGGAAAAGAAGGCAAGTGGGGCTTGGTGTATGAACAGGGACCTGGGAGCCAGAGGCCCAGGGTTAAATCTGACTTGCCATGTGCCCCTAAATAAGACCATAAGAGAGACACAGAGACACAGACAGAGAGAGAGAGACAGAAACAGAGTCAGGCAGACAGACAGGGACACAGAGACAGACACACAGAGAGACACAGTCAGACAGAGGAAGAGAGACAGATGGAGAGAGAGACAGGAAGAGAAAAACCAGGCAGTCCCTTCACAGAGTGGCTGTGATGCCCACGGGCTCTCATGGATGGAAAACCCAGGCACACAGCAGGTGGCACCTTCTCCTCCCTCAAGCCCTCGTCATGTCCAGTGTTCCCATCTAAAGGCCAAGTGGCTCCTCCGGATAACATTTCCTTATGTAGGGATTTATAGATGCAGCATTCCTGCTGGGACTTGGGCTGTGCAGGACTGCAGATGTGAGAGACGCTCAAGAGGGGCCGAGATGGGGATGCAGACAGCTCAGACCCAGGACACCAGCCCAGCCCAGCCAGAACTAATGCTGGCACTAATACTAACACTAATGCTAATAAATACTAACTAATGCTAATAAATACTAACACTGACACTAATACTAATAAATTCTAACGCTAATACTAATAAATACTAACACCAACACTAATACTAACAAATACTAACACCAACATTAATACTAACACACTAATAGATACTAACACTAATACTCACACTAACACTAATACTAATAAATACCGACACTAATACTAACACTAACACTGACACTGACACTAATAAATAGTAACTAATACTAATAAATACTAACACTAACACTAATACTAACACTGACACTAATGCTAATATTAACACCAACACTAACACTAATACTAATAGATACTAACATTAATACTAATGCTAACACTAATAAATACACTAATACTGACACTAACACTAATACTAATACTGACACTAACACTAAGACTAACAGTAACACTAATACTAATAAATACTAACACTAATACTAACATAACACTAATACTAATACTAACAGTAATACTAATACTAATAAATACTAACACTAACACTAATACCAATACTAACACACTAATACTAATGCTGACACTAACACTAACACTGACACTAATAAATAGTAACTAATACTAATAAATACTAACACTAACACTAATGCTAATAAATATTACCAACACTAACACTAATAAATACTAACACTAACATTAATACTAATGCTAACACAAATAAATACTAACACTAATACTGACACTAACACTAATAATAATAAATACCAACACTAACACTAACAATAACACTAACACTAATAAATACTAGTACTAACACTAATACCAATAAATACTAACACTAATACTAATAAATACTAACACTAACACTAATACTAACACTGACACTAATGCTAATATTAACACCAACACTAACACTAATACTAATAGATACTAACATTAATACTAATGCTAACACTAATAAATACACTAATACTGACACTAACACTAATACTAATACTGACACTAACACTAAGACTAACAGTAACACTAATACTAATAAATACTAACACTAATACTAACATAACACTAATACTAATACTAACAGTAATACTAATACTAATAAATACTAACACTAACACTAATACCAATACTAACACACTAATACTAATGCTGACACTAACACTAACACTGACACTAATAAATAGTAACTAATACTAATAAATACTAACACTAACACTAATGCTAATAAATATTACCAACACTAACACTAATAAATACTAACACTAACATTAATACTAATGCTAACACAAATAAATACTAACACTAATACTGACACTAACACTAATAATAATAAATACCAACACTAACACTAACAATAACACTAACACTAATAAATACTAGTACTAACACTAATACCAATAAATACTAACACTAATACTAATAAATACTAACACTAATACTAATACTAACAGTAACACCAATACCAATAAATACTAACACTAACACCAATACCAATAAATACTAACACTAACACTAACACACTAATACTAACGCTAGCACGAGTATAAATAAATACTAACACTAATATCAAAACTAACACCAACACTAATACTAACACTAACACTCACACTAAATAACGCCCTACAATGTTGGCAGCCCAGAGCCCCGTGAAGGTCCCTCTCTGCCTGCAGGGCAAGCACTCTCCATAGGGAATTCATTCCTCCTGGGTTTTGAACCATGCCCCAGCTGGCAGTCTTAGCAGATCCTCCACATAAACTATCTCTGCCTCTCCCTCTGTGCAGAATGCTCTCTGCACCTCTGAGTGCTGGTCAGTGCTGCCTCCTCTAGGAAGCCCTCCCTGACCACACCACACCAGGACAGCCAATCATGCCCTTCTGCAGGTCCAGGGAACTTCCCACAGGTACTGCCTGTGTGGGGCAAGGTCTGGCAGGGCTGTCCATGTCCACAACTCAACAGCTGGTGCTTGACCCAGCTGGTGCAGGATGGCCAGGGGATCCTGCTAACCACTAACTTGACACTAGATCCCTGGTTTCTGGGCAAGTGATTTGCAGCGCATGCCTTCCTAGCTGGGCATGTCAGAATAGGGGATGGGTAGTGGGGCAGAGCAAGGAAGGGGCATTTTAGGAAACTCCACAAGTGACCCTAAGGAGTGGTGAGTGTGGCCTAGTGGCCAGGTAGTCCCGGCTGGAGGGAGGTGTGCATTTGCTGGACAGGATGACCACATGACCCAACATGTAGAATGAGAAGCTTTGGGAGTGAAAGGGGCACTATTAATAATCACGACTGGAGAACCAGAGGAAACCAGAACAGTCGTGGGCTGACAGGGAGGGACTGTCACCTTTTCAAGAGGTCATCCACTTCTGATGTTCTACCCCCACCCCCACTCAGCCCAGCAGAGCCCTGATTATTGGTCTCATCAAGAAGGTACTGACTCCAAGCCTCTCTAAGACACATGGGTCTAGGTAAGGCAAGGTCAGAGCCCCACCAGGAGGGGCTCACAGTCTCAGAGGGGACAGAGCCAGGAAGGCTGTGTGTCCGCCCAGGACGGCCGAGACAACCTCAGTCAGCTTGCCTTTTGTGCTCGCTGGATTCTTCTCTGTATAAAGCATACATGCGACATGGTATTATACAATTAGAATTTTTTTAAACTATGGTCTCACTTTTCATCCTTGGGTGTTTGAGCCCTTCTGCACAATTACATGCCCTCATTGGTATGTTTAATTATCTGAGTTCTTACTGCAGGCTCCAACATTAACATTTAAAGAAACATTAGAGGAAAGTCAGCTCCTGAAGGTGGAGGACTATAAAGAGAGAACACACTGAGTTTCCAGCTGAAAGCACGGACCCCCCACTGCTGGGACAGCCTCCTCTCCTCTCCACTCAATTTGTCCCCATGGTCACAGACAGTTATTAGCGCCTGTGTTTCAGAATTAAATCTGTGCATTGCTATTGTTCTCAGAGAAAGGTTTGTGTTCTGCGTTACCTCCTGGAGGAATAAACTCCAGGTTAACATGAGGAGCACAACTTCACTGCAGAAAAAGATCAACAGGGGCTGCTACCTACACCATGCCAGAGCCCTACAGCAAGTGGCGAGAGGTGACCCTTGTCCCCACAGGCTGGCCTCTGACAATCACCAGGACCTGGGATGCCGAATGGGTCTGCAGATTCCCATGGCCTTAATAAGCTCTGGAGGCCATGCTGCACTAGGATGAGGAGCCGACATCCTCTTTTTCTCATCACACTCTGGCGTTTATACTCTCTGGTGGCCATTTCACTCTAGATTAGAAAATTGTAGGAAAAAGTAAAGTGTAACAATAACTGTAAAAGGCAAGAGTGGGCTGCCTGCAAGCCAGACCCAGATAAGTGAGCTTTGGGGTGGCTGATGTCCTGGGCCCCCACTGGTGGCACAGGGATCCAGGGGTTAACTATTGAATTGCTGGTGCGTGGACAGGGAGGGGTACAGTGGGGGAGAGGGCACCATGAGAGCTGTTTACCAACTAACAGAGAACATCAGCCTTTAACGACATCCTGGGCTGTTCTTGGGTAGACCTGCACAAAACCAGCCTCCAGGTCATTCCTTTTTGGAATTATGCTCCGCATAATCCACCGTCTTCATGGCCATTGTCTCCTTTACCCTGTACCTGAATAGGACAAACATCAGGGTTGTTCCTGAGCTCTCCACAGTTCCATTTCATTGCGTTTTCTGCCTGGCCCCCAGTGCACCCAGTAATTTGAATATTAAAGTTCTGGATTACAGTCCCTGGCAGCACAAAACCTCTCTCCTCACTTTTCTTTTTCATAAGTTTCTTGGACGTGTTTGCTCTCTTAGTCTTCCAGGTGCACCTGAAAATAATTTTATTGAATTAAACATTTCATTAAATATATAAATTAAATTGTAAAAGAAATGATATGTTCACAGTAGTATGTATTTCCAAACAGAGTCCTAATAAATAGAGCTCCTCATTCAAAAAATATTCTATTGGACTCTCTAGCTAAGAGATTTTTCTTCATAAAAGTCCTCCATATTTCTCACTAAACATATATAAGGATCTCATAAGCATAAATATTTTTGTTTGTGTGAATGACATCTTTTTGTTTCATTATGTGATTGAATTGCTTATTGCTGGTGTGTGTAAGAATGCTTGTGAAAAATTATCTTCACTTAGCAATTGCCTTCAGTCTAAATTGTTTCATTTGTTCTAAAGATTTTCAAATGATTTCTTTTTTTGATATGGGGTAGACAGCAAGGTTCTTAGTAGACAACTGTATCATCTACAAATGTTAATACTTTTATCTTCTGCTTGCCAATAGCCCTATGTCTATTTCTTTTTCATAATCCATATAGAATCATTCTTTAAAGTTTGAGACAATGTTACAAAACAGTATACTGGCGAGAAACCTGCTGACTTTTATACAAAAGACTTGAGTGCTACCTAGGATTTTGTTGTTGCTGTTTTGAGATGGAATCTTGCTCTGTCTCCCAGGCTGGAGCGCAGTGGCACGATCTCAGCTCACTGCAACCTCCACCTCCTGGGCTCAAGCAATTCTCCTGCGTCAGCCTCCTGAGTAGCTGGGACCACAGGTAAGCGCCACCACGCCCAGCTAATTTTTTGTATTTTTAGTAGAGACGGGGGTCTCAGCATGTTGGCCAGGCTAGTCTCAAACTCCTGACCTCAGGTGATCCGCTGAAGGTAAGGAAGAATCTCTTTATGATAGCTTATTGAGATTTTAAACATCAGACAGGGAGGTTTTAATAACAGAAATATGTTAAATTTTTCTCAGATGCATTTTAGTATCTCGAGTCGATTCCCTTTATTCCCTTTTTTGACTATAGATGTGCCTCATTGCATACATGAATCCAAGAATCTGAGCAATCTGAATGCTTTTGACACATATTGCCAAAGTGTGTCAAAAACCTGGCAAAGGCATCTGAATGCCCTGATATTCCACTAATAAATCCACCTTCTTCACAGCGCCCTATTCTTTTGGCATATTGCTGAGTGTACGTTTCTTATATTTTATCTAGAATTTAATCTAAGCTCCTACTGAGAGAGAGTTTCTCCTATCCCTGACAGGTTTTGGTAGATACCATGACAGATGCTCTGAGAGGCTTTCTCATCTTTATTTTTTCTAATCTAGCTGCTGCTGTGTTGGGGACTGTCCCCGAAGGCGGGACTTTGTCTCTGCCATCACTGCACCTTCGGCCTGACACAGCAGTGGGCTTAATAACTGAGTGGACAGTCCTAGAAAGCAGAAGGTGTTTACCCAGACAGGGAGCACTTGGAGCCTGCAGTCTCTTGTAGGGCCAGTTCAGGAGACACTTTGTAGTCATTTTTTCCCCTAAGTTTTATTCTTCCTAATTTCAAACTCCTTAGGAGTAAGGACAGTTCTGAGCTGCTGAGAGTCCCCTAGTGCCCTCTGCAGAGGCTGCCTGGGTGCCTGACTTGATTTCACTCTAGTGAGGTTCAGCCGTTCCTGAACTTCCCAAGCGGCTGTGTGGCCATCCGCCCTCCACCCACACCCACCCAACGGGGCAGTGACCGGTGCACTGGGAGGATTTCTGACAAGCACAGCTCACTGAGACAGATTTCCTTTCTGCCAGGGTCCCCCACGTCCACAGCTAGTGGGATGACGATGTGAACCCTGGCCAGGGCCTCGGGGTCCCCCACCCTCCCTGCACCCTGGCACCTGCTCCAGCCCTGCTGGATAGCAGAGCCCCACAAGCCACAGGCTCCCTCACCCGATTTATTTTTTCTCTATTGCATCAGAATCTTCTGAAGTAAACTTTCACTCGGGACAGAGCTGTGCTATTCCAGGGGTCTTTGCCAAGGATCTGTGAGGTAACCTTTCCATCTATTTATTTGTTTTTTTGGAACTTGGGGACAGGGGAGAAATGCGAAGAGACTCATGACCCCCAGAAACTCGGCTGAGTGACTGACATCATGGGAATTTGTCTGGCCTGATTTATGGCATTCCCGTGACCCCGGTCAGGGAGCTGAAGTTCACGGCACTTTCTTGGCTCCCATCTGTTTGTAAACGTCCAGCCCACTGGAAGCCAACCTCTGTTACAAGGTGATGTGCAACTCTGCATAGCTTCCCAACAAAGCAAACCAATGCCAGTAACGTGAAAAACAAAGCCACAGAGGATATACCCTTTACTGGGATGCTTGGCCAGCATCACATGGACTTCTAAATTTCCTCATCTTTGATCTTTTGGTTGAATCCATTTTCCGCTAGAGAGAAAGCTGCTGGAAGCTCAGTGACAAGTCTGACCCAGTGGGTGGTGCTGTTGGAGGAGTCTTGGAAGAGGCCGTCTTCTTCTTGGAGAAGACCCACAGCTGCACCTTCTGTCTCATCTGTGGTCAGGGCTCCTTAAAGGGCTGAGTGTCCACTATATCTCACCCCAGAGAAAAGAAAAGAGCTGGGTCCACCATGGCCTCAGACAGTGATGGACTCCAGATGTCCAATCTCTTCAGCCAGGGCTTGCCCAGTTGGGTCAAACCATTTAAGAGATGGGAAAGCTAATGAATGAATGTATTTCGTATTTTCTGCATTGTGTCCTGAGTCTTCTGGTAGCAAGAGAAAAATAAATCCTTCCAGCTGTGCCTGCTCTGCTGTCCTTCCAAACCCTCCAGCCAGCTTCCTCCTTGGTCAACTTCATTGTTTTTGTTCCTTTGTGCACTCTATATGAAGTCATCAACAGAGCCTGGAAGAGGACACATGTTCCACAAAGAAGGGGCCGTGTGGCAGAGAGGGAGGCACCAAAACATAGAACCTCACCCGAGAACTCACTTGCACCTGAAGGACAAATCAAGTACCCTGGGGAGCCCAGGCCCCTCTCCTACCTGAATCACAGGTGCACACCCAAGTGCTGTGGGGAGCCCAGGGCAGGCAACTCTTCTACCTGAATCCTGGGTAAGCATCCAAGGCAGAGAGCCCCTGTAGATTCTCCAAGAAACAAGCAAAGTACCAAGATTTGCATCTTTAGAGAAACTCCTCCAGGCCTTTTCAACGTGCTATGTCTGGTGAACGAATGTATGTACTATGTAATATTAAAGATTTTTAGTGGCCAGGAGGTGGGGCTGGTGCAGACCGGCATTCACCAGGGAGAGAGTCGTCCAACCAGGATACACATCATTTCGAAAGCTCGCTTTTTTATTGTGGAAGTCCTGGGATAACACAACGTCTCCTGGGCCTGCATCCTTAACATTTTTCTTTCTATTCTTTTGCAAAAGAAGAGCCTTAAGTAACTAAATTGGACATTTTAAGACACGATAACATGGAACTAAAGAGAAATACTGCACGTGAAATTAAGATGCCCACAGCAGGAAAGTTGAGTTTTTAAACAAATTAGGTTTTCATGTCCTGGATTCCGTAAAGGATGAGGATTGAATAAAAGCATCTGGGTAGCCGTGTTCCCAAGTTGTGTTTCCCTTGAACAGTGGTAGCTGCACTTCCCTGAGTCACCAGCCCTGGTCCCCAAATTCTCAGGAGAGTGTGGTCCTCTTTGCACATGGGATCCCATCCCTCATCATTGACAGACAATCGCCATCCCCTCCATCAACATCCTGCCTGGGATGCAGCTCAGGCCCCTTGTCTTCCAAACAGGCTGCTAACTCCTCTAACGCATGAACCCCATCTCAGAGAGGTACAGAGCCGCAAGTGAGTTTTTTCCTTGATGGAACATGGAT
Organism: Homo sapiens; assembly: GCF_000001405.40. Taxonomy (NCBI): domain Eukaryota; kingdom Metazoa; phylum Chordata; class Mammalia; order Primates; family Hominidae; genus Homo; species Homo sapiens. The sequence continues at coordinate 238,873,962 of NC_000002.12, read as the reverse complement.
CAGCAAGTTTAGAGCAGGCCACCAACCCAGTTTCGAGCTGATGCACAATGACGTTCCCATTTCCAGTCTGGATTTGGAGGCAGGGACGGTAAAGGAGAAGAATCACAGGCCTCCAGCTTCTCTTGAGCAAGACACAAACAAAGGCTTTTTATTATTTTGTTTCTGGTATCGAGATGTTCCGGAACGTACCCTCAGGCCCACTCATCAAGCCTTTCCAAGACCAGCGTGACTCTCGGCCCAGATTTGCTTCTGACTCTCAGCCCAACTTTGCTTCTGTCCTCCCCTGGCACCGTGCATTGGGCACAGGGAGGAGCGCTCGGACCCACCTGCCCGTTGTGTATTCCTTGTGCACGGTGTGCACCTTCCTGAGAACATCTCACTCAGCAGGACCCCGTAGCTCTTGTGTGCGCTCATGCGTGCACATCTCTGCAGCTCCCTTCTACTCTGAAGCCATCCCCCTGCCCACTCCCAACCCCCAGAGCATACGCCAGGCTCTGCGCACCTAATCCTCAACCTGGGCAGGACCCCTCACTCCATTCATTCTCTGCTCAAGCGTCATTTCTTCAGATGTCCTTCCCCATCCTCTTGCTTCCTTCTCAGCACCCATGGTCAGCAAGCCCACATCTGCTGTCTTGTGTGTTTCCTGCCTGCCCTCCCCTCCCCTCCCATGGCAAGCTTCATGGTGACAGGAACTGCCTTGACTTCTTCCCCGCCACATCCCGGTCTCTAATGTGGAGCCCAGCACGTGGGAGGCTCTCAACAAGTATTTGTTGATTGAACGACAGATCCACCAAAGTGCCACCCCTTGGTCTGGCCTCCCTACTGTGTCCAGGAGGAGGCATCCTTGTCTTCTTTGTTTGCTAACCATTGTTGTACAACAGCTACATGCAGTGTTATGAATGGCTGTCAGTAGATTTGTCTCCTTGGCTGGATGTGGATGGTGAGTCCTCCATTGTCTCCTTGGCTGGATGTGAATGGTGAGTCCTCCACAGGAGAGACAGATTCTAGTCATTCTTATGTCTCCAGCACCCAGCAGAAGGACTGCAAACAGCCAGGACTCAGTAAATGTGAGGGCAACACGAAGGACCCTGCAGCTGCCCCACATGATACCAGCTACGCAAAACCATCTGCGGAGCGTGTGCCTCTGGGCCGTATGCCCGTGACCTCCAGACTTTCCATCTGCAGAATGGGAACAACACTGGTCACCTGTCCAGTAAATCGTCCTGGTGCCAGGGGTTTAGTGGCAACTGTACCTGCTCCGTGGCTAGGCCTGTGCCCTACTTCCCCCCATGGGTAGATGCTACGTATTTAATAACTCACAGCTTCAAAAATGCCTGAAAGCTTTCATCAGAATGACCTTGAAGACTCATATTTGTATCAAATTCATGGACTATTAACCCCAATTCTTGGAAAAGAAAGAGCATCGCCCTTCCCTGCACAGCGTTGGCCAAAATGTTACTAGATCTAAATGCAGACAAACAAAAAGACACTCAACAGGACCCAATTTTTACAAGGGTTTGGATTCAACCTTCTTGAGAATCTGTAAGCATCACTTCCAAGTAGAACGTGCTGGAAGCCCTGATGTGCACAGGGTGGTGCACCTGAGACCACTCCTCTGGCCTTGCAATCCCCCTACACTGGCATGGCCCTCATCCTGGCCTACATAGCTCAGCCCAGTGTCCAGCCCAAATCTCACCCTGGAACACCACCCACTTGGACTAAGGTTAAATGAGCAACAAGTCTGAGGGCATAAAGTGGCCCGGGACTCTTGGCCAGGGACTGCTAGTGGGATAGAGAGCATGGGGGCAGGCAGGACCCACTGTGGGACCCCCCCAGCCCAGGAGTCACCTGCCTTCCGGTTAATATGGCAGAAACATCCCCGGAAATAATTTAATCCTGGTAAAATACACGACATAAAATTGACCGTCTTAACGTTTTGAAGCGTAGAGTTCTGTGGCATTAAGGACATTCACGCTGCTGTGTGACCTTAACCACCATCATCTCCAGAACTCTTTTTCTCCTCTCAGACTGAGACTCTGTCCCCACTAAACACGCACTTCCCACTCCTCCCCTCGGCCCCCGGCAGCCATCGTTCTGCCTTCCGTCTCTATGAATCCGGCTGCACGAGGTTCCCCGTGTAAGTGGAGTCATAGAGTGTTTGTCTGTGACCAGCTTAGTTCACTCAGCACCGTGTCCTCAGGGTTCATCCATGCTATGGTCCCTATCGAGACAACCTTCCTTTTTAAAGGCAGAATGACATTCCATCGTGTGTGTGTGTGTGTTGGGGGGGGGTGATGGTGTGTGTGGGGGGGGTGTTTGTGTGTGGGGTGTGTGGTGGGTGTGATGTGTGTGAGTGGGGTGTGCTGTGTGTGTGGTGTGTGTCAGAGTGGGGTGTGTGTGTGGTGTGTGGGAGGATGTGGTGTGTGTGGGGTGTGGGGTTTGGGGGGTATGTGTGGGGTGTGGTGTGTGTGTGGTGTGTGTGGGAGGGATGTGGTGTGTGTGTGGTGTGTGTGGGGTAAGGTGTGTGTGTGGCGTGTGGGGTTGTGGTGTGTGTGGGGTGTGTGGTGTGTGCATGGGGTGTGTGGTTTGTGTGTAGTGTGTACTGTGTGTGTGGGGTGTGGTGTGTGGGGGGTTGTGTGGCTTGTGTGTGGTATGTGATGTGTGTGGGGAGTGTGTGGGATGTGGTGTGTGGTGTGTGCATGGGGTGCGTGGTTTGTGTGTGGTGTGTGCTGTGTGTGTGGGGGGGTGTGGTTTGTGTGTGGTATGTGATGTGTGTGTGGGGTGTGTGGTGTGTGTGTGGGGTGTGTGGTGTGTGTGGGGTGTGGTGTGTATGGGGTGTGGTGTGTGTGTGTGTGTGTGTTGGGGGGGGTGATGGTGTGTGTGGGGGGGGTGTTTGTGTGTGGGGTGTGTGGTGGGTGTGATGTGTGTGAGTGGGGTGTGCTGTGTGTGTGGTGTGTGTCAGAGTGGGGTGTGTGTGTGGTGTGTGGGAGGATGTGGTGTGTGTGGGGTGTGGGGTTTGGGGGGTATGTGTGGGGTGTGGTGTGTGTGTGGTGTGTGGGAGGGATGTGGTGTGTATGTGGTGTGTGTGTGGTGTGTGTGGGGTAAGGTGTGTGTGTGGCGTGTGGGGGTGTGGTGTGTGTGGGGTGTGTGGTGTGTGCATGGGGTGTGTGGTTTGTGTGTAGTGTGTACTGTGTGTGTGGGGTGTGGTGTCTGGGGGGTTGTGTGGCTTGTGTGTGGTATGTGATGTGTGTGGGGAGTGTGTGGGATGTGGTGTGTGGTGTGTGCATGGGGTGCGTGGTTTGTGTGTGGTGTGTGCTGTGTGTGTGGGGGGGTGTGGTTTGTGTGTGGTATGTGATGTGTGTGTGGGGTGTGTGGTGTGTGTGTGTGGTGTGTGGTGTGTGGTGTGTGTGGGGTGTGTGGGGTATGTAGGGTGTGTGGTTTGTGTGTGGTATGTGATGTGTGCGTGGGGTGTGTGGTGTGTGTGTGGCGTGTGTCGGGTGTGTGGTGTGTGTGGGGTGTGTGGTGTGTGTAGGGTGTGTGGTTTGTGTGTGGTATGTGATGTGTGTGTGGGGTGTGTGGGGTGTGTGGGGTGTGTGGTGTGTGTGTGGGGTGTGTGGTGTGTGTGGGGTGTGTGGGGTGTGTGGGGGTGTGTGGGGTGTGTGGGGGTGTGTGGTATGTGATGTGTGTGTGGGGTGTGTGGCTTGTGTGTGGGGTGTGTGGTTTGTGTGTGGTATGTGATGTGTGTGTGGGGTGTGTGGTTTGTGTGTGGTATGTGATGTGTGTGTGGGGTGTGTGGTGTGTGTGGGGTGTGGTGTGTATGGGGTGTGGTGTGTGTGTGGGGGGTGTATGGTGTGTCTGTGTACACACCACGTTTTGTCGTTTTGTTTGTTCTGCATTTTATTTTTTGAGGACCCTCCGTACTGTCTTCTATAGCACTGGTTTACATTCCCACCAGCAGTGCCCAATGATTCCAATTTCTCCACATCCTCACCAACATTTATTTTCTGTGTTTGTTTTGAGACACAGTCTCACTCTGTTGCTCAGGCTGGAGTGCAGTGGTGTGCATAGCTCACTGTAACCTCAAACTCCTGGACTCAAGTGATCCTCCTGCCTCAGCCTCTCAAGTAGCTAGGATTATAGGCATAGGCCGCCACACCCTGCTACTTTTTTATTTTCATTTTTGTACAGATGGCATCTCACTAGGTTGCCCAGGTTGGCCTCAAACTCTTGGCCTCAAGCAATCCTCCCGCCTCAGCCTCCCAGAATGCTGGGACTGCAGGCATGAGTAGGCAACCTCATAGGTGTGAGCTGGTACCTCTTTCTGGTTGGATCTGCATTTCTCTGATGGGTGGTAGTGTCAAGCATCTTTTCATGTGCTTGTTGGCCATTTGTATATCATCTTTGTAGAAATGCCTATTTAAGGCCTTTGCCTACTTTTATGCAGGCTATCTAATTTTTATTGTTGAATCATAGGAGTCCTGCATCTCTTCTGGATAGTTCTCTCCTATCAGATGGATAATTTGCCGATACTTTCTCCCATTCCACAGGTTGTCATTTCATTGTTGTGTTCTTCGATACAAAGGAGTTTTTAAGTTCGACGTAGTCCCATTTGTCTATTTTTGTTTTCCTTGCCTGTGCCCTGGAAGTTTTATTGAGAGATCCCAGATTGTTCCTTTTGAAAGTATGAAATTCCATCTCCGTGGCAGTAAACAAGCTGCAGTGGCCTGTGCCAGCACCGCTTGTGAAATCCCTTCTTTAAAGTACTCCTCACCGCACTTGGACCTATTTCCCATTCTGTGCAAACAAGTCCACGTTGCTCGCTTCGGAAGCAGGCTTTGCAGGAGTCGATGCCTTTCTCTCAGTGGCGTGCTCCCCAGCCTCGTCCTTTGCAAGGAAACCACTTAAACTGCCAAGCATTTGCTGCCCGCGCACCTACCCGTGCCATCTGCTGCCTGATGCTGGTGCGGACGACACTGTCTCTCACAACCCAGACACCGATGCCAACTGACCCCTCTGAGATGAACTTCCTTTCTCTAGAAAATGCGAGAGAATGCAGGTGGATGCCACCTCCATCACTGGACCATCTTGAGAATCAAATGGACACAAGCCCCTGCACCGGCCGGCACGCAGCGCTCCCTCCAGCCTTGCTGAGCCGTGGGCTTGTGTCCCGGCCCTACCATGCCTGTGGATCAGCCCACACTGGCACCACACTGAGCCCAGCCAACAATGCCCGAGTGTGTGGGCAACAGAGGATACTGGTCATGGTGGCAGCTGGTGATCACGGACAGTCACCAACCTTGGAACACGGCTTGTCCCACAGACACAGTCACAGCCAGGACTGCTTGGTGTCCACTGTGGGAAACAGCATCTTCCATCTCTGTCTCAAGAAGGGCCAGTTTGGTTTCCTGTGGTCCCATAGAATGATGTAGGGACGTGGAATGGGAGGAGACTGGGATCCGTCTGGCCATACCCCTTGAGTCTGCCTGACTTAGCCAGTCCCCCATCCCCCACTGAGGCTCTCCACCCTGCCCCTGTCCGAAGTGGGCAGGCTTGGGTTTTGTTTTTTGTTCTTCCAAACCCTGCTTAGCTGTGTCATCTGGACAGAAGCCCGACGCTTACCAGAGCAGGCTGGGGGGCGGGGGGCTCCCGGCACTTGGGCAGTCAGGTTTGAGACCTGGAGCTCACCAGCTTGTCTGCACCCCAGAGAGGGCCCAGGGGCTGTACTAGACGATGTCTAAGGGCTTCTCAGCAGAGCCCCTGGGAGCCACGTGCAGAAAGCCTGACCTCCTGGGCAGGTGCACCCAGAGGGAACCCAGGGCACGGGGCTGATGTGTGAGGGATGCCACCTTTGTGGGGCACTGCACTGGTCAGGGAGGTAATTCCGGAATGCCAGCCACCTTCCTAACTGCAGTGTTCCTTGGAACTTCCATTATACTGCATTTATTTTTTCTATCTTTCTTTCGTTCCACGTTTCCCGAGCCTCACTACATGCAGGAGGGTGGCCCCTCTCATGCCTTCCGCTGACCACAGTCTCTGCTCCAACACATTCTTCAGCCCACCTGCTCCTTCTGCTGGTCCCAGGGCCATCCGGCCATCCCCAGCCTTTGCCTCCCACTTCTCTCCCTCCCGCCTTCGAGGGATGCCCCTCAGCTCTGGGAACGGCTGCTTCCCTCCTGGCCTCCTAACTCACCATCAATTTCTTTCTGATGAGGATGTGACTGCCTTTTCAGTTTCTAGTTTCAGGGCACTCAATACCTAAGGGTTCCATGTGGCATCTGCCTTGCATCCAGCCTGTGCCCCAGCCTCGGCCACCCCTCTGTGATCTCAATCTTCGGACGCCTGCTTGCTGACAGCTCCTCCGTGCCAGGCCTGTGCCAAAGTGAAAATATTCTTTCCTGTTTATCAAAGGGTTCCCAGCCACAACTCTCTCCTCCCAGCCTCTTCCTCAGCCCACACCACCCCGGGAGCTGGCTGGGACTTCTCTTTATTGTGCCCCTGCCCCCAGAGCCACTGCATAAAGCCTGGTGAGAACTGGGTATTTTACTGAGGAGTGTGTGTGTGTGTGTGTGTGTGTGTGTGTGTGTGTGTGTGTTGAAGGCAGGACATTTTACTCCCCAGAATAATCTTCCATCCCAGATCAGATGAATCACTTTCCCCCAAGATGTCTCCAGGCTAGGCTGTACAGTGGCTTCCCCCTCCCTCCCTGCCTCCCTCTCCCTCTTTCTCCACCTCTACCCCTTCTCTTCTGCAGAAGAAATTCGGGGGTTGTGGCCCCTCCAATGTTACAGCCAGCCTCCTTCCCTCCAGCTGCTGGCTTCGAGGACGGAAAAGGCCCTCGAAACAAGAGGCTGGCTCCTCTGTTTGGGGCAAACACAAGACCCCCAGGCTGCCAGGTGCGTTCTGCTTGGAAGGCAGCCAGGGAATTGTAAATCACAGATGCACAGAAAACATGCGTTTGCATCAGACACAGTGTAGTTTCTTGGTGTACTTGGTGGGGAAACAGAGGCTCCCTCCATGACCCCCACTTGTGCAGGGCATGGGCTGAGCCGGGCATCCGGATACATGACAAGGACACAGTCCTGAAGGTGCTCCCGGGGTGACAGGCAGACAAACCGTCGCAGCTGCCAGGCCGCTAGGGGATATACGAGGCCTCAGGAGTCACCACAAATGCCAGCAGGGTGGTTAGAGGCTCCCCAAGGAGGGGACACTGGAGGTAGTCCTGTCGGGCACAAGGGAGATTCCAGTCAAGGGAGAGCAGCGTGAAGGCATGGAACATGAAGGCGCCGTGCTTTTCTTTTTTTTTTCCATGGTGGAGTCTCGCTCTGTCACCCAGGCTGGAGTACAGTGGCGCGATCTCAGCTCACTGCAACCTCCGCCTCCCGGGTTCAAGCAATTCTCCTGCCACAGCCTCCCAGGTAGCTGGGATTACAGGCACACACCACCATGCCCAGCTAATTTTTCTATTTTTGGCAGAGACGGGGTTTCACCATGTTGGCCAGGCTGGTCTCGAATTCCTGACCTCGTGATCTGCCTGCCTCAGCCTCCCAAAGTGCCAGGATTACAGGTGTGAGCCACTGTGCCTGGCCGAAGGTGCCATGCTTTAAGAACAAGCATGTGGGTTTGCTCATCTCCTCACCCCTGTTCTTACTGGCAACTGCTCCAAGTGCTGGGTACAGGGTGAAAAGGACAGACATGCTCCTGGCCTGGGGAGCTCGCCATGGAGGGTGCCCAGGGCTCAGAGGCAGCTCACAGAAGAGCAGGCAGGGCCCGTGCCATGGGGAACCTGGGCGGTGCCTGGCAGGCCTGGCCATCCTGCTGGCAGCAGGTGAAATGGGGGTAAAGGAACCTACATTCAGTGGGTCCCAGTAACACCAGATGCAGTGTGGGGTGCATCGTCCATGCTATTCCATTAACAGGTTAAGCGACGGAGTCAGATCAGTGACTGGGAAAGGTACCCCAGGCTAACCACACAAAGAAGGGCCTGAAGAGGGGACAGCAGATCCCGGGAGATGGGACCAGGAAGAAGGGCCGATCCGACCCCGGCGGGGCACTGTACGGTGGAGTGACTGGAAAGGGTTCATCACAGCGAATGGCATTTCCACCACACAAGGTGACATCGCACAGACTGTGGGGATTGCTTCCTACCTACACAGAGCATCTAAATTGGTGTATTCACTGGCACCACGTATAAAAAGGGACCTCTGAGCAGTGGTAGTGAGGGTTCTCTGGGTTAGGGGATGCCTGTCTAATGCCACAGCAAAAAAAAAAAAAAGTTCCAAAAGACCAGATGGCACAGCTGGCCCTGGCCCTGCAAATTCAAAGACTCAACCTGCAGGCATGTGGCTGGGCCACCCAAAGCCAGGAGACGCCAGGTGGGTGACGTGAGTAGGGCAGGGGTTTGATCTGCTCACTTCTGGACCCAGAGGCTTCTGTGCCCAGGCTGAAGCTACCCGATCTCCCGCAGGGAATCCTGACACGAGCGCCTCAGGCCTTGCTCCCAACACAGGAGCACCTGAGAGCAGACTGCAGGGGTGTAGGAACGCCAACAGGTGCCCGGCTGGATCCAGGCCCCCCTCACTCTCCGGGGTACTCCCTGCTGCATGGGGAGGTCCCTGTGCGCCGTCGTTTAAAGCAGAGAGCCCTGACATAATGACCCGACTCAGTAGGATGGGGCCATACTTGGCATGGAGGGAAAAATCTCATTTTTTAGATAATTGGACTGGCTGGGTTTGCTTCCTGGCTCTGCCCACAGCTCTGTCTATGCTCTCAGCTGAGGAGTTACGTAGGTCCCTCAGTTTCCCCTGCTGTGAAATGGGGGTGAAAGCACCCAGCTCACTGGACCATTCTGAGGATGAAAATAATTTTGCTTGCCCAGTGCTTGCATGCTTGCTGGGTGGACTTTCAACGAGTGGAGTGACCCCGTGTGGCTTTGCCATCGTTTCTCAAACCCTTTATGTCAGTTTGCAGGGGGAGAGAAGAGGCCCCTCGGGTGGCCAGGCCCACCGAGCCTGGCAGTAGATGCATCCTCCAGGTCCTCCCGGCAGGCCTTCCGGAGCTCTCTGCTCCTGGCGGATCTCCAGGCCTGGCCTGGCCACACACCCTGCACTCTGGACCTTCCAGGGGTCCCTAAGGAGAGGAAAACCCCTCACAGATGCTCAGAGAAGGGGACAGCCCCACAGGTGTTTCCCAGGGTAGGGTGCAGGCCTGGTGGGTGCCTATACCAAGTGGACCCCGCGGCAGGGTGGACCCCAGGGCAGTGTCCCCACAGAGCAAGCCACGGCCCCGCACCCTCCCACCTCCTCTTCTCCCGCACCTCGGAGGGTACCAGCCTCTGGGCCCCTGTCCTGCTGGTCTTGGCCGGGCCGGGTGGGCTGCCTGGTGCCCTTAGTTCTCCCCTCCCCAGGCTGACCTGGCCTGGGGGCCGGGTGGGGCGCGCCTTGGAACTGGGAGCCGCCTCCAACCCTGCACTCTGCTCCAGGCCTGGCCCATTCAAACCTTCCTGCTCTGTTTATTTGCACAGCCAGAGGACAAAAAGCCACGGCTCTGAGTCACTCCTGCTCCCAGTCGGCTCTGATTCATGCAGGAGGCCCGCGGAGGGGACTAACCCTGGCAGTTAACCTCTTGGTTTCTTTATGTCTCTACAGCAGTGAGCATCTGTGTCTTCGAACTGAGGATCAGGCCCCGATCGCCGCTCACAGTCGCGTGCTTGGGGTGTAATGTGGAGAAGAGAGGATACCACGGCACAGCCCGAGAGGTCCCCCCTCACCTCCAGCCCCTTCCCCCCATGCTGATGGAAACTTACAAATATTTCAGTCATCTCTCCGAAAAGGATTTGGTCATCTGGCAAAGGTGGTCCCAGAATTTGCCAGAAATATGCGTCAAATGTAGCCCAGGGTGTAAAGGAAGACAGGCTTAACGAAAATTAGATTATGGCGAAGAATCTGAAAGGAAATGAGAGATTCTGTGCCTGGTTGGTCTCCAGCCTCTGGGGAGGTGCCGCCTGGTGCTTCCTCCCTGTAGGTTCTGGAGAAGCTGGCACACAGGGATGCCCCCAGGATAGGGGGTAGACCTACTCTACGGCCGACCTCTCCTCAGTCCCACACATTTGTCATTCATCATACAAGGCCAGGGGGACACGTGGTTTTCATTTTTGATCCTGGTAAAAAGTGAATAAAACGTCTCTAGTAGCTAAGAAAGGGCTTTTTCTAGCTCCACTGAGTGAGTCGGGGTCAAAGCACCTCTTCTCAATTTGGGTTCGGGGAACAGCTAAGGGGTTCATTGAGGTTTTTTCCCACTTGCTTCCCCAAAGCTGAAGTGGTTTATGGTTAACAACAGATATCCCCAACTACGTAGAGAGGAGTGAAAAAAAGGCAGAAGAAATGAGGATGCTAACACTAACAGTGTGAGGATGAGCGCCAGTCCCATCATGAAGCGCCATTTGGGAACTGCCCAGCGGGTAAAGGCCAGCCAGGAGAGCTGAAACCGCACAGCCCTCACTGCCAAAGGACGTCGCCAGCTCCATCAGGGAGCCGCGCTGGTACATTCCGGGTGCATCCTTCTGAATTATCCTAACACGAAAGGCCTCTTCTGAAAATGATGGACGGGCATCTTTAATGTAGATTGCAGAAGATACAAAAATATATTCTGAAGGCCACTCTTTTGTATTACTTCAGCAAGTACCTAAGTCCTAACACCGAGTGGGGGTTGCGGTGAGGGCATTCCTATGTGGATGGCAGCTGTATTTTCACTGCACCACCTTATGATGGGACTGGGAGTAGTTGCCCTTCTCTGGAGGGAGGGTCGGTCAGCATGTGCCTGCCACACTATCTTTACAAAGCACTGGGCACCTCTGGATTTGTGTTCTCAAATTGCAGAAGTAATACAGGGCATCTGTAGAAAATCTAGAAATTAAAAAAAAAAAAACATAAGAAGGAAAGGAAGCTCTTTCATCAACTTTTGGTCCAGAGACATTCATTCTTGCCACTGTCTCTCCAGACAAACACACCCGTGCATGCACACACACACTTTGATCTTCCAACCTGAGATCGTATGAACTGCTCCATCCTACAATCATGGCCGTCACTTTATTAAACATCCACTTACAACACACATTTGCTGACTGCATAGTGTTCCAGCATATGGACCAAGCAGAGTTTATCCCACCTATTTCCCAGGACATTTTAATTTTGTCGCCAATATTAATGAAGCTGATATGAATTTCTTTGTTGCTCGGCAGCTCTGCCATTATTCACTTAAGATAATTCCTAGAAGTGGAATTGTTCATGCAAAGGGTATTTCCAGTCCTAGATCTTTTCTTACCTACCATCAAAATTCCTTTAGAAAGCTTGTGCAGCTTTTCTTCCCTCTGGCAAATAGGATGGCCTGGTTCCCCCACCTTCCTCAATACTGGGGTTTATAATTATGTATTTTTTCCAATTTAATAAAAAATAATATCCTTCTGTTTTATTTCTAATTCCTTAGATTATTGTTGAAGTTCAACACTTCACGCGTTTATTGACCAACTGAATTTCTCCTTTTATGAATTCATATTTTTTGCCCATATGGGGTAATTGTCTTTTTAAATTTTTTAAAGGCCCTTTTTCTAGTAAGAACATTAACCCATTGCAAAACAGATTGTAAATATTTTCTTCCTGGTTCTTCTAAAATTTTTGATTGTCATAGTTTTTTGGTATATAAAAGTTTACAATTTTAATTTAGTGAGTTATTATTTTGCTATTTTATTTATGATTGCTGGACTTGGAATGGTCAGCTTTTGGAAGCAGATGGTCGGAAAGGCCTGCATTAGTAAACACCACTTCAGCTCACTGGATGTTCACCACTGCCACCTGTAAGACACTGGCCTGATGTCCCGCTGTGTTCCGTCCACGTGTGGTTGTGGTGTTCCGTCCACAGCTGTGACTGTCCCTGCTGGCCTGGGCCATGGCACCTCAGTGGGATGAAATTATAGTAGGCCCCCTTATCCACAGGGATACACACCAAGACCCCCAGCGGATGCTCGATCCCAAGGATGGTACGGAACCCTATATATACTGTATGTGTTTTCTGTCTGATGACCCAGAGACTGGGGGGATGGAGCGGGACAGCTCGAGATTTCATCAAGATACTCAGAATGGTGTGCAATTTAAAATGTATCAATTTTTCTTCTGGAATTTTCCATTTAATAACTTTGGACTGTGGTTGACTGTCTGTAATTGAAACTTCGAAAAGCGAAACCATGGATAAACGGGACGGCTGTAACGGGATTCACCAGGAAGCCTGGCTTTGCTGTTAGTCAGGTGGTGGCAGGTGTGCTAAAAGGGACGCTGACTCAGTGCATTCTCTGACACCACGGTCTCACCTTCAGGGATAGTGAGATAGAGATAGGGAGGAGGAGTGGAGGAGACAAGGGCGGAACACTACCCCCACCGGGCGCCTAAGGGTGCCGACTTGCCTCAGAGCATCCAGATGGTGTCTCTGAAAGTCAGTTGGAAAATCAGTGATGGAGGTGCCCTTTCTAGTTACCCTACACTCACTGGGCGCTGGCTCCAGTGTCCCCCCAGGCATACAGAGCACAGGCTGGACATGGTAGAGCCTCCAATTTAGTTACCACGAAGCAGAAGTGGCCGGAAAGGAGAGCAGAGCATCCCCCAGGAAAAGCAAGTGTGCTGTGCTACGAATGTGAATATCGTGCTCATGAATCAAAGCAGCTGGGCTCTGCGCCTCGGCAGCTGTGGGAAGAACCCCTGCGGCGGTGACTGATGGGGGCCATGAGACCAAGATGTGTCTGGCTTGAGGGTGACCCATGTTCCTGTCAAGCCGACTGCACAACTTAACTAAGGAAGAGGCCAGGGCCCCGGCGGCCAGTCCTCCCATCTCCATCTGGAGTCCTCTCTCTTGGCAGCTTTTGGGAATCTCTTTCCCTTTGCACCTCCTCCCTGGTGGCTTCCTCTTTGCTCAGCAATGGGACTGGGAATGGGGGAACAGCAGCATCACACAGAACAGTTTTTTGTTTGTTTGTTTGTTTTGAGGTGGAGTCTTGCTCTGTCACCCAGGCTGGAGGGCAGTGGCGCGATGTCGGCTCACTGCAACCTCCACCTCCCAGGTTCAAGCGATTCTCCTGCCTCAGCCTCCCGAGTAGCTGGGATTACAGGTGCCCACCACCTCGTCCGGCTAATTTTTGTATTTTTGGTAGAACCGGGGTTTCGCCATGTTGGCCAGGCTGGTTTCAAACTCCTGACCTCAGGTGATCCACCCGCCTCGGCCTCCCAAAGTGCTGGGATTACAGGCGTGAGCCACTGCGCCTGGCCCGGAACAGTTTTTGTCTGCTTTTGGCAACTCAACCCTTGGTGAGATCCTTTGGGATTTGCTCCAAGTTCTCCTGATCCCTCAGTTTGGATTCTGAAAATTCAAACAATCCTGGAGCCCAACACCATCTCTGGGGCTTCTATCAGTGTCTCAAAATCTGGCTGAATAATGCCACAAAGGTGATGATGTCTTAAAAAGAAACAGGATGGGGTCATGGCTGAGGGAGCACTCAGAGCAGCTCTCTGGCCCATCCCTCTTGGGTGGGCGGTTTTGACAGTGTCTCAAACACAGGTGGCTGAGGAGCATGTAAAGGGTGCACAGATCAGGGAGGAAGAAAAGAAAAATGAGCAACCGAAGGAAAACACACAACTGGTGCTGAACGAGTTAGTGCCACCCTCCTGATGTCTCCAGGTGTCTCCCTGTCTTCTGGGAGCAGCACCTGCACACACGAAGAGCAGGAATCCCATGACTCTGGAGGTGGCACCAACCCCTTGAGGGCCTCTGAGCCCAGAACCAGCCTGAAGCGGTCCACCGAGCGGGCAGACGAGCCCTGGGCTGTGGACAGCCTGCTGATGGAGGCGAGAGGTGTGCACTCATGGGCCACCCTTGTGTGTCTTCCCATCAGGTACCAGACTCCCCCACTACAGATATGGCAAATGCTCCTGGCTCTCATCTAGAGGCTGACTGCAAGCAGCATGGAGGCTTAGCGTGAATCCCTCTCTGCCTCGGCCCCCAGAGGGTGAGAACTCAGTCTACTGTGGAGAGGCTTCAAGAGGTGTACTCAACATGTCACAAAAAGCAGAGGGCAGGCAAAAGAAACAGTGTGCCTCAGAATTGTTTGACACACGTGTGCGTGCATGCATGTGTGTGTGTGAATAAACACATTAGGAACTAGATGTCGAAAATGCTCTTAGGCACAACTAGAAGAGTTGGATAAGTGCTGAAGCAGGAGGATAAACTGGATAACATCTCTGAAAAGTGAGGGATGGGTGAACGCTTAGCCCCTTAGCCCCTCCACCCCCAACTGAACACCTCAGTTACCAGAGATGCACATGGTCTGGGAAGTAGGATTTTTTTTTTTTTTGGTGATAGTAGTAAGATACATACAATATAAAATTTATCATTTGAGCTTTTAAAGCATAGTGGAATTTAGTGCATACACCTTGTTGTGAAGGCATCATCACTACCTAGTTCTGGAGCGTTTTGTATTATTCCAAACAGAAATTCCACACCTGTTCAGCACTCACCCCCGACACCCCCTCCCATGAAGCCCGAGAAGCCTCCAGTCTCCTTTCTGCCTGTATGGATTTGCTTATTTGGGACATTTCATATAAATGAAATCCCAAATATCACAATATGTAGTCATCTGGCTTCTTGAGCTTAGCATAATGTTTTCAAGGTTCATCGATGCTGTAGCACATATTACACTTTTTTTTTTTTTTTTTGAGACGGAGTGTCGCTCTTGTTGCCTAGGCTGGAGTGCAGTGGTGCAATCTCGGCTCACTTCAACCTCTGCCTCCCAGGTTCAAGCGATTCTCCTGACTCAGCCTCCCGAGTAGCTGGAACTATAAGCGCCCGCCACCACACCCGGCTAATTTTTGTATTTTTAGTAGAGATGAGGTTTCACCATGTTGGCCAGGCTGGTCTTGAACTCCTGACCTCAGGTGATCCACCCGCCTCAGCCTCCCAAAGTGCTGAGATTACAGGCGTGAGCCACTGTGCCCAACCTCATTTGTTTTTATGGCTGAATTACATTCCATTGTACGAATGGGCTACGTTTTACTGATCCTCAGTTCATGGACACTTTGCTGTTTCCGTCTTTTGACTATTGTGAATAATGTTGCTATGAACATTCATGTACAAGTTTTTGTTTGAACAAAACTGTTTTCAGTGTTTTGGGGTATATACCTAGCAGTGGAATTGCAGGGTTATATTGGCTCTTAGAATTCTAGTAGCCAGAGGGCTATAAGAAACTTAGTCCATTATTTTACAGACGGGGAAACTGAGGCCCAGAGAGGCCATGACTTGCCTCGGACCACATGGGAAACTGCAAGGCTGAGGGCAGAAAAGTGTTCTCCACTGCTTAACTTGAGTCAAGACTTAACTTCAGTCAAGTCTTATTCTGAACCGTGGATCCCCCAGACACAAGACAATGGGTTCTGACCAAGAGAGTCACTTGGGGAGCTAGCTTGCCTCTCGCAAAGTCAACAGCCTTTGGTTTCTGCCTAATTAAAATTTCCCAAATTAGAAAAATACCACCTCAAAAAAGCTTACTAAAGGGAAGAATCCCATATGACTTATTCCAGAAACAGTGACTTCAATTAATTGCAAAATCTGTTGTAGAGAGTCACACCGATCATGTATAGTCACAAGCATTTAAAAGTTCTCAGAATTAGTTAATTATGGTTTCACATTGTGATGAACCAAGTAGGAGAAAGCCCGGTGGATGCGCCCAGGGAGGCAGAAATGCACAGCAGCTTCACTTTCTGCCTCCCCACTTCCTCTTTTCCTCTTTCTGGTTAGAAAAAGTGAAATTATGTAATTAACATTCAACAATATTTGCAACTTTCAGGAAACAGTACAACACAAGCTGATTGTCCAAGAGCCTGGTACAGAGAACCCCCAGGCCAGTTGGCTTTGGAGGAACCAGCCGGGAGGACAAAGTCTGTCATCTGCCCAATGTAATGGTGTTGGTTTGCTTGTTGTTTGTTTGTTTGTTTTGAGATGAAATCTCGCTTTGTCGCTCAGGCTGGAGTGCAGTGGCGCGATCTCAGCTCACTGCAACCTCTGCCTCCTGGGTTCAAGTGATTCTCCTGCCTCAACCTCTTGAGTAGCTGGGATTACAGCCGTGTGCCACCACACGTGGCTAATTTTTGTATTTTTAGTAGAGATGGAGTTTCACTATGTTGGTCAGGCTGGTCTCGAACTCCTGGCCTCAGGTAATCCACCCACCTTGGCCTCCCAAAATGCTGGGATGACAGGCATGAGCCACTGCGCCCAGCCTCAATGTAATATTTTATTGCCGTTCAAAGAGCTCTGCTATTCAAGCAGAAGGATGCTTTACGAGACAGACAAGATGGTCGTTTGGCTTCTTTCAGCAAAGACAGGGCTGGTCCTGCTTCCTCTGCAAACCGCAGCAGTGGCCTGGCCTGATCGTCTCTTGGAAGCTGTCTTTAGATGAGCCAAGGCTTTCAAAGTGATATCTGACTGCAGGTTTAGATCTATCGCTATTAAATCCAGGGGGAGGAAATCAATGCTGAGTTACCACTTCCTTTCCTTAACCTTGGCAAATGCTGAGCCGTGCTGGGCTCATGCTCAGACATTCATCAGCACGAGCTGATAGGTGACTTGGGCCTTAGCGAAGATGGGCTCCAAGGCCCGTCCAGCCTCAGGGACCAGGGAAGTGCCAGGGTGGTGGGACAGCTACTTGCAAACAGCCAGCAGCGTCCTTCCTCTTGCTCCCCTCTTCCTCTCTCATGGGAGGGCCCGCCCGTCATGCAGGGGCACCATGCCCATGGTGCCCCTCCCCTGAACAGTCTCAGGCCAACCCAAGCTCCCTCCAGTGGTCCTTGACCCCAGGCACAGCAGATGGCCCCCTGACCACCTTCCTCTGGGGGCCTCTGCTTTCTCTGGCATCTGAATCACCTGCGATTGTCACAGGCCCCTCAGAGACACGGCCCCCTCTGGGGCTTCTTGGACACACTTTGCTGGGCAGTGTTGATGCCTGGGACCAAACAGGAAGGGAAGGCACCTGAGGTCCTCTTCAAGTGACTGTGTCTGCAGCGGCCTCCCTCGTGGCACTATTGCAGCAGTGTGGAGGGGCCCTGCTGGATTTTCACAGTGTTGTTTTTCTGAGAACGGCAGGAAGGGTGCTTTTTCTGAGAAACTGCTGTCTTCTATGTCTCTGAGGGACACTGAGGAAGAGGTGCCGGGTCTCCCATGGCCAGCAGCAGAGAGAGGCACACGGCCCCAACACAATCCTGAAGATAAATACAGAATGGGACCTATTCTTAAGAGACCTGAGTCCCTTCCGTAGCCCTGATCCCTTGTGAAATTCTTCATATATCACTTGACCTATTCACATCCTAACCTTCTCTTTTATTTTGTCCTTCATAAAAAAAAAACTTTTCCATGTTATAAATTATAAATGATAGACTAATGTACACAGGGTTGCTGGGGACGCACATGGAAATTACATTGTTCCACACTGAAATTACATGATATTATTCACTTGTGAACTGTAGTAAAACAAGAAAGGAGATGACATACAGCAACACTGAAACGAGCAGAGAGGTGAGTAACCGTGCTCATCTTTTGCCTGTTGTTTAATTAGAAGGAAATCTCTATTCTCAGAAAAAAATAGTCTGAAAGAAAGTTTTGGAATTAGCAATAATTTAACACCCAGTAAAATGCCCTTCAATTAATTCTACCCTTCCAATGCTGCCAGCTCGCATGGGCCACCTGGACCCTGCCTATTAACACCTTCGCAGTCACACAAGACGGGACCTCAAGATAAGCTCTCTCCTGACCCTACCTCGGGGGCCATAAAACGCCAGTCCTGGATGCACCCCCTCTGCCACAGCCACCGCACGGCCCCCAGGGAGTTTGGGGATCGTGGAAACAGGTCCTTCTGCACCAGAGAAATCAACAAAAACAGGGCACCCTGGGATTCTTAGGGTACAGATATCTGTTTGGAGCACTCCTGTTCTGGTATCAGTGAAACAATACTTTTAGAAAATAGTAACATGAGCCCACGAAGGAGAGGGAGTCGCCAAGCACACACTGAGGCGGGGGTGCTGAGCACACATCTATGGGCCGCACGAGGCTTCGGGAGCCCCTAGATGACCTTTGCTCAGAGGGTCCTCGGCCATTCTGTATTTACAGTCTGTATTTCCACGTGTGACTGAGCTATCACGGGACCTGATGGTGGGCTTCTCGTTCTTCCTCTATTACTTTTTTATAAAGTGAAACCTCAAGCGGACTTCAGTTAATCATGTTTTTAAAAGATGCTGTTTCAACTAAAGAATATAGAAGAGTATATGCAGGTTTGGGGGAAGCGGTAGGAAACACTTGCTGGAGAAGAAATGTTCACCAGACAGAAAACAAGGAATGCGAAATGATCACATCTTTCTCTCCTAGCTTCCCATCTACGCATGCAGATTATCATGAACGAGAGGAAAGCCAGGCGGCTGGGCATATGTTGAAGATGTTGACTAGTTAGAAACCAGTATATATGTAGTATGCAATTTGGGATTATTTGATTTCAGGAAAATTAATCCTCAATGAAGACACTGTTCGCCCATTGGTGTCAATGATGTGAACAGAGACGTGTAGATGCCCGATTTGAGAAAGAGGAGTATGCCTTCTCCTCCTTCCTTTCCCTTCCCTTCCAATTTGCGGTATTTTAGGCATTTCCCAAAGAAATGATAACTGCCTTATTCTGTTATGTATCAAGACAAAACAGTCTCCCTGAGACTGAGATTTAAAGTTCACACAAACTTTCCGGAAGGGACCCAGTCGGTATAGGTTTTGCCAACCCTGCAGGCTAGCTAGCTTGCGCTGCGCCTGTGCACTCTTCCGCCGAGCTAAAAGTCTGAGTTGTGGAAGTAAAGGACAAGTCGCAGGTCCAGGGAGTCCACGCAGGCAGCCAGCTTGCCACTCCGAGCCCTCTGAGCACCGGCCACACGAACCACTCAAAGAGCAGAGATGAAGGAAAGGAAACGGTACTTGTAGATCTCGTGATTCAAAGAAAACGCTGCCTGCTTGCATTTTCACATACAGAATATGCTAATTCAAAGTAGAACAGACAAAGAAAGCTGCCGTGGCAGCAGAGCCCGAGATTGTACATGACTGGCCTGTGCTTTCCTTTAGGAGGTTGTTCATGCTCCAAGCTGTCCCTCATGGAGCCCCTGCCTCGGAAGCGGGCCAAAATCTCTCCACCCTTCAGCAGGGGCATCTACTTACAGAGATTTAACAGAAATGCTAGGGTGGCATTTTGTCTGGATAGCGACAGAAAAACAGTAGTAACGACGAAAGTTTCAACATTTTTTTCTCCACGGGGAAGAGAGCAAAAGGATCTCTAACCCTCCCCTCTCACAGCAAAAGGCCAAAAAGTTGCCCTAACCCCTCCTGGGGGGAGCTGCTCTGCCTGGTGCTCCGGAAAGACTCTGCCTGTGACCACACCACAGACCTCAGCCACAGGGTGGGGTCTGATGTTTAGTCAAGGTCGAAGGGTTAATACAAATCAAGGGGTTTGCCCAAATCTTTCCCGTCAGTCGCACACCAGACCTGCACATCCAGAGACACAGAGGTGAACCGTCTGTCAAATTAGACAGTGAGAATTAGGACTCTAATGCCAGACCACATAACAAAATTTACCATTTCCTCCCAGAAGATACTGATGGCTATTTTTTTAAGGCAGAATGTGAACTAAAAAGACAGGAGTATTTTCCAGGATAATCGAATGTGATAACCGAAAGCTCTTCTGAGTTCAACCCTGTCTTTCATTTCAGTGAAGGGAAAATCTGAACTAAAGAAAGGAGAGATGTGTCCAAGTTTAAAGGCACTGCTCTTCGGGTCTGAGAAGTAAAACTATAGTTCTCCATGAGGCTTCGACAGAAGCTGGGTCATCTGAATCTTTCCCTGGTCAAATAACAGAGGAAAACAATATTAGGATAGAAAACCGCTCAGTGAGGGACAGCCCCGGTAGACAAGCAGACACTGCACTCAGCTCACGCAGCCGCGCTCTCTCATCTTCATCACCACAGGATCATCATATTATCACACCACAGTTGAGGATGAAATAGCCCAGATATCTGAAGCACGTCAGATACCGTTTGGGTTCAAAATGACTCTATTTTTAACTAAGCACTAAAACATTTTCCTCATGCTGGAATCAAGTTATGTGTTGGCTTTTCCAATTTCAGATCCAAGTCTCTTTTCGAAGTGACAACCATTAATAATCGCTGAAGAGAAATCACACTGTGCCTCAGTTTACAAGAGCTTAAAATTCACCTTGTTAATGCTACCGCCCTCATTTCCAAATCAGCATTCAGGTAAGGCATAGTTTAATATCACTCAATCTCATCCAAAGGGTTACTACCAAACAAAAACAGAAAATATGTTTCTAAACAATTATTCATTAAAAATAACTATAACTGGGCTTAGGGTTTGAGTTTCTCTCTCTCTCTCTCTCTCTCTCTCTCTCTCCATCTCTCCCTCTCTCCTTCTCTCTCTCCATCTCTCCCTCTCTCCCTCTCTCTCTCTCTCTCTCTCCCTCCCTCCTCTGCTATATCCTCTCCCTCTCACTGCTTATGGCTCCAAATACTAAAACTTCAATCTCTATACTTCTTGGCGAATAATTTTTATAAATCATTGGCTTTAGAATTGTGTGTGTATGCTTAATGAAAGTTAATATAAAATTAGTATCTTAAAAAGCAAATATAACACAGGTATCAGTTTAAGGTAGATATTTCCCAAAATTTTGTGTAAAATATTTTCTTTATTAGTATAGGAATAAATGTATTGCTATTATAATTGGTATTTCACCTTTCATATTTCTGGGATACTATTCTTTATTTAAGACTTACAGGGAACCACTTCTAATTAGTTATATATTGGAAATATATTGAGATTCCTCAAATGGCGTCAGAAAAAATATGTGGAGTTTTGCTCAAGTCACATTTTTAGTTTATTACTCTGAGATAAATCTTAGTAGTAATTTCTTAGATAATTTGCTTATCTAAATATATAGATTTAATACTTTTGTAGAATATCTTTTTTATTTTAATTTTGAGATAATTATAGATTCACATGAGGTTGCAAGAAATATTATACAGAGATTCTCATATCTTCACTCCCTTCTCCCAGTGATGACATCTTGCAATTATCATAATCAGGAAACTGGCGTCAATATCGTCCCCAGACCTCATTCAGATTTCACCAGTTTTACATACACTCGTGTGTACATGTGTGTGCACGTGCATGTGCGTGTGTGTGTGTGTGTTTAGTGCTATGCAATTTTATCACGTGTAGACTCAGGTGACCATGTGGAATATCTTTTTAATCAGTTTCTGTTTGTAGTGTTTCATCTTGCCTTTACGTTTGAAAGCATCCATGTCTGTATCTCTTAGATTCTGTTTCTCCTTTATGGTTTTCCAGTCCTTGGCTACAGTAACTTATTCATCTCTTCTTTGAATTTTATTGCCTCATTTGTGAACTCTCTGCTAGCGGAGAGTTCTGTATTTGGTTTGCTTTTTGCAGCACATTTATCCTTTCCCAGGAAAAGACACAAACATAAACAGACATTCCAGCATGCATTCACAGGGTTTTTAAAGACACCAGTGAGAATAGATTAATATAAATACTAAGCTTAAAAACCGTCATAAAAGTTCAGCCTTTAAAATTGGCTTATTAAAATATTTGTTTTTTTTAAAGCCCAGATTTAAACTAAAGTTATGAGTTATAGTGCTCTGCTCAGAAAGAGTTTACTTTATGTGTGTGGTGTTTTTTTTTCTTTTTTTAAATTTTTTTGCCAGGCAAAAGGAATCCGGCATCTGTGCCGTCTACCCAGAACAGAGTGAAGCAAGGATGACAAGAACATGGTTCAGCTCAAGATCTGTATGAAAATATGAGTTTCAGGAAACCTCAGTGAAGTATTCTATCTCAAATGGCCTCAAAGAGCCACTGAAGTCTGAGGAATTCCCTCTCCAGCAAGATGAGTAGCAAGACTTCCCTGATGCAAGGCCGAAAGGACTGCTGATATTTAAGGGGAAAGACCCACATTAACAGGTCAAATCCCTACATCAGATCTTATTGATGGGTATTTTGTAACCAAACATTGCTTATATTCCAGGGAGCTCAGCCTTTCATTCTACTTCTTCTAGGCAAGCAAAAGCTCCATTGGGATTCTGCATTTCTGTTCTTCTCCACGAAGAACTGATTTTCTAGCATCCTGAATACAGCAGTTAACAAACACCTATGAGAAGTAAATTTTCAGGAGGGAGGAAAAGGCTCACATATATTAGATGGTGAAGGGGTCATGCAATTTCTTCAAAGTAGCTAAAAGTTCTCAGAAAAAAAAAAGTTTGTTGAGTGAGGAAATCTACTGAAAATCTGTGCACACTATGCAGAAGTTAGAGAAGATGTTTTCTTTAACCACACAGCAGGGAACAGGACAAATGTCTGATAAGTAATGGTCACCTTCCCCCACCCTCCAAGCCAGGTGTCTGGGACCCTGCTCCGAAGACTCAGGCATTTAATGAGAATACTAAAAAAATCCTTTTGAGATTTTTCTATTAGATGAATCCAACTGACTGGACAAAGACACCTGATTTATTGTCTAATTGTGCTTTTAAATACCAGGCCAAAGAAGAAAGGCAGGATAGATATCGGCAGCACCCGCACTCCACCATCTCTTGCGTTTCTCTTCCTTTCAGAGGACAATTTAGGCTTTGTGCTGCTGTTGCTGTTAGTCTTGACAGTTTTCTTCACATACGTGAAAACATCCCACATCAAACATTAAAATCACTTACAATGTACTGAAATGTCTAGAGATTCTTTGCTGATGCATATAATTAATGCTTCTTAGAAATGCTACAAATAAAAACAAATGCTGTTTAGCAACATTTTCAGGAAATCAAACCAATTATAATCGTATTGATCTTATAGGGAATAATGAGTTAAAGACAAAAAGAATGACAAGATGTCTGCCTAACGTGCCTGATAAATAAAAACAAGGTGTGTCCAGAATCATTCATGGATAAAATTTTTCCATATTTCTTTTCTCTTCTTTTAGAGTATCTATTTAATGAAACTAGCTTGTTTGAACTACTCAGTTATAGTCCAGTATGTAAAAATAAAAATAAATAGGCTCCTTATAGATCATCAGCTCTCCCACTAACTGTGTAATTATCTATTATATTTTCAAGGGCTTTTTTCCAAACAAGCTCTTGGCACTGTTTTTATTTATTTATTACATGTATTGCATTTTATTTTTCTATAATCTTTAATGGTTACCTATGGCTGATTCTCTAAGTTTTGAGGAGTGCGATTATTTTTAAATGAATTTTAAATGTTCCTACTAAATTCTAGCAGCATCATATCTACTGGTATTTGTTTTCAGTAATTTTCTGGAGGGCAGTCTTAACGATAATTAAAGTGACATTTTCCTTAAACACGGCTCAATGTGTGTGTTTTTAAAAAGATGACATTCCTCATCTGTTTGTTCTTATTTCAGATGTGCTATAAACCATGAATGAGGTAAAGCATAAATGGAAGTAACTAATGGAAGCTCATTATTTAGGCAGCAAAAACCAGAATTAATGTATTACCCCACTGTAGCGTTTAGTACTCAGCCAATCCAAACTTTCCTAGAGAAATATGTGATTGAGACACTTTCCATCTGTTTTTGACAAAGACAGGAGAAGATTCCCACAAGTTATTTTCTGCTGAAAATTATTTTTTAAAAACTATACAATTATCATTATCTCAGGAGGCTCTGCAGCTACAGAATTTTCAGTGACACCAAAATAAAAGCTAAAAAAATGAAATAAAACCCACCTGTGCTGGATCAGCTTTTCGTGGCCTCAGCAACAACATTCGCAGATATTATAGAACCACATAAAAAAAGAAATAGATATGTTTGGGAGAATAGGCGGCCGGGTGCTCTTGATTAATCTAAATTCCTTCTGTGTGAAGTAGAGTCTTTTATAAAAACATCGCAAGATGTGCGAGGAACTAAAACATACTAAGGGGGAAGGATTTTTAACTCGGCCCCAGCAAAAAGAACTCTGTGCCCCTCCATGGCCCTGGATGGCGGATGAGAGAGGGGCTCGCCTGCTCACAGAGCCTAAGGACGGCGCCTCCGTGGCTCGAGCTTGTCTAAAGGGACTTGGAAGGTGTCTGGTGAAAAGGACCCGGTGCAGGACGCCCTAATCGCTCTTCCAGAGGAAACCAGAACTTGGAGTGCTCCTGGCAGCTGTGTCCCCCGAGCCTTCTCCTCGCGCAGGGCCCGGCGCGCACAGCCTCCCTGTCCCCCAGACCCGTTTCCCAGCCTGGACCCCTCGCCCATCCCTGCGGGGCTGGATGGGCGGGGCCCCTCCCGGGTACTCCAGGGTCAAGGTTGGGACTCAGGGCTCCCAGTTCCTAGGTCAGCTCCACCTGCCTGCGGGCGCCCTGGGGCTCCGCGCGGCTGCGTCGGACCCGCCTGCCTCAGCGCTCCAGGCTCTGCGCTCTCGGCCCAGGGCCCTTCTCGGGCACACCCGGCCCTGTGGCTGCTCTGGCCCCGAAGCGCAGGGCAGTTTCCTCCCGTCCTCCCCAGGCAAACCCTGGAGCCGCAGGCCCGCACCTCTACGCCCACTGGGCAGGCCAGGGCGCCGACGGCCGGGGACCCCAGGCGCGAGCAGCTGGGTAGATCTGAGTGTCCGCCCGACGGACGCGCTCTACCCTTGCCCAGGAAGAAAGCGAAGCCATTCGCCCGGCAACACCCGGCTCGGGCAGCTTCGCGGGCGGCCTGCGCTGCGGCGGACGCAAAGGGCAGCTGGTCCTCATATCCCAGTCCCCAGCCGGCCCCAGGAGGTTTTTCTGATGCTCGCTCCTTCCACCGCCAACCACGGACACCCACACACCACCGAGAATGAAAACTGCGACCATCTGTCTAAGTATCTTCAGAACCCGCCGGGGGAGTCACCGGTCCGCCGGTTCCCAACTGACACCCTCGCGTGGAAGTCTGCACTCAGGGGTGTCCCTGGGACTGTGAGCGTCCCGCCCGCCCGCCTTCCTTGCTAAGAGGAAAAGCGCACGGCATCCAAGCCCCCGCGGCCCGCGGGGCCTCGCCGAGGAGACACGAGCAGGCCCCAATGCCCCTGCGCCCCTGCCGCCCGCCCCCCGCAGCGGAGGGCGCCCGTCGCGCGCGCAGCACCTACCCTGGCGCGCCGGTCCGGAGGTGGGTGGCGCGGCGCTAGTGGGAGGCGGACATGGACCACGCGCCCTCCATGCGCCACACGGAGAAGGCGTAGCTGAGGCGCTCGTGGGCCACGTAGCTGCAGCTGGTCATCTTATTGTCCATCTCGTCGCTCTGCAGGACCTGGTAGAGGAAGTCTATGTACCTGGCGGCCAGCTTGAGCGTCTGGATCTTGCTCAGCTTGTCAGAGGGCAGCGTGGGGATGATCTTGCGCAGCGCCGCGAAGGCCTCGTTGAGCGACTGGGTGCGCTGGCGCTCGCGCACGTTGGCCAGGATGCGCTGGCTCTGCAGCTCCTCGAAGGACTGCGCGCTGGGGCTGCCCTTCTTGCCGCGCTTGCCCGGGGTCGGGCTGCCATCTTCGCTCGACTTCTTGCTGTAGCGCCGCTTCCGGCCGAAGCGCTTGGGCTGCCTCTCGAGCTCCTCCTCGCTGGTGCCCAGGCTGTCCACGGGGGACACGGGCGAGCTGGAGCCCTCCTCCATGGCGCCCGCCCGGCGCGCGTGGGGCTGGGGGCGCCGGGGCGCCGAGCGCGCGCCGCTGGCCAAGCCCGCGGTCGCCGAGCACACGCTCTCGGAGTTGCTGGAAAGGCTCTGATTTCAAGGCCGGCTTGTGCAAAACCGAGGTCTCCGGGAGAGGAAGTTATTCTAACTTTTTTGGAAACTCTAGCTGGGCTGGGTTGCTAAATAGTTGTCAGGAGCTAGGGCGGCGCGCTGATTGGCCGCGGTGGCCGGGGGCAGGACAAGTTCTGGGGCCTTCGCCGGCCGCCCCCGCCCCCCGGCGCGGCACTTTCAGTTTTGCCTCCCCCTTCGGCCCCGGCGCGGAGGGCATCCCGGGGGCCGGGTCCTCGCCCGCCGCCCGCGCCCCCACCCCGAACGCAGGGCACTCTCAGGCCGCCCCGAGCCCTAGGCCCGGCCAAGCCTGGCTTTGTCTACGCCTCAACGTAGAGATCGGCCCCCACTGGGCTTTGGGGGGTTCTCTCTCTGGGCGTGAGGGGCTAGAGAGGCGAGTCCAGTCCCAGATGCGCTCCCAGAAGATGAGGACGCAGCCAGGAGCCTCCTCGACCTGTGTGGGTCTTGGCCGCCCCCGGGCGCACAGCTAGTCTGCACCGCGGCCCGCAAGCTTAGGCCTGGGGTCTGGGGAGCTGCGCGGGCAGGGGTCTCGGTGTCCGGACCGCCAGTGTAAGGACAGTCGGGGCCCCCTGGAGACGCCCGTGCCCAAGGACATGCCGCCAAGATCCGTGGAGATGCCACCCTTCGGCCAGCGTGCGTGTCGGGGACCATTTCTTACCCTGGCTTGCTGGGGAGCCCCGGCCCCGACGCCCTTCCCGAACCTTCCTTCTAACAGCTTTAAAACAACGCCACAGCGAGCCTCTGCGGGAGCGCCCGGTACCCGCCGCGCCCGCCTGCCTGGCCCTACCCGGGTTGCTGGGCGCGGGTTGGGGCGCCTGCCGGCCCGCCTTGTACGGCCCCAGCCTCTGCGCTCCGCCTTCGCTTCGCGGGTCAGCAGAGGACGGAGGGCGCTCCGGGAGCTGCACGAGGCTGCCCCGGGCCCAGCCTCCGCTGCGCTGGCAGCCCGCGGGCAGCTCCGAGCAGGAGGCTCAGGGTGGCTGGAGTGTGGGGCCCGGCCTCGGTGAGCGACACCACGGACCCCGGCCCCGGGCCATCTGGACGGCGAGCGCGAGCGCGTTTGAAGTGGTTGGGGGGCTCTTTGTTCGCCAGGCCGCTCTGGCTCTGGGCCTGGAGGTGGTTTTTACGGCTTTGATGCCTTTGAACCTATTCCCAGGTGACCCGGGCTCAATTAGGCCCGGGCCTGAGCCGGGCTGTCAGGCAAGCCGCGTGATCAAGGGCGGGCTGGGCCCTTTTATTGAAGTTGAACCCGAGACCGGGGAGTGCTCGGCCTCCGCTGCTCCTCCGGCCGGCCAGGCGGGCCGCGAGGTGGGGCCCGCGGGCCACGACCACCGCGTTGGGAAACCCGAGGACGGCAAAGAGCGGGCCCTTCGCGCCCCTGTCCGAGGGCCCTGGCTCCGGCCGTTCTAGGGGACGTTTTACCAACAATCCGTCCAGGAAGGCAGAACGCCTAGGAGCGGGCCCTCGCATGCATGTGAGTCGGTAGCAGCGCCCTGCGCAGTGTCCGCGCACCGGACCCGCGGCTTCAGTTCGGTGCCTAAAGGTTCTGCAGAGCCACCGCACCCAGCCCCACCCGGCCTGACCGCCCTCCTTCCTCCGCGCTGGGAAGGCCCACGGCCCCTCTAGCCCAACAAAATAGCTTTCCAGGTCCCTTTCTTTAAAATTCTCAAATAAAAATTTAAGGAACGAGAGAGAGAGAGAGAGAGAAGCCAGGTCCCCAGCCGTCCTGCCGGTGCTGGGCTGCAGCCCTTCCTGGGGCTTCACGTCAGATGGAAAGGGCCTGTTTTTCCCGAACTGGCCTTTCCCTGGTTTCTTTGCTCAGAGCAGTGACAGTAGCGATTTGCTGCCCTTTTACCAACCCTGTGTGGGTCCAAGGACCCAGATCCAGGGACATCTTCCCTTTCCCAGATGCGGAGGGCTTTTACTGAGGAGAGGACCTGCCTGGTAGCCTGCTTCGCCATCCTCGTCTCCCTGTCTGCGTGCCCCTGTGTCACTCTGGCTCTGTCGGCGTGTCTCTTTCTCTGTCCTTTCTGTCTCTTTCTCCAGCAGAGAGAGTTCATAGTTTAGTTTGAAAGAAAAACAGCTCAGCTTTGGTCCTGAGCAGCCCAGGGCTCAGCCCAGCCCTGAAGACCAGAGGCCCCGGGGACGCCCTGGAAGGGCAGCGCAAGCTGGATTGCAGGCTCACCTCTGCCTGGGGAGATGGACCTGGAGGATTTCACCTGCGACCCCCCGGGGCGCCCTGGAGCTATCATAACCAGCAGCCCAGTTCAACCGTCTGGATGCACTTTCTTCATGGCGTGTCTTGTCTATTTTAAAATGCTTTAACAATGATTATAGTACTGGAGGCTGTGATACTGACGGCTGCCTGCGGAAAACCTTGCTTAACAGAATTTGGAGTGACTTTCTTATGCTGTATTGCCAGCCCCTCAGAGTCATTACCTGGGCAGTGACCCCTTGCATACATAGGAGAAGCTAAGGCACAGTGGCATTTAGCAGCGTTTCCAATGTCACCTGTATGTTGGCTGGGGAAGTGACAGCATTCCCCTCTTTTGAGGAGGGGAATTTGCTGAATTAAAACCCAAATGAAAATGTCATCAATTTGGGAAATAATACTCAGGTTATTGATTTAGTTTGAGTTTTTCTTTCAAAAATTAAGTCAGTGATAAGGCTAATAAAGCCAATTTATTAATAGCATAAGTAATACAATATATCTCTGTGTGAATACTCTTTGCAGGACCACCCAGGCTCACTTGGACTTCAGTAAAATATCACGCAACAAAGATTCACAGAAGTAAATACAGTTCTTGGGGTACTTATTCATTACTGAGTATGGAAAATCCTGTGAATGCTTCCTTTCATATATGTAAAAAAGTGTGCTTTGTTTCATGTGACTTTGTGTTTTTTAAAAAAAAATGAACTGGTGTTCTGAAAGATTCTTCTATTGCACATTTTCCTTAGGGCAGCAAGTAACAGAAGGTGATATGTTTTCACAGCAAATTTGCCAGCTATTAGATTGGCTTTAATCTTGCTGCAGTAGAATGACACTGCAGGGATTGTCACCTGGGGATAGTCTTCAAGAATAGCAGCCAGGCACGGTGGCTCGCGCCTGTAATCCCCCAACTCTTTGGGAGGCCAAGGCAGGTGGATCACCTGAGGTTGGGAGGTCGAGACCAGCCTGGCCAACATAGTGAAAGCCCATTTGTACTAAAAATACAAAAATTAGCTGGGTGTGGTGGTGCATGCCTGTAATTTCAGCTACTCGGGAGGCTGAGGCAGGATAATCGCTTGAACCCAGGAGGCGGAGGTTGCAGTGAGCCAAGATCATGCCACTGCACTCCAGCCTGGACGATAGAGCAAGACTGTGTCAAAAAAAAAAAAAAAGAAAGAAAAGAAAGAAAAAAGAATACGACGCAATTATACAGCCCCTGGGCTTTCTTAGGATAAGAAACTGTGTACTTGCTCAGATGTGAAAAAAATTTAGTAAACTCTCAGGAGCTAAATAAAGCAATGAATTTATACATTTGAATGCTGTTGTCGCTACCTTTTGTCAAAATGCCTGCACGGGTGAACCCACCTGAGCTCTTCAGCAGATCCTTTTGTAGTTTAACTCTATGAAGTTCTTGTTGGAGCAAGAGACAAAAACCAAGATATCGTTAAAGGTCTAGTTTCCATTCCCAGTGACATGGTGGGTTGTTACCTCCACTTGAATTTAGTGAACTGAGAGCAGATGACAGAGCAGCCCATATTTGTGTGACAGAATCAATCCAACAGATTAATGAATCAATGACATTGATCCGGGGGTTGGTAACAGCATCTCCCAAACAGCACTTCCTTATTTGCAAAGCAAATAGCATTGGCGCAGTAGCAGTCTTACACTAACACAGCGCTCCACTGACACTTTTCCATCAAACTAGTCTTGGTGCCTTCATTTTGAATTATTCTCTCGTAGACTGAGATGACAGTGAACATGACCCATTATTTTAAGAAACCACAAGTTTTCAGAGATGGACTCTTGAGAATTATCTGACAAAGTTTTGGCATTTCTGTGTAGATTCTAGGGGTCTTCAGCATCATGTTGCTGAATGCTAGAAATATGCTGTCTGGGAAAAAGCTATCCTTGTGCCATGTATTGTTGGCTTTATTCTGGCAATACTTTATGCCTACCTGCAACCACCTGCCACCCCCCAAGATTTCAATCATCCAGCACATTCCCCAGTGTGATAGAGCAGCGGTGAGGGTTGGGGGTCACTGTAAAAGCATTTTTCAGTTCTAAAAACCAGGGTTGAAGATGCTTCTCGAATCTAGTTGTAAAGTGCAATGTATTCTTGGTGATGGGCATCAGAACACTTTCTGGATGTCAAGTCCAAGAGCCAATCTTCTGCCTAACTTCAGCAATGACACCAGCAGGATGGAATCCTACTTACAAAGAGCCAGAACCTAAAGCCCAGGGCACACATCCTGTACAGGCAGGATTCTCCTTTAAAAATCCCAACTGCTACTTTGGGAGGCCAAGGTGGGCAGATCACTTGAGGTCAAGAGTTCAAGACCAGCCTGGCCAACGTGGCAAAACCTCATTTCTACCAAAAATACAAATAATTAGCTGGGCATGGTGGTGTGTGGCTGTAA
This sequence comes from Homo sapiens, assembly GCF_000001405.40. Classification (NCBI taxonomy): domain Eukaryota; kingdom Metazoa; phylum Chordata; class Mammalia; order Primates; family Hominidae; genus Homo; species Homo sapiens. The sequence continues at coordinate 238,843,445 of NC_000002.12, read as the reverse complement.
TCCCAGCTACTCTGCTGGCTGAGGCACGAGGAAGGAAATCCTGGTAACTGCTGCAATGTGAATTAATCTTGAAGTCATTGATGCAGTGGCTCACAACTGTAATCCCTGCATTTTGGGAGGCTGAGGCGGGCAGATCACCTGAGGTCAGGAGTTCAAGACCAGCTTGGCCAATTTGGTGAAACCCTGTTTCTACTAAAAATACAAAAATTAGCCGGGCATGGTGATGCACACCTGTAGTCCCAGCTACTTGGGAGGCTGAGGCAGGAGAATCTCTTGAACCCGGGAGGCAGAGGTTGCAGTGAGCCGAGATCGAGCCACTGAACTCCAGCCTGGGCAACAGAGCGAGTCTCTGTTTCAAAAAAAAGAAGAAAGAAAAAAAAAGAGAAAGAAGGAAAGAAAAGAAAGATCACTATATGGAAGAGATATCTGTGCACCCGTGTTTATCATACCACTCTTCATGATGATCAAGATATTGGATCAACTTAAGTGTCCATCATAGATGAATGCATACAAAAATCTGATATATATATATATATATATGATATATATATATATAAGATATATATATATATATCAGATATATATATATATAATGGAATATTATTCAGACATGAAAAGAATGAACTCCTGTCACTTTCAGCACCATGAATGGAACTGGAGGTCATTGTGTTAAGTGAAATAAGCCAGACACAGAAAGACAAATATCTTGTGTTTTCACTCACATGTGGGAGCTAAAAAATCATATCTCATGGAGATAGAGAGTAGGATCGTAGTTCCCAGAGGTCAGGAAGGGGAAGGGAGAGAGGGGGACAAAGACAAGTTGGCCAAGGGGTACCAAAATATAGTCATATAGAAGAAATAAGTTATAGTATTCTGCAGTGCTGTAGGGAAATTACAGTTAAAAATAATTTATTGCATATTTCAAAATAGCTAGAAAATAAGTTGTATGATGTTTCCAACAGAAAGAAGGACAAATGTTGAAGATGATGGACATCCCAATTACCCTGATTTGATCGTTACACATCATGTACAGGTGTCAAAATACCCCAAAAATATGTCCAACCAACCTGTCAAGAAAAAATATAAATGTTATAGATTCCGATCAACATTAAAAAAAAGATAAAAAATAATCCCCTTGAGAAATCCCTGGGGGTAGGGGGCCCAAGGCACAGCTGCAGTGTAATGGCCCTGCCCTCGAGTGTCTGACGTCGCTAACCCAGCAGTGTTGAACAGCGTCATCTCCTGGTGGTATTGTTCCTCCGTGTTTTGGGTCCTCATCCTCCTTTCCATCCAGCCTCTCTTCTTTCTTCTTGAATTGCAGCAGATGGGAAAATGAAAATGACCTTTTTCAGTATCTGGCAGCCCTGATCGGTGAGGTGCACTTCTAGGGATATGTAGGGAAATGGGCAGATGCCTGCACGTCACTGGTCAGCCCAGGGTGGAGGTGTTTGGTTTTCTTGGCAGCATGGTGTCCAGGCACCAGATGTCCAGAGGTGTGGTCTGCACATCCGGTTCCTGGAGAGACGTATAGCAGGAGCGCTGCAGCTCGGAAGCTGGCTGCAGCAGGAGCGGCTCCTTGATTCCAGGTGGTTCTGGATTCACCAGTTTCTGGATGTGATGAGTCAGCAACTCCAGCTCTGCAGTATGGCTCAGAAGCCAGCCTTGACAGCTCTACCTAGAGCCTGCTCATTCAGCTCCACAAACAATTCTATCATAGCCTCTAATAAGTCGTTTCCTGCTTAAGCAATGTGGGCCTTGTTCTCCATAATGGAATCCTGGTGCGACACCCACACTTCTGGGCTGTGGTTTAGAAGGTGGACGCTTGGGCTCCCCCTATCCTTTGGCTTTGACTTCTTGACATCATTCACATCTGCTTGTAAAGTGGAGCTAACACTGGCCTTTGGCACATGTTTTTATTTTTATTTATTTTATTATTTTATTTTATTTATTTATTTTTTGAGGCAGAGTCTCACTCTGTCACCCAGGCTAGAGCGCAGTGGCATAATCTCAGCTCACTGCAACCTTTGCCTCCTGGGTTCAAGCAATTCTCCTGCCTCAGCCTCCTGAGTAGCTAGGATCACACATGCTCACCACCATGCCCAGCTAATTTTTGTATCTTTAGTAGAGATGGGGTTTCACCATGTTGGCCAGACTGGTCTCAAACTCCTGACCTCAAGTAATCCATTTGCCTCGGCCCCCCAAGGTGCTGGGATTACAGGTGTGAGCCACTACGCCCAGCTGGCACACATTTTTAAATGCCTTTGAGATCTAATCAAAGTTGTTCTTGCATCAAACTCATATGACTTTTTTAAACCTGGAAAATATACCAAATTTCAATTAAAAAATGAAAATGGAAAGATCAAACAAGACATAAATAGAATCAGAAAGAATAGGGTGTAGGGGGCTGGGATGGGAGCCAATTCCCTCCAAATAAATCTTGTTTTGTAGATTTGACTTTGGAATCATGTAAATGTTCATATAATTATATATATAAAATCAAGTAAAATAAAAAAATAGAATCCCTAAAAAATCAAAAGCAAAATCACACAAATGTACCTTATCAAATGTGTATGATATTGGTGGCTCAACCATGCAGACAGAAATAATTTAAGATAGCTTTAAAACACTATAATTGCCTTACGTCCCTAGTGAAATACATTCTAAAGGCAAAAAGAACTGCAAAAAAAGGCTTAAACCTTTCAGCATTCATGTTTCTAGTAATAAAATTGCTATTGTTATTCCAAAACTATATTGTGAGCTAAGCCAAATGAATAATTATGTTCATGTCTTTGGGGATCAAGATCTCCAACCTCAAAGAAAAGAGGTACGAATGTAAAACAAAAGAAGTTGCCGGGTGCGGTGGGCTCCCGCCTGTAATCCCAGCACTTTGGGAGGCTGAGGCAGGCAGATCACAAGGTCAGGAGATTGAGACCATCCTGACTAAAACAGTGAAACCCCATCTCTAGTACAAATACAAAAAATTCGCTGGGCGTGGTGGTGGGCACCTGTAGTCCCAGCTAATCAGGAGGTTGAGGCAGGAGAATGGTGTGAAACCGGGAGGTGGAGCTTGCAGTGAGCTGAGATCTCGCCACTGCACTCCAGCCTGGACGACAGAGAGAGACTCCATCTCAAAAAAAAAAAAAAAAGAAGAAGTTAAGTGAAACCATGTAATTCTAAATTTGTTGGAAACATCAGCTATGGGCTTGGGTCTGTATTTCCTGACCCTGACCACTGAAAAGAACTAGAACAACGAGCCGCCCACTGCAATGAGCACCGCTAGTGTGCAGATTTTGGTCTCTCCTTGAAGAAATGGTTGACCTAGATCTAGGGCAAAACAAGATAAGCCTGGAGCATCTTACTATACCAGAAGACAAGGAAGCCATAAATAACTACCATGTTCATGTCAAAAGGACCAGGAAGGAACTGAAAAGTGTTTCCCCACTTCAGGGCAAATGAGCATGAATGAGAAAAGTAACTGCAATAGACAGAAACATATCACAGATGGTAAAAATCCTTAAGTCTCAATGTTACTCGAATACAAAACTTATTGGTCATTTTTGGCTGTTGCTAGGAAATGGACTCACTGTCCCAAAAATTGGTAAGTAAAGGGAAAGAATCAGGCATGTAACTAGCCTTTCTTACTGAATTATACCTCAATGTAATGTATGAGTTGATGAGAAAATATTTCACTCTATAGAAGTGTTCCAGATAACAAATGAAGGACAGACGGTAGAATTATAACATCTCTGTTATATAAGAATGGATTCAGGCACTGCTGGTCCATGCTAAGTAACATCATAGAAAGAGAGGTATGCCTCCTGGAGGCAGGACCCAGCACCACTTGAGAAGTTGCAAGTCATCTAGCCCCTGGCTAGGGCAGCCAGTTCCAGAAAAATCCAGGGCTAGCAGACAGGCTCAATGGTGTCATCAGGATGCAGTCAGATCTCACCCCTCCTCTGCTCCGCTCCCTCCAAGGGCTCATTTCACTTTGTATAAATGACTGTCTTTGCCAGCATCTGTAAGGCCCACCCAATCTGACAAAGATCCTGCCCCATGACCTCTCTAATTCCAGGTTCTATGTCTCTGGCTCACTCCACCCCTGTCACTCTGGGCTGCTGGCAGTTCCTCCCTGCATAGTGCATGTCCCCACACAAAAGCCTACCTGAAACTTCCTGCTCCCCAGATAGCCATGTGGCTGATGTTCTTACACCCTTCCAATCTATCTTATATCTATTATCACATAACAAACCACCCTCTAATGCAGTGCCTTCAAATACCAATCATTGTATTTGCTTACAGTTTTGTAGGCCAGCAGTTCAGATTGTGCTCAGCCAGGTGGTTTTTGGTTTGTTTGTTTGTTTGTTTGTTTTGGCAGTCCTGCCTGGTGTCACTCATGTGCCTGTGGTCATCTCATGGCTTAAGCCTGATGGCCTCTTTCACAGATCTGGTGGTAGTAGGCACCAGCTCTCACCCCTTGGTGCTCCTGCACATGGCTTCTCTAGCAGGCTGGCTTGAGTTTGTTCTTGCTGTGGTCTCAGGACTCCAACCACAGTCTGAAGAGCACAAGCCCCAAGGCAAATGCTTTCCAAGATTTTGCTCCTGACACATGTACCAATGTTCCATGGGCTAAGTCACAAGACCAAGCCCAGATTCAGGGCTTTGGCATTAAAGAGTTGATTGGCAGCTCTGTATGCATGTGTGTGTGTGCATTTGTGTGTGTGCATGTGTGTGTGTGTGTGCATGTATACGTGTATATGTGAGAAGAGGGACCATTGTCACTGGTAGGCTTACTTTGGGATGATCAGCTGGGGACTCAGTCACACTTGGGGGAAGACCGCCCAGTCATTGCTATTTTTCTTTGTGGCTGACCCTCTCTCCAGGGAGGAATTCTTCCACCTCCTGCTCTGGGGCAGAAGCTTGGGTTCTTTCCCTAAGTCTTGGGAGACTTAGGAGGGAAAGGGACCTAGGCAGGGGATCTCATCATTCAGAATGCAGATTTTCACACAGTTACCCTCTTTTCAGTACAAACCCTCTCATCTGTCAGCACTGCCAGGTTCTCCTTTTGGGCTCAGATTTTTCAGAGTGACGTTCCAGCTCCTTCCAGGCTTGCCCCCATGATTATTACCTCCCACCAGGTCCTTCCCACCACACATGGGAATTATGGGAGCTACAGTTCTAGATGAGATTTGGGTGGGCACACAGCCAAACCACATCCAATTCTCACTGTCCTGCCCTGATTTTTAATCTTCAAATTTGTCATTCACATCCTATGCCCTCACTTTCCTGCCCTGCTCAGCTCCCTATTCATTTAACTTCTTCAGACATAGCACTTTCAAATGAAAGCAGTGTGGAGGGATCATAGGAATCATGGTGGCATCTCTCCTCACCATACACTGGGGATACACCCTAATTAAAAATACATGTGGCTGGGCGCGGTGGCTCACGCCTGTAATCCCAGCACTTTGGGAGGCCGAGGTGGGCGGATCACCTGAGGTCTGGAGTTCTAAACTAGCCTGGCCAATATGGTGAAATCCCGTCTCTACTAAAAATACAAAAATTAGCCAGGCATGGTGGTGGGCACCCATAATCCCAGCTACTCGAGAGGCTGAGGCAGGAAATCACTTGAACCTGGGAGGCGGAGGGTTCAGTGAGCTGAGATCACGCCATTGCACTCCAGCGTGGGGGACAAGAGCAAGGCCTCATCTCAAAAAAAAAAAAAAAAAAGCGATTTATTGTACAACTATGGGTAGAAATTAATCAAACACAGCAAATTATTACTACAGTACCTTCTAATTAGCCATTATTTACTGTGCTTCATATTGTTCTAAGAAGTGGAGTAGGAGCCAATAGACAGATACTTTTTTTTTTTTTGAGATAGATGTAGTCTCGCTCTGTCGCCCCAGCTGCTATGCAATGGCGTGATCTCAGCTCACTGCAACTTCCGCCTCCCAGGTTCAAGTGATTCTCCTGCCTCAGCCTCTTGAGTAGCTGGGATTACAGTCACAAGCCACCACACCTGGCTAATTTTTGTATTTTTAGTAGAGACGGGGTTTCACCGTCTTGGCCAGGCTGGTCTCGAACTCCTGACCTCAGGTGATCCACCTGCCTCAGCCTCCCAAAGTGCTGAGATTACAGGCCTGAGCCACCTTGCCCAGCCAACAGATACTTTATGACAGTATGCTGAGGGATGTAATGGGGTTTCGAATCCACACTGAGAAGACTGAGAAGAGAATGATCTGCAGGATTAGGGGGTGCCTGGAAAGACCTCAGTAAGGGGCAAGTGTGATGGTGACTATTTTCAACTTGATTGGATTTAAGGGTGCAAAGTATTGTTCCTGGGTGTGTCTGTGAGGGTGTTCCCAAAGATTAACATTTGAGTCAGTGGACTAAGAGAGGCAGACCCACCCTCAGTCTGGGAGGGGACCATCTAATCAGCTGCCAACAAGGCTAGAATAAAGCAAGCAGAAGAACGTGGAAGGACTGGACTGGCTGAGTCTCCTGCCTTCGTCTTTCTCCTGTGCTGGGGGCTTCTTGACCTTGAACATCAGACTCAAGTTCTTCAGCTTTTGGACTCTTGGGCCTACACCAGTGGTTTTGCTGGGGGCTCTCAGACCTTCAGCCACAGACTGAAGGCTGCAGTGTCGGCTTCCCTGCTTTTGAGGCTTTGCAGACGGCCTATTGTGGGACATCAGCTTGTGATCATGCGAGCCAATTATCCTTCATGAACTCCTTTTCATAAATACATCTTTCCTATAGTCCTATCCCTCTAGAGAACCCTGACTAATACAGCAAGTAACATCTACCAGGCATAGGAGGGAGAAAAACTCATTCAGGCGAAGAGATGATGCTGTGACAAGACCCAAAGGCATGCAAGAGGCATTCATGTCCCTGAAATGGAGAGCACCCTGTGGCTCAGACCTCAGGGTCTCAGTGGTTAGCACTCTCTTGGTTGTAGGTAACAGACATTCAACCTGAACCTGCCTACCAGAAATGTATTGGCTCACTACTTGGGAAGTTCAGGCTTGGGCTGGCTTCAGGCTTAGCTGGATCCAGGAGTTTCAATGATGCTATATCCCTCTCCTTTCTCTCTATGCTTTAGCTCTGCCTCCCTCTGTGTGTGGGCCTTGCTTCTTCCTGTGCATGATAGGAGGTGGGATACTCCAGGGTCACATCTTCCCAGGACAGCAGTGCTCATTAAACAGCCTTCCTCTCTTGCTTGGCAGAGACACTAGGCATGGGGCTCTCCTGGCCTGACTGCAGCTGGGGCTCCTGTGATGGGGTGGGATAAGAAGGGCAGGTTGGTGCCCTGAGAGTGGAAAGAGGTGCTGGGCAGATAAGCAAGGCTTGTCCACTAGGGGTGCTGGCAGCACCGTAGAGGAAGGTGGGGACCAGGCTCCCAAGGGTCTTGTGGGACCAGTTAGGAGTTTGGATTTCCTTCTGGAAGCAACTGGAAACGAACCAGAGTTCTAAAGAAAAAAGTGATCCAGCTGGAAGACGGAAGCCAGCCCAGTGCCCAGCCAGACAAGGAACAGCGGTGGGTGGGGAGGGGACAGGAGGCAGCAGATGGGACAGGAGGCAGCGGAGGGGGAGTTGAGAGCGGGGAGTCAAGAGGTGGGAGCTGCAGAATTTGGCATCTCTTCCCATGACTGTGAAGTGTTTAGAGACTGGCTTGGGCTAACGTGGGAGCTCACTAGGACCCACCATCTCTTGCTGCATGTAGATGCTAATTGAGAGTGGGAAGGCAGGCAATTGAAACACTTATTTTTTATCATATAAGAAAAGAAATGCCAGCTGCAGTGGCTCATGCCTGTAATCCCAGCACTTTGGGAGACTGAGGTGGGTGATCACTTGAGCCCAGGGTACAAGACCAGCCTGGTGACATAATAAGACCCCATCTCTGCAAAAAATATACAAAAGTTGGCCAGGTGTTGTGGTGTGTGCCTGTAGTTCCAGTTACTTAGGATGTTGAGGCAAAAGGATCACTTGAGCCCAGGAAGTCGAGGCTGCAGTGAGCCGTGATCACGCCACTGCCTCCAGCCTGGGTGACAGAACAAGACCTTGTCAAGAAAAAAGAAGGAGAAGGAGAAGGGGAAGGGGAAGGGGAAGAAGAGGAGGAGGAGGAGGAGGAGGAAGGGGAAGGAGAAGGAGAGGGAGAGGGAGAAGGAGAAGGGGAAGGGGAAGGGGAAGTGGAAGGGGAAGAAGAGGAGGAGGAGGAGGGAGGGGGAGGGAGAAGAAGAGGGACAGGGAGAGGGAGAAGGAGAAGGAGAAGGAGAAGGAGAAGAACAAAAAGAGCAAAACCTAGCCACAGCACGAGGCTATGGGGAAGATCAGAAAAAGAACTGGGCCAGGGGAAGTCTGTATTCCGTTTTCTGTCATTGGTTAGAAGATGACCTTGGTTATTCCTTCGCCACTGTGGGCCTCAGTTTCCCCTCTGTGGATAACAGGTTGGGGTGAATGATCCCTAGGGTTCCCTCAGCATGATAGTGTCCCGGTTCTATTTTCAGAAATGGAAATCCCTGTTTGGGACTGAAGCTACGCATCACACTCTGTGGCTCAGTGGCGCTGTCGGAAGAGCAGGCCTGGGGATGCGGGGAGTGTGATTTTCTTCACACTGTCTAAATAACATGCAGGGGCCTTTGGTGGCCACACATGCCCCGGCCCCTTATAAAGCCCCTGCCCTGTGGTGGCGTGGTCATAAACTTTCCTGCAAAGGTCATGTGAATTTATCGCCCCCAATACTTTATAATTAGAAATTATGGCCTCCCTTCCGCATGACACTTTTGAGCCTTAGCAGATCTTAAATTAAAACTATGTTTATGTTTCAAAATGTTCTTCAGAAAACTTTAAACTCATGAGTTGAAAATTTGACTTTAAAAAGTTCTGAACACTTATCTAAATAAACACTCAGGTTTGACCTAACATGTATGAAGCAATAAACTTGGAATTAAACTCATGTGTTAAAACTGATTATATCTGGAATATAAAAACATATCAAAGCAGGCTTCTGGGGGGAATACTTCTGGGTGTATGGTAAATTTCTTTTTTCTGGGGGAGTTGGAGTGGGCTACAGGCCTCTCCCAAGTGACCAGGAAAGAAACATGGAGTGTCCTTGTTCAGAAAAGAGAGAGAGAGAGAGAGTGAGTGTGTGTGTGTGTGTGTGTGTGTGTGTGTGTGTAGGTAGGTAGGTAGGGATATGAAGTGATATGTTACTTCTCTAGGCTGTACAGTTTCTAAAATGTTTTTAATGATTTCCCTTGACTCCATTTCCCTTCTTTATTTCTTCATCTCCTGCCAGGGAAGATGGATAGATGGCGGCCAGGAGTGCCGCCGCTTCCCCTCCCTCTGTGCCAAGATGCCGAAGCCTGCCTGCTCCAGGCTTTCCCTCCAGGCTTCCTCCTCCAGTTTCTTTTTCCTCTTCTACTCCTGATGGATTTTTCCTTCCTCCTTCAAAAAGGCCCTCACGCCTACCCGCGGAAGAGATGCTGAACTCGAGTAAAGTGAAACGACTTTATTGCATTATTTGACAGATACTTACTTTTCCCCCTGAGGAGAAATTCATGAACCGGTATCAAAGGATGAGAGTGTGGCCTTTGTTTCTCTGGGCCACACATGATGGGTGTGTCACCTGTGATCTTCATCCATTTGAAATCCATGGATTTCCACTGACTCCCGGCTGAGCAGCTCAGCAGAAGCGCTCTCAGGTCGGCTGGCAGATGCACACACAGAAGTAAAGAGGTTTGAAATGTAATAGGAGGAAAATATTGACACTAATTTTTCATTCTCTAAAAATTATTTGTGTAAGGACTCTGGAATATTGTATTTTCTTCCAGGAAGATTTCACATGTAATATTTTGGTATATAATCAATAACTGCAAGTTGTGGAAATCTTCAAGTAACAAGATATGTTCTTTATGCTCAAATTAAGGAAAATGGTCAAGTCGTTAAAAAGGAAGGACAAGGAGAAAGAGAGAGAGAAGGTGAAGGAGAAGGCACTGTCAACATCTAGTAAAAAAACAAAACAAACAGCCTTGTGAGTCCTTGCTGCTGACATTGAGAAACTGACTCAGTTTCCCACATGTGCACATCCTCCTGCAACTTTTGTGTGTCTCGAGACACCGTGATCTCCTCCACCTGCAAGCTGGTTTTCATGCTCCACATACAAAGCAGAAAAGCAGATCCATCTAAAGCATGCAAGCTTTAAAAAAAACATTTTTAAAAAGGTATAGTTTGCATACAGTACAATCCATCCATTTCAAGTTTAAAATTCATATGTGGAACTATCTCTATAAGAACATTTTCATCACTCCAGTGAGTCCTCTTGAACCCCTCTGCACTCAGTTGCCTCCCCCTCCCCAGCCACTGGCAACCACTGATCTCAGTTGTTTCTGTTTTGCTTTGTAAAGACTGCCATAAAAATGAAATCAGACAGAAAACAGCCTTTCGCGTCCACCTTCTCACCCTCAGACTCATGCCCTGGAGGGTCATCCATGCCGTTGCACATATTTGAGCCTGCTGCTTTCTGTGACTGAGAATTCTATGGTCTGTATATACTACAATTGCTCATGCATTCATTGGCTGATGATCATTTAGGTTGTTTCTAGTTTAGGATGATTTTTAGTCAAGCTGCCTTTGTACACATGTGTTTCACCTCTCTCGGGTCTCTTGCAGACAATTTAATCTCACATCTTTCTAGGAGCTTGGTTGCTGGGTCCTGTGAGGGTGTACACTTACCTTTAGAGGAAACTGCCAAACTATTTTCCAGAATGGCCAGACCATTTTGCATTCCCACCAGCAATGTAGACAAGTTCAGCTGCCGATGGCTATAATACATAAAAAGAAAAACTGGAAAATGACACATTTTGGCAAGGATGTGGAGAAATGGGAATCTTCCTCCACTGTTGGTAGGAATGTAAAACGGCAAATCTACTGTGAATAACCATTTGGCAGTTCCTCAATAAGTGAAATACAGAATGACCATATGAGCCAGCAATCCTATTAATACTTTTGGGTATGTAACCAAAAGAATTAAAACAGCTGTTTGAACAAAAATGTGTACATGAACATTTATAGCAGCATCATTCACCATTGCTGAGATGTAGACACCACCTGCATGCCCATGCATGGATGAATGGGTAACAAGATGTGGTCCAGCCATACCATGGAATATTACTCAGCCATGCCATGTAAAGGGATGAAGTACTGTCACATGCTGCAACATGGACAGACCTTGAAAACAGTACATTAAGTGAAAGTAGCCAAAAACAAAGGGTGACATATTATACGGTTCCATTTCTATGAAATGCCCACAATAGGCAAACCAAAAGACAGACAGCAGAGGAGTCGTTGCCAGGGGTTGGGAGGAGGGCATGTGTTAATCATGTTTTTTATTTTCTGTATTTTACGGTGCTTTGACATCTTGGGTCCTTGCAGACCCAGGGAGGGACTCCCCCTCCCAGGGTTCACTAATTCCTGGAGATAGCAAACAACTTGTCTGAGAGCATGTCTTGATTTGCAAACCAACCAATATCCCCATCCACCTGATTGTATCAGCCTCCTGCAGATCATAACACTACCCACCCTTCCCTAAATCACCCCAGAGCCAGATACTGACAACTAGGGACCACTATAGCCCAGAGCCTGCTGAAATTGTTTCAGCTATTCAATCCTAAACGTGCTCAGCTTGCTCACCCTGCCCTACCTCTGCCGTGAAAACCACGATCAAGGATCTCTCACACGCTTTCCTCTCACCTCTTCTGCCTCCTGATCAATCCTGGTGCTTCGCCATAAGACCCTGCCAGGTGTACTGCACCTCCTGTTTCCACGGACCTGTCAGTATAAAACTCCTCCCTTCATGACAGTCATTTCCATACCTGCATGTCTTATTTCCCCCAATTAAAACAAATCCTGGGTATATGTTAAAACAGAGGGGAATAGGGAGTGAGTATTAGTGGGTACAGGGTTTTCATTTGTGCTGATGAAAAGACTCTGGAACTATTCATATATAGTGGTAGTGGTTGTGCAACATCATAAATGTGACAGACGCATCTTTTTTACCACAATAAAGACAGGAAACAGCTTCAGTTTCTCTGCATCTTCGTTAGTACTTGCTAGCATCAGTCTTACTAATTCTAGCCATTCTAGTAGGTGCACAGTTATCTCTTGGTGATTTTAATTTGTATTTCTCTAATGACTAATGATGTTGGCTTTTTTTCTACCAAATGTCATTTTGATTCTGAAATAATTTTAGATTCACATAATAGTTGCAAAAATAGTTCAGAGAGTTCTCATACGCCCTTCATTCAGTCTCCCATAATCTCACAAAGCCATAGTACAGTGGTGGAAACCAGGAAACTAACATGGATATAATACTATGAACTAATCTATAGACTTCATCAAATTTTCCTGTTTTTACACTTTTTTTTTCTGGTCCAGGATTTAATCTGGATGCCACATTGAATTTAACTGTCAAATTTCCTCTAATCTGTAACAGATCCTCAGTCTTTCTTTGTCTTTCATAACTTCTGCACTTTTGACAAGTCCTGGCCAGTGATTTTAAAGAATGACCCTCAAATTGAGTTCATCTGATGTTCTTTCATGAACATATTGAGGTTATGCATTTTGGGTAAGAATACCACAGAAGCGATATAATGTATGTGGAATGTATTATTACTGCTGATGCAACTTTGATAACTGGGTTAGGTGAATGCTAGTTTTCTCTATTATAAAGTGACCCCTTTTCCTTTAGTGTGGAAATTACTAATTCCAAATTAGTAAGAATCTTGTGGGAAGGGACTTTGAGACCAGGAGACTATCCTGTTTTTCATCCTATTTTTACTCAATAATTTTAACATCTATTTGTGATTCTTGCCCACAACAGCTTTTATTGTGGTGCTTGCCAAATAGTGATTTTCTATTTGCATTATTTCTTCTCCATTTACTAATTAGAATTCTATTGTAAGGAAGAGCAGTTCCCTTCCCCATTTATTTATTTATTTGCTATTTATATCACTATTGACTAATCGATATTTATTTTACACTGTGGAGTATAATCCAATACTACCATTTATGCTGTTGCTCTAACTGCCTCAGCTTTGACCATTGGGATCACTTTCACGTTGGTACCTGTGTCTCTCCCAAATGTCCTATCATTTTTGAGCACGTCTTTTTCTTCGGCATTACAAGAATCTCAAGATTTGTTGACCATCTTTTAATATACTTAGTGGCCATTTGTCTGTCATCTTTGGTGAAACGTCTGTTCAAATATTTTGCCCATTTTTAATTTGGTCACTTATCTTCTTATTAAATGGGTAAGAATTTTATATAAATTCTAAATACAATTAAATGGGTAAGAATTTTATATAAATTCTAAATACAATTCTAAAATTCTAAATAAGAATTTTACGTAAATTCTAAATACAATTCTAAATTTTTATAAATTATAAGTAAAAATTTAATATAAATTCTAAATTTCTTTATTTAATGTATATTTGAAAGTATTTTCTCTCGCAGTTTTCATCTTAATTTCATTTTCTTAACAGTCTTTCAAACAGTTGAAGTTTTCAATGTTGATAGAGTCCAATTTATCACCTTTTCTTTCATGGTTTGTATTTTTGTATCATATCTAAGAAATCTTTGCCTAACTCAGATATCAAAAAGACCTTTTCTGTATTTTCTTTTAGAACGTTCATTGCTTTAGCTCTTTTATTTATGTGATTTATTTCTGGCTAATTTTTGTTTACAGTGTAAGATTAATAGTTGAGGTTGATTTCTATTACATATTAATGTTCAATTATTCTAGCACCACTTATTGAAATTAATATTCTTTCCCAATTGAATTTTCCTGCAAATTTTTCAAAAATCCATTGACCATATACATGTGAGACTATTTCTGAGCTATCTGTACTTTTCCATTACTATATATCTGTTCTTACATTAATAAAACACTGTCTAGATTTCTGTAGTTTTATAGCAAGTCTTAAAGTAGTGGGAATCCTCCAACTTTGTACTTCTTTTTAAAAATTATTTTGTCCATTCTAAGTTGTTTGCATTTCCATATAAATGTTAGAATCTGAATTTCTACCAAAAATACCTGCTGGCATCTTGGTTGGTATTGCCTTAAATCTACAGATCATCTTGGGGAGAACTGAGATCTTAATAATATTGAGTCTTCAAAACTGTAACAGATCCTGAACATGTATTATTAGATTTATACCTAGGCAATTATTTTTATTTGTTTGTTTGTATTTTGGTTTGGTGCAACGCTAAACAGCACTTTTAATGTTTTCTTTTTCAGCTGTTCATTGACAGTATACAGACATTAAACTGGTCTTTGTATACTGACTTTGTACCCTGTGACCATGCTAAACTCATTTACTGTTCTACGAGCTTCTGTGTAAATTCTTGGGATTTTCTACATAGATAATCATGTTGCCTATGAATAAAGAGTTTTTATTCTTCCTTATCTATGTGCCTTCCGTTACTTTTTCTTGACTTATTTCAGTGGATAGGCCTCCAGTACAATATTGAAAAATGCAGTGAGAACAGAAATCCTCACCTTTTCCCCAATCACAGCAGGAAAGCATTCAGTCTTTGCCAAGAAGTATGATGTGAGATGTAGGCTTTTCATACATGCTCCTTATCAGGTTGAAGAAGTTCCCCCCTATTTTTAGTTTTCTGAGAGTTGTTTTTAAATAATGAATTGGTTTTGCATTTTGCCAAATATTCTTTCTGCATCAATTAAGTTGATCATATCATTTTTTTTCACTTTTAGCCTGTTGATATGGCAAGTTATGTTCACTGATTTTCAAATGTTGAACCAACCTTGCATCCATAGGATAGACCCTACTTGAACATGACATATTATCACTTTCATATATTACTGGATTTCATTTGCTAATATTTTGTTAAGGGTTTTGTGTCTAATTTAGTTTTTTGGTCGGTTCATTTTTTTTTTCTTGTAATGCCTTTTCTTGATTTGGGTATCGGGGTAATCCTGGCCTCATAAATTGATTTGGGAAGTGTTTCTTCCACTTCTACTTTCTGGAAAAACTTGCATGTGATTGGTATTATTTCTTCTTTAAATGTTTGGCAATATGTATCTGTGAAGCCATCTGGGCCTGTGCTTTTCCTTGTAGAATCCAAATACATTCAAATCGCTATAAATTCAATTTCTCTAAAAGATGTAGATTTATTCAAGTGGTTTATTTCTTCATGAGTGAATTTTGGTAGTTTGTGTTTTTAAAGGAATTGTTCTGTTTCATCTAAGTTATCCAATTTATTGTCATAAGGTTGTTCATAACATTTTCTTATTATCCCTTTAATTTTTTTAGTATCTGCTTTATTTCTAACATTGGTACTTTGTATTTTCTCACTTTTTTCTTATTCATTCTGGATAAGGGGTTATTGATATTTTATTGTTTTTATGATTCTATTTTTTTTTACTTCTGCTCTTTATCATTTGCTTCCTTCTGTCTACTGTAGGTTTAATTTTCTCCTCCTTTTGTGGTTTATTAGAGTGGAAGCTTAGTGGTTTCAGACCTTTTACCTTTTGTAATATAAGCAGTTAATGATATGAATTTCCATCTAAGCACGACTTTACCTGCATCCTACAAATTTTGATATGTTTTACTTTTATTTCATAATTCAAATCATTTTATAATTTATTTTGTATTTCTTCTTCCACCTAAGAATTATTTGCTACTTACCGGCCAACTATTGGTGGCGTTTCCAGATATCATTCTGTTGTTCATTCCTGAATTGATTAAATTGTGGTCAGAAAATACACTTTGTGTGATTTCAGTCCTTTTAATGTTGTGATTTGTTTCATGGCTCAGAACATGTTCTATCTTAGTGAATATTCTGTGTACACCTGAAAAGGATGTGTATTCTGAAGATGGTGGAGTGTTCTGAGAAATGTCAGTTAAGTCAAGTTGGTTGGTACTGGTTTTCTAATCTTCTACTGCCCTCCTGATTATTTTGTATACTTTTTCTGTCAATTACCGAGAGAAGAGTATGGGACTCTCCAACTATCATTATGGATGTGTCCATTTATCATTTTAGTTCTCTCAGCTTTTGCTTTACGCATTTGGAAGCTCAGGAGTAGGGACAAACACAATTAGGATTGCAATATCTTCTTGATGAATTGACCAAGTGGTTTATAAGGTCTTTCTTTGTCTTTGTAATATTTCTTATGCTGAATTTTAGTTTTTCTGATATTATTATAGCCACTTCAGCTTTCTTTTAATTGGTCTCTACATGGTATTTATTTTTCTATCTTTTCTCTTTTCACCTTTTTAAGTCTTTACACTTAAAGTATTTTGTGTTTTTTTTTACTCATACAGTGAGTCTTGTTTTCTTTCCAGTTTTACAATCTCTGCCTTTTAATTGGAGCCTCTGCATGTAATTGCTTATAGGGTTGAATTTAAATCTATAACTTGTTTGCCTCTTTTTTTTTTTTTTTTTTTTGAGACTGAGTTTCGCTCTCGTTGCCCAGGCTGGAGTGCAATGGCATGATCTCGGCTCACCTGCAACCTCCGTCTCCCCAGGTTCAAGTGATTCTCCTGCCTCAGCCCCCCGAGTAGCTGGGACTACAGGCATGCGCCACCATGCCTGGCTAATTTTGTATTTTTAGTAGAGATGGGGTTTCTCCATGTTGGTCAGGCTGATCTTAAACTCTCCACCTCAGGTGATCCACCTGCCTCGGCCTCCCAAAGTGTTGGGATTACAAGCGTGAGCCACCGCGCTGGGCCCACTTGTTTATCATTTATTCATTCTGCGCTCTGTTCCTTTTTTCCAATTTTCTTGTCTTCCTTTGGATTAATTAAATATTGTTGTGTATTCAATTTTACCTTATAATTGGTTTATTTCTACAGTGTTCTCTCTTTCCTTCTCCCTCTGTTGTTGCCTTAGAGTTTACAATATGCATCTTTAAGTTATCACAACCTATCTTCAAATACTGTTATACCTTTTCACATGTAGTATGTGAACCTCACAATAGTGTACTTCCATTTCCTGCTCATTCTTTGTGCTTTTGTTGTCATGCATTTTGATTCTTCATATGTTATGAATTTTACCATTGTTGCACTTTTAGTTTAGACAATCATCTCTGAAAAAGATTAAAATGTAAGTAAACAATATCTTTTATGATTACTCATTTTTATGAGTTCCAGCATTCCTCATTTGTTTGTACAGACCCAGATAGGCATTTGGTATCATTGATATCATACATTTTCTGCCTGAAGAACTTTCCTTAATATTTTTTGTTGTGCAGGTGTGCAGGAAACACACACCTTATTTGTTAATCTTAAAAAGTCTGTTTTGCTTTCACTTCTGAAAAATATTTTCACATTATATGGAATTCTGGGTACACAGCAACATTTTCTTTCAGTACTTCAAAGATGCCACTCCATCGTCTGTTGGCTTACAACATTTCTAATAAGAAATCTTCCCTAGCTTTTATCTTTGATCTTCTGCGTGTGATGTGTATTTTTCTTCAGTTTTTTTTAAAGAGATCTTATCTTTATCTTTTGTTTCTATTTGTCCTAAAATATATCTTGGTGTGATATATCTGAACTTCTTTGATCTTCAGGGATTTCTTGGGCTATTTTTCCTTAATTTTAGTAAATTATTAACTACTGTCACACAAATCTTATTCCTGCCCCACTATCTTGCTCTCTTTCTCTTCTCTTCTTGGGACTACAATGACATATATGTAGACTGTTTGATGTTGCCTCACAGCTCTTGAGTGCTCTGTTTTGTTATTCTTTTTCTGCTCTTTTTTCTTCTTTGTTTCAGCTTGGATGATTTCTACTGGTTAACTTCAATAACATTTTTTCCTCTAATGTCTCTACACATTTCTGATAAGCTTCTCAAAGGAATTCTTCACTGCTATGGTATACATTTTTAATAATTTTTAATCTCTATCATTTTCATTTGACTCCACCCCCCCCCCTTTTTTTTTTTTTTTTTTTTAGACAGAATCTCACTGTGTCGCCAGGCTGGAGTGCAGTGGCATGATCTCAGCTCAGTGCAACCTCCACCTCCTGGGTTTAAGTGATTCTCCTGCCTCAGACTCCCAAGTAGCTGGGATTACAGGAGCATGCCACCATGCCCAGCTAATTTTTGTATTTTTAGTTGAGACAGGGTTTCACCATGTTGGCCAGGATGGTCTCCATCTCTTGACCTTGTGATCCACCCGCCTTGGCCTCCCAAAGTGCTGGGGTTATAGGTGTGAGCCACCATGCCCGGCCATTTGATTATTTTATAGTATTTACTTCTTTGCTGAAATTTCTCATGTGTTCATACGTGTTTTCTATCTTATCCTGGATCTTCTATTATATTAATTACAGTAATTTTCAATCCCTGTCTGATATTTCCAACATCTTGATCATCTCAGGGTCTGATTTTGCTGATAGCTTTGTCTCTTAACAATGGGTCATCTTTTATACCTTTTTGTGTATTACATAATTTTTTATTGAATGTGGAAAATTCTACATAAAATAAAAGTAGAGACTAATCTAAATAGTACTTATGCCTAGAAATGAGCATGTGTCTTCTGATGATAGGTGTTTTGTACAGGAGTTGAGGCAATCTGTTCAGTAGTTGAGTTGGGTGTATAATTTCTGTTCTTAGAGTTACCTTTAGTGGGTAGACTTCAAATTTCTTCTTTGGAGGTCTGCTGCTTCCCTGTGATTACTTGGGTCTGGAATGCTATAGGGTTTCCCTCTATATTTCTGCTATACCTTCAGCTCTCAATGTGCCCTGTACATCTGCACCACAGAGAAGGGCTTTCTCCACTTACAGTCTCTTCCAGTCACAGCCTGCTATGCTTGTTACTTGGTGCAAGCCTTAGGATAGGGTCAGGAGAGATTTCTCAATTCTCTTGCTCCAGCCTCAGTCATAGGTGTGCATCTGGGCCTCAAAGGTGGGGTTGTGGCAGCATCCCTAACTTTCCCCCATGACAACCAAATTCTTGTTTGTTAGTGTCTGGGAGGGTCTTGGGTAGAAGAGAGTTTCCTAATCCTCCTTCAGCAACAAGTAGTAGACTTCCGCTTTGTATCAGGGCAGTTTACTGTGCCTGAGTCAGGTTCCAGCCCCTCCTGTAAAGAAGATGGCTTTTGCTTCCTCCCCTTCGTGAAAGACAGAGCATCTTTGCCTGATTTCTGGGAGCTGTCCCTTCCCAGCATGGCTTTTGCTACATGTTGGACATGGGTCCATGATGTAGGCAGGCTTTCATGTCTAGTGATACAGACTCTCTCAGGTCTCCTTCCCTCTTTGTGATCTTTCACAAAAGTACTTGGTAAAGGTCCATAGAAAAAAGTCAGTGAGTGAGTGCGGGCTCTCTTGTGTCTAGAATTACCAGGGATTCTGATGCAGGGCAAGCAAGCACCAAGATTGGGGCTTAGCCTGGGAGGGTTCTTGGCTTCACCTAGGAAAGAATTCAAGAGCAAGCTGGTGGTGTTGGACAGCAACTTTTATTGAAGCCACAAAATAGAGCAGCAGCAGAGGTCCTGCTCCTCGTGGAGTGGGGCTACCCCATAGGGAGTGTGCCCAGAGTAGCATCTTAGGGCCGTTCTGTAGTCACATTTATAGCCACTTTTAATTACATACAAATTAAGGGGAAGATTATTCAGACATTTCTAGAAAAGTGTGGTAACTTCCAGGTCCTTGCCATGGAAAGGGGCAGTATCCTCCAGGCATTGCCATGGCCATGGTAGACTGTCATGGTGCTGGTGGGCATGTCTTATGGACAGGTGCTTTTGGTGCCTCTTACCCCTTTCAGCCAGCCTTCAATCTCATCTGATACAGAGTCCTGCCTCCTACATCAATTCCACACTGTCACGCCAGCCCATTGTATTGGTTTGTTAAGGGGGCTGTAAATTACCACAGACTTAGTGGCTTAAAACAACAGAACTTAATTCTCATACAGTTTTGGAAGGCAGAAGTCTAGAAACAAAGTGTCAGCAGTGCCCTATTACTACAGAGGCTCTAGTGTGGAATTCATTCCTTGCCTCTTCTAGGTTTGCCAGCTTCCTTGGCTTGTGGCCACATGACTCCAATCCCTGCCTGTCTTCATGTCACCTTTTCCTCTGTGACTTTCTTCTCCTCTTTATGTCTTATAAGAGCACTTGACAGAAGATTTAGGACCCACTTGAGTACTCCAGGATGATGTTCTCATTTCAAGATCCCTAATTACATCTGCAAAGACCCTTTTACCAAATAAAATGACAACTACTATGGGTTAGGACATGGACATGCCTTTTTGGGTGGCCACCATTCAACCCAATATATCCATACTCAGCATTTAATAAACGATTAGATTTCAACTATTTCTTTTTTGCTTGTTTTTGTGTTAACTTTTCTTACACTTTGCCAAACATAAAATAATCCATATGTCCCAACTCTCCTCAGTGGGCTTGTCACTCTTTGTGGTTCAGTTCACCTGTTTGCCTTGTACCCTCAGCTCTCAAGAAAACTTATGATCTTACAGACTATGTGGCGTCTTCTGGTGGTTAGAGTAGGAACAGTGTTCTCTGGCAGCGTTCTACAGCCCAAGCAGAAATAGAACTCCCTCACTTGGAAAGCCTGTGGCATGGTTGCCTCACCAGGTCAGGACTCTGGTCAGTAGAAGCAATTAGGTTGTCTTGTAGATCACTCATGACATTTGCAGTTATCACTCCCACTTGCAGCCAATGAGTCTTTTTCTCAGAATAATTTTTCTAGTCTTCTAAGTCTTGAAGGGAACTAATTTGTAAATTCACAAAGGTGGGACTTCTGGGGTTTTCCAAGTGTGAGCTCTTCCCCACTTAAGATCTGATACCATAAAGTGCATCCTATCAGTGCGCCATCCATCCTCCAGTACCCATGTGGACAGAGCGGTGTCCCGGCCTGTGCAGTAGGTGACACGCAGGGATTTGGCAGAAGTCCCGAGTGGGGTCCTGGGTCCTTCCCTTCCATCCGCAGCACCCATATGGGGATAGCCCCTCATAGGTGGTATGAATCACACCCCCCTTTCACTCTCAAGTATCATTTTTTAGAAAATAAACAGGTACCCTACCCCTAGGGGCTCAGCTGCCCAGCATTGTCAGAGCTCCTTGATGCACAGTGCTTTGCCTCCTGAACTATTTCTGTGTTCTTCTGCCCCAGACTCACCCCTGGAGCAATGATAGCTCGGGTCCCTGAGCACTGACCCTCACTTTCCTTAGCATGACTCTGCCCTTGGAAGCAGCCCTGGGGAGCCTCCTGCTCAGCTCCTCCAGTCTCCAGGGCCCTTCCCTGGCACTGGGTATGTGGCCAGGATGCTTCTGGACCTGGGTGTGGGCAGGCTTAGCGGTGTGAACAATGGAACCCAAGCCCAGAGAGGCAGAGCATTTAGATCGGGAGTCTGCATCGAATAGGACAGCTGGCCCACACACTTGTAGATTTACCTGGAAGTTCCTACTTGTTTGGGGACAAGGGTATTGATGATGAAGGGCAGCTCTGCACAGACCCAGGAGCCAAGGGCATGTTCACGTCCTCCCAAGTGAGGAGGGAGGAGGGACCACTGCCCACCACCCTGAAGCTCATGCTTGTCCTTGACTCCTTTTTCTCTTCATCCTAACATTCCTTATCGTTTTGGGTTGTGAAAATATTTCATGCTAAGTAACTTCTCCTTTGACGTTTTATCCTTTTTACAATGGAGTTTGTGCTTCCCCCTCCTTTTTCTCGGTAGGGAAGGGACTCCCAGAGCCCTGAACTTCAGGGAGGACACACCAACACACGAAGGCACACACACACACAATCTCTGATCCTCCTGCTGACACGTGGCTCATTAATCACACTCCACAGCTCACATTGTCCAGAGCTTACATCACGAAGCAGCGTCCTGTGAAGAGGCTGGGTCTGAAGAGCACATGAGGCAGAGAATGTGCATTGTCAAGTTGATTTACACTTAGAAGAGTCAGCAACAGATTGTTGGCATCATGAATCGTGGCTTAAAGATCTTTGCATCGCAGGAAGAAGGGCTCCTTCGGCATCTGAGGGTTTCAACCCTCTGGCTCCTTCAGTGAGGTCTTTCATGTGGGAAAGTGATCATGAAAAATGCCACCTTTCTTTGGAAGGGGCTTCTCTGAGATTCTAAAATATTTGAATTCACCTTAAAAGGGAAAGATGGGCATTCTGTCCTTGATTTGTCTGCAGACCTCACCACCTTGACAGATATGTAGAGTTGTGATCTTGGGTGAGTAACTCAACGTTTCATGACCTCATTTGTTTTTTTATAAATTGGGATGAAAAACGGCACACATCCAGTGAGCTGGCCCTAATGACTAAGACAAAGAGTGCACAAGAGTGAAGTCTGATGTAGGCGTTAGAGATCGTTCTCATGCTCATTCTCGCAGACACTGCCTTGAGTTTCACAGGCTGTGCTTTTCATGTCCCTGTCCCCTCTCCCCAAGAGAGCCCAGGGAGAGCCCTGTGACTAACACAGAGCTTCACTTCCTGCAATTCCTCTCCCACAAGGAGCACTTCTGTCTTCTGATTCAGGACGATGTTCCTATGGAGGCAGAATAATGGCCCCCAAGATGCCCACATTCTAATCCCCAGAGCCTGTAAATATGTGACCCTCCATAACAAAAGGGACTTTCCAGATGTGATTAAGAGTTTTTTTGTTATTTATTTATTTATTTTTTTACTTTTTTCATGAAAAAAATCATTTGAACTTTTATTTTAGATTCAGGGGATACACGTGCAGGTTTGTTATATGGGTATGTTGCTTGATGCTGAGGTTTGGGGTACTAAAGATCCCATCACCCAGGTACTGAGCTTAGTACCCAAAAGTTAGTTTTTCAACCCCTGTTCTCCTTCCTCTCTCCCTCCCTCCGCCAGTAGCCCCTAGTGTCTATTGTTGCCATCTTTATGTCCATGAGCCCCAATGTTTAACTCCCACTTATAAGTGAGAATATGTGGTATTTGGTCTTGTGTTCCAATTTCACTGATACAGACCCTCCTGTCTTCCAATTATTCACTTAGGATGATGGCTGACAGCTACATGCATGTTGCTGTCAAGGACATGATCTCATTCTTTTTTATGGCTGTATAGTATTCCACAGTGTATAGGTACCACATTTTCTTTATCCAGTCCACTGTGATGGACATCTAGGTTGACTTCATGTCTTTGCTATTGTGAATAGTGCTGCAATGAACATATGTGTGCATGCATCTTTTTGGTAGAATAGTTTATTTTCCTTCAGGTATATACCCAGTAATAGGATTGCTGGGTCAAATGATGGTTATGTTTCAAGTTCTTTGAGAAATCTCCAAACTGCTTTCCACAGTGGCTGAACTAATTCACATTCTCACCTACAGTGTATAAGCATTCCCTTTTCTCTACAGCTTCACCTGCATCTGTTAGTTTTTGACTTTTTAATAATAACCATTCTGACAGGTGTGAGATGGTATCTCACTGTGGTTTTGATTTGCATTTCTCTGTTGATTAGTGATGTTGAGCATTTTTTCATATGTCTGTTGGTTGCTAGTATGTCCTCTTTTGAGAAGTGTCTGCTCGTATCTTTTGCTCAATTTTTAATGGGGTTGTTTTTGGCTTGTCCAATTATTTAAGTTCCTACTAGATTCGGGATATTAGACCTTTGTAAAATGTATAGTTTGAGAGTATTTTCTCCTATTCTGTAGGCTGTTCTGTTTACTCTGTTGATAGTTTCTTTTGCTATGCAGACGCTCCTTAGTTTGAACAGGTCCCACTTGTCAATTTGTGTTGTAATTGCTTTTAAGGACTTAGTCATAAATTCTTTCCCAAGGATGATGTTCAGAATGGTGTTTCCTAGGTTTTCTTCTAGGATGCATATAGTTTGGGGTCTTATAATTAAATCTTTAATTCTTGTGTTAATTTGTGTGTATGGCGAAAGGTAGAAGTCCAGTTTCATTCATCTGCATATGGCTAGTCAGTAATCCCAGCACCATTTATTGAATAGAGAGTCCTTTCCCTATTGCTTATTTTTTTTTTAACTTTGTCAAAGATCAGATGGTTGTAGAAGTATGGCTTTACTTGTGCGTTCTCTATTCCGTTCCATTTGTCCAAGTGTCTGTTTTTGCACCAGTACAATGCTGTTTTGGTTATTATAGCCTTACAGCATAGTTTGAAGTTGGGTAATGTGATGCCTCCAGCTTTGTTCTTTTTGCTTAGAATTGTTTTGGCTATTCAGGCTCTTTTTTGGTTCTGTATGAATTTTAGAATTTTTTTTCTAATTCGGTGAAAAATGCTGTTGGTGGTTTGATAGGAATAGCATTGAATCTGCAGATTTCTTTGGGTAATATGGCCATTTTAATGATACTGATTCTTCCAATCCATGAGCATGGAAAGTTTTTCCATTTGTTTGTGCTATCTATGATTTCTTTCAGCAGTGTTTTTTAGTTCTCCTCGTAGAAATGTTTCACCTTTTTGGTCAGATGTATTCCTAGGTATTCGTGTGTGTGTGACATTGTAATGGGATTGCCTTCTTGAACTGGCTCTCAGCTTGAACATTATTGGTGTATAGAAATGCTACTAACTTTCGAACATTGATTTTGTATCCTGGAACTTTACTGAAGTTGTTTGTCAGTTCCAGGAGCCTTTTGGTGGAGTCATGAGGGTTTTCTAGGTATAGAGTCACATCGTTGGTGAAGAGATATAGCTTGACTTCATTTCCTGTTTGGATGACTCTTATTTCCTTCTCCTGCCTGATTGCTCTGGCTGAGACTTCCAGCTTAAGAGTCCTGAGACAGTGAAATTGTCTTCAGTTATCTGGATGGGCCCAATGTCATCACAAAGGTCCTTATAATTCAGAGGCAGGAGGATCAGGATCAGAGAGACTGGAAATAGGACAGAAGCAGAGGTTGAGTGTCACAATGTGATCACATCAAGGAAGACAGATAGAAAACCTCCAGAAGCTGAAAGGGGCAAGGCAACGGGTTTGCCTCCAGAAGAGCACATTCCTGCAGATACCCCCTTGGCTCCATAAGACTCATTTCAGACTTCCTCCTCGAGAACCAGAAGATCATAGATTTGTGTTGTTTTAAGCCACTAAGCTCGAGGTGATTTGTGACAGCAGTACCAGGAAACTGACACTGCTCCCTCTGGACCCATCACCCAGGGTGAGTCCAAAGTGATGGTGTCACAGCTTCAGGCTTCACAGCCCCATTAGTGCTCTTGCTTTCCGGCTGAAGTGTGGTCTGTGGAGCCCTTGTGCCTCCAGGCAATTGGATTTGCTTAATTGCTTAATTTTCCTTCTAAAGTTCGCCCTAACCAGGGCCCCATGTGAGGCCTCTGACCAAATGCGACAACAGTTTTGACGAATGTGCAGGGAAGCCTCATTAAGATCAATAATTCTTCTTTCTCCATCAAAACCCACCCCAGAAAGATGCAACAGGGCTGGCACAGGGTGCCCTGGAGCTGTGTTGTGCCACAGCCCCACTGGGCCTGGGGGCAGAGGACCCAGCTTCTTGTCCTTCACTGCTGTTGACATATTTATTACAGATCCGTTTCCCAGTAGACCAGCCCCCAGGCACATTAGTGTAATAATGTAGAAAACCATTAGCAGGATCTTTTAGGACCTGGGGTTAAAGAAGCTGTGACATGCTTGCCACAGAGGAATCTAACTGGCTTATTGTTCATTTAAAAATCACGTTGAATTGTTCTAGCTTTGACATTCAGAGCTGCTATCCGATGTGTAAAATTAAGAAGCATGAAGGAACAAACCTTGCTAACTTCAAGAGAAGCTGGCAATTCAATTAGAATAATAATGGAAACCAACTGGGTGTAAAAACCTGCCTCACTCAGGGCCTCGGTTCCAGAGAGACTGGTCTTGCCCAGATCTGAAGGGTCTCTGTGACTGACAGTGAATTTCACACCCTGCAGGCCTCCAGGAAGAGGAAAGTGCATGTGGTCAGTGTGTTCTTTATCACGGTGTAGAGGCTGCGTGCTACCTGTAAAGCTGCAAAGGTATCATCAGACAGACTGGCAGATGCGGGCTGGAGTGGGAATCTTGCAGGAACAGAGCAGGATGCAGAGGTTGGCTTTGGAGTGATCCTAGGCTGTTTCCACCCTGGTGAGTTGAAATGTCCATGGTGATGAGACCTGTCCGAGAGGACAGTGCGGAGCCTGCCTCGATATTTTAGGCTGTTTCAGTCACTGGTCAAATCAGAGCTGTCTCCTTCCAGGAACACTGAACACAGCAAAATCTGATGTAACAGAAACTAACATTTATTGACTGAGTGTCCTCTGTGCCAGTCACCGTGCGAGCCCTGGAATGCTCCTTGCTCAGAACGCGGTACACAGTAAGTGCCCAATAAATGGGAACTGCTGTTTTTATTAAGGTCATTGGGATTACTGCTGATGATCAGATGTGAGGTGATCTTGTCTCCGCAGCAAGACTGGCTGCTCCATGAAGGGGGACGCCGTCACACGCACGTGCACACATGTGCTACGCATACATATTTTCACACCCCAAGAAGAGGTCAACACGCTCACCACACGTGGATGCTCATTAAACTCTCTTCAACTTGAAATGGAGTCAAATGTACATTCTTTTTTAGAAGTCTGCAGTGTGGAACCGAGTGTTTATGTAGCGTTGAATGACAGAGGTCCTGCCAACGTCCACTTGCCATAGTGAACATGTGTGTGTTTCATGGGCTTTGTTACCAAGGAGCTCGCTGATCCTTCCCACTGAACCTAAAGTGAAATCACAGCCCTGGGTCTAATGAGATCACTCTTTCCATTTTGGGCAAATAAAGATGGTTTTTTAAAAAGTTCTCTTCAAAGTCTGCTTTGAAGAGCGAGTGAGAGAGGTGGGTAGCAGATGAGGATGGAAGCAGAGCTCCTGTCACTTCCTGCCTTCCTTTTTAAAGCTCTTGATGAGCCTGCTTTTTGTGGGAGCCTTGGTTACTAACACGATGTTTTGGTTGGTAGGAATACTGGATTCCTGGAAGTAAGAGTGTTGGGACTCCAAGATGGGCATGCTGCCTAGTATCTCTTCATGCCATCCCTTCCCCAAACCACACTCAGAAGCATGACATATTTTTTATATATATAATCAGCAGAGTTTCTGTCCTCTGCTGCTTTCTGGGGGTCACAGTTTCTCCTGGCAAGTCATGTTACCCAGAGTTCTCATGCCTTGAACATGGTAGACTTGCTGCAGTGTAAGGACAGGGTGCCCAGTGTCACAGCATTTCCCAAGCTCTGTGGGAGAAACGCTGACCCCAAGCAGATCTGACCAGAGGGACCAAGGTGGGCTCACTGTGAATCAAGGGCAGCTGGGACATGGGTACACTTTGGTAATGTCTGTTCCATGAAATTCTTGTTAAAATGAACAGGACCATGTCACAGCATGAATTGTAGTCAGTATAATCAATCCCAAATTAGCCATTTAAATACCTACCTTCTATAACCCAATTCAGTTTACTGTTGAAGCCTAGATTGCCTACATGTATAATGGAAGTAAGTCAGTTAACTATGATATAAACCAGTAAATTTTTTTCTAGGTTAAGTTATATTTGGAATACAAAAATTACAGAGACCCAGATTTTAAATGTAAATTTTTTTTCTTAACCTGGAAGATGATCAAGGCAAGGGGTAGAGAAGAAAAAAAAGGGCACCAAATGCCAGCCTGAGGGTGAACTGTTCAGAATAGACTAGAAAAGAAATGGAAATAATTTAGGAACAAAAATATCCTAGTAAATAATGTTTATCTTCAGTGAGAA
Organism: Homo sapiens; assembly: GCF_000001405.40. Taxonomy (NCBI): domain Eukaryota; kingdom Metazoa; phylum Chordata; class Mammalia; order Primates; family Hominidae; genus Homo; species Homo sapiens. Next base: position 238,815,716 of record NC_000002.12, on the reverse strand, counting down.
GACAAGTTCATCTTTGAAACAAGAATAAGATGATATGAAAAGGGAACAGAAAATAAAAGTAAGCCCTTGGACAATTTCTTTTTTATGAAACAACAACATGTGATTGCTAAAAAAAAGTTTTCAACAGAATATTTGGGAGATAAAAATCAAGAAAATCTCTGAGAAAATAGAATAATACATCAAAGAAACAAACAAATAAGCAAACGAAAGAGACAGGATTAAACCCAGAGGTCCTAGATTCGCTCCCCCTGAATGGGAGGGATTGTTCCATGCAGCCTCTGCTTGAGTTGGTATCCACACTCCAAGCCCTTGGAGCTGTTCTCTGACAAATCACTGCTTCAACAATGCAATTTGTCAGTTAAGTCCCAAGTGGGATCAAATCACCCTTCTCACTGTGCTTGGCTTACGTCAGCAATGAGTTTTACCCAAAGTCTGAATCTTGTTCTTTAAATTCCAAAAAAAAAAAAAAAAAAGATCCACTGTTGGGTAGTACTTTTGTTCACCCCATTGCACGTTTATATTTCCAGCTTTATCCCAGCTTCCTGTCATCAGGTTCTCAGCCAGCCCTGGTGTCCAGGGCATGTGGGAGCACTCTGGTTTGCCTTCTTGGCTGGAAGCCTATGTCTACTTGGAGATGATGGTGGTTCAGAAGGGCTGAGCAGAGGCCAGAGAGATCCACCAGGAGGAAAGCACTCCCACTCCAGCACTGTGTCAATGACCCTTAGCATTGTCAGAGATGGAGAGCGTGGGCTCCGGAACAGCCCAGGCATGTGAGGGCTGCCCATGGCTGGCTCCACACAGCCCTGGAAACACAGTGAGCACTCAGTCATCACTCACTCTGCTGTCATAAGTCTTCTCCAACCGCTAAATGCCCTAGTGGGAGAGGTTGAGAGATTCCCACAGGGTGGTGGACTTGCCACCAGAGCCCCATAGAGGAGGAAATGGCACTGGCTTGGCCTGCAGCTGGCTGAAAACTCTTACCAAAGGCATGCTGTAATCTCCAAGACATTGGAGCTCCATGGGTTGGAGCAACGGAAGAAGCCGAGGCCACCCTCCACCGGTTCGTTCACCCAGCGAAGCTTCAGTGCATGCTCTGATACCTCCCATCCTCACAGCAACCTTTAAGGGAGGGCTGATATCCTCTCCAGTTCACAGATGAGGAAAAGGAGGCAGCAGAGTGGCTGCATAGGTCACCCAAGGACCACGTAGAGAGGAAGAGGCAGAGCCGGGATTTGAACCAGGAAGTCTACCCATAAAGGTACCAGCTGCTTAGTCTACAGAGTGGACAAGGCTTCCTGCTCTGGCTGTGGGTGGGTTGTGGAAGGTAGAGGCTCAGACCCCCATCAGCTTCAGCCCCTCCTCCTGCTCAGTGGAACCCAGAAAATACAGATGGCTCTGGAAGCACAGTTGAGAATCACTGGGCAAGTTAGAAAGAGAGATGAGAGCCTGGGAGCCAGCCCGTGGGTTCCTGAACATCAGAGAGGTCCCAGGAAGGAAAGCAGGGCTGGGTGAAGCTGCTAAGGGCTTTGATGGTAGAGTTGTGACAGAAGGGTTTAATTCATCAAAAAAGAGCCAAAAAGTCACTGTAGGGAAACTGAGGAGGAGGATGCATGTCCTGACCTCAGCGAGTGCTCTGTCCGGTTGGAGACAAAAGACAGAGCACCACTGTGGAGGCCTCCAGGGCCCTGGAGATACAGACAAGGGATGCAGGGAGCTCCCTGTGTCCAAAGCGCTCAGGGAAGACTCCGTGGAAGGTGGTCATACCTGGCTTCCAAGTGGGCAGGGTGTGGGCAGGGGAAGGCACTGCAAAGTCCTTGGGAACAGGGGCAGGCTGTGGTTTCCCAGAGTGGGACAGGCACATGACGGAAGGAGCAGGGGAGTTGTCCTAGGAGTGAGGAGGAGAGTGATCTCCCTCTATAGAAAGGGAGCTGGAAGGAGGAGAACAGCAGGAGGAAGGGGTCAGAATAGAGGGAGAGGAAGGCCTGGCCAAGGCTTTGGAGGTTGATGGTTTAAAGATTTCAAGGGAAAATTGCTTTTGGCAATGATGGAGGATTTAGGGTAGGTGACGCTGGAAATAGGGCCATCAGCCTGGAAGGTGCCACAATAGCCTGGGAAGATAGAGAGCATCAGAGTCTGGATGGGAGCAGGAGGCAGGGGCAGGAGAGGAAAGGGTGAGTGGGGAAGGGGAAAGCAGCAGGAAGGCTGGCTCCAAACCTGGCCCCTGCCCAGCCACCAGCACAAATGGCCTGTGAGCTCCAGGTTTCTCATCTTTACAATGTGGATATGACAGTCACCATGTGACCATGCAGCGGTGTCTTGAGGGCTTCGTGGGAAGGTGACAGTAATGGGTCCAGCACAGCTGGCTCCTTGCAACGCAAGAAACGGCACTGATGTTTCCTGTCCTCAGAGGGACCTGGTGACAAACTGGCTGTGAGGCTGAAAGAGGAAGGAGTCAGAGAGGGATGCATGACGTAAGCCAGGCTTGCTGGAACCAAGGTGGACCATGGACACCTAGGTGGGATCAGCCCCACCCGTATCACTCGTGGACAGGATGCAAGTGGGCAAGGTGGCTTCCTGCTGCCCTTGGAGGGGTGAGATCAGCGGGGCAGACAGACTTGCGCTGCCCGGGCCCCCTGATCTCCAGACACCGCCAGACTCTCCCCACTTACCCCACTTGCCCTTTCTAAAATGCAAAGAACCTGAAGAACTGGGAAACCTCATCCAAAGCCCACCACTGCAACTCCAGAGAACTGTCTCCTTCTGGAGGTTTCTTATTCAGAGTTTCACACGCAAACAAATCAACAAAGGAGCTATGAACCAGAATCCTCCAACCAGGGCTGTCCCTGGCCTCTGGAAAGGGGATTTCTCATGCAGGAGATGTATAATATGTGTCTGTCAGATCAGAGAAATTGCAATCACTGTCAGATCTGTGGGATTTTCTGTCTTCCCTCAGATGGATGTGGCTAAGATCATGTCAGAAGACAACACTGAGGTCTAAAAGGCCAAAGGGCAGAAACAAGAAGTAGAAGAAATATATTCATTGGCTTGTTTGGCAATACGGAGTCACAAATTGCACTGTTTGAATTTAAAATGTTTTAAAAATTGTATTGTCAAGACCATTTAAGAATTTGGAGTAATCCTCATAATCACTTAATATTAACCCACTATGTGTCCATCTGTTTCCCTTTCTCTTTGACCCTGGATGTTCTAATGTAATCAGCATTTTCTGAGTTGAAAGTTGAAGCTAGGCCGGGCGCGGTGGTTCACGCCTGTAATCCCAGCACTTTGGGAGGCCGAGGCGGGTGGATCACGAGGTCAGGAGATCGAGACCATCCCGGCTAAAACGGTGAAACCCCGTCTCTACTAAAAATACAAAAAATTAGCCGGGCGTAGTGGTGGGCGCCTGTAGTCCCAGCTACTTGGGAGGCTGAGGCAGGAGAATGGCGTGAACCCGGGAGGCGGAGCTTGCAGTGAGCCGAGATCCCGCCACTGCACTCTAGCCTGGGCGACAGAGCGAGACTCCGTCTCAAAAAAAAAAAAAAAAAAAAAAAAAAAGAAAGAAAGTTGAAGCTGAGGATGACGAGAAGGAAGAAGGTATATTAACAAATAAATGTAGACCAGGATCACACTGATTCAATTTTGTCATGAAGGAGAAAAAGTGAACACCAGGTCCAACTCTGAACTTGAGGTTTGAGAGCTGAGACTTAATTGAGAGCAGAAATAGAAACACATTTGCTCGCTGGGCTTTGACCATCTGCCAGCAGCACATCGATGGTTTCCTCAGTGTCTGTGCGTCATGTTCATGATGTCTCCTGTTTTCTCTCCACCCCGTATTCAAAAATAATTGAGAAGATTCAACAGAAGTGGTTCTATCTCTGTTTCTCTTTGTTATTCAAATGAGGGAGGAAAGCAAAATTTTAAGGAGATGGTTTTAATTAGCAAATAAAATAACAACATCTTATACTTGCAGACCACTAGATCTGAAATTGATTTGCAAATAGGATTTTGTTAATCCTTCCAACGTTTCCTAAAATAGGGTTGTGGAAAACGTTATTCTGCTTTTAGATGGAGAAGTGGGCTCTGCAAGAAGCAGTGGCCATAGATTGAAAGACCCTTCAAGAGGCGACTGCTTAAATTCCTTGTAAACATCACTTGAAATGAAAACCAGAACGAGGCTGCTTCTCCATGAATCACTAGCACCCAGATGTGGCAAAGTTAACTGGAGAACTTCCTTGCTCTGACTTCCAGATGGCTTGAAAGAAAACAATGTCTTTATCACTGGAGTGTTTCAAATCAGTTGTGGATAGGTCAAAACTTCCTGCTACATGGGGGTGGTGTCAGAATGAACTGGGCCATTGTTTCTGCACATGGATCTTCAGGATTGTTCTGAGATGGGACTGGAACGAGCTAAACCATGAGCATGAAATTCCAGAGATGAGGGGGAAGTCCTAGAGGAGCTTACTAAGAACTGACCTTTGGTTCCAAAGGTGGAATTGAAGCAGGCTCCTGCCCTTCTGAACAACCGGGCCCTTCACGCATTGAATGGTGGCCCCCACAAAAGACACGTCCACGTCTTAATGCCCAGAACCTATGAATTATCATATTTGGAAAAAGGGTCTTTGCAGATGTAATTAAGTAAAAGATCTCAAGATGAGACCATCCTCGATTATTCCGAGAGGCCCTAAATCCAATGTCAAGTGTCCTTGCAAGGGACAGAAGAGGAGAGACCCAGAGAGAAGAGAAGGCCGTATGAAAATGAGGTGGAGATATGCACCCAGCAAGACCAGGAACGCCTTCAGCCACCAGAAGAAGGAAGAGGCAAGGATGGATTCTCCCCCAGGGCCTTCAGAGGACGCATAACCCCGTCAACACCTGGATTCTTGATTTCCAGCCTCCAGAACTGTGAGAGAATAACCTTCTTTTGTGGGAAGCCACCAAGTTTGTGGCACTTAGTCATGGCAGCTAGGAAAATTAATATAGGCCCTGACACAGAGAACACAGATGACCAAGACAAAGAAAGCCCTGTGTCACCTTCTAGTCTCTAAAGACCCACTAGGGGAGAGGGAGGAGCGGGAAGACAGAAGAGGTGGGGTGGCAACCTGTTGCCATCACGAGTGATGGCCAGGGCTTTCTAACAGAAGCAAGGTTGGGAGGACTTTTCTGACCACCTGCGCTGGTGACCTGGATGGAAAGGACCAGCACATCCACCATCAGTGGGGCTTAGTCCAGACATCTCCTCAGCTGTCCCAGAGAGCAGACGACAGGTATGCCAGACTTAGGGTCCCAAAAGTTGGGGTGTGGTGTCCTAGTCAGAGCAATTGGGCCTTCTGGATTGGTCCCAGACACAAATGACACACAGACCCTTTAACGACACACAGCTAAAGTTCAGTCACACTCTTGCATTTCAAACTTAGGTGACTGAGCCTGAATTCAAGTTCCTTGCATTAAAATCAAGATGAATTGGCCATTTTTATCTTTAAGACCCTCAGGCTTCAACTAATGTAGCAGAGTGTGGCAACTAAAAAAGGCTTGTCTCATAACACATGATTTATTTGGGAGGAGGCACCCAGGTCCCAAAAGGAGGTTTTCCCAGGACTCCAGGAAGTACTTTTAGGATTTTTAAATTAGGAATAATCTTAGAAATAGGGAAGAAGGACTCATGTCTGATGTGATCACCATGCAGGCACCAAGCCCTGCCACAGGAAGACAGTCACAAATTGGGTAAGCTCTTTGAACACTGGGGACTCATCTGTTCAGAGCAGAACCTACCTGTTCTGAACTGACATTATTCCTGGAGGCTGATTTCATAGCCTTTTTTTTTTTCTTTTTTTCTTTCTTTTTTTTTTTTTTTTTTTTGATGCAGAATCTTGCTCTGTCACCCAGGCTGGGGTGCAGTGGTGGGATCTCAGCTCACTGCAACCTGCACCTCCCAGGTTTTAGTGATTCTCCTGCTCAGCCTCCTGAGTAGCTGGGATTGCAGGTGTGCATCACCACGTTTGGCTAATTTTTATATTTTTGGTAGAGATGGGGTTTCACCATGTTGGCCAGGTTTGTCTTGAACTCCTGGCCTCAAGGGATCTGCCCACCCACCTTGGGCTCCCAAAGTGTTGGGACTACAGGCCTTAGCCACCATGCCCAGCCCTGATTTCATAGCTTTAAAAGTACACGGTGTTCACCAAAAGTGTTTCTGAATTAGGTAGAGTTTGTGATAGGGGCTAGAAGGATATGACAAGGAATACAGCAGTTTAAAAGGCACGTGTAGTCTATTTAAAATAAGGATATGATCTGATCAATTAATGCTTTAAAAATACAACTGAAATACTCAAATTAAAAACTCAATGGAGAGTACAGAAGAAAGAATGGATGAACTTGAGAGAACAACAGAAATTAACCAATCTGGACAATAGAGAGAAAATAGACTAAAAAAAGAAACAGAGCCTTGGGGACTTGTGGGACTATAACAAAAGATCTAATTCTCATGTCCTCTAAGTCTTAGAAGGAGAGAATAAAGAGGAAGATCCTGAAAAAGTATTCAAATAAATAATGGCTGAAAATTTCCCAAGTTTGGCAAAAGACATCAACTTACAGATTTGAGATGCTGAGCAAATCCTAAACAGGATGGACTCAAAGAATCTCATGCCAAAACACAGCATAATCAAATTCCAGGAAACCAAACACAAAGTAAAATCTTGAAATTGGTGACAGCAAAACAATACCTTCCCCCAGGGGGAGAAGCAGTTTGAATGACAGCAGGTATCTCAACAGAAACTATGGGAGCCAGAAGGAAGTGGCACAACATTTTCCAAGTGCTGAAATAAAAGCTGTCAACCTTGAATTCCATATCTGGCAAAAGTATCCTTTAGGAAAGAAAGAAAAATAAAGATGTGCTCAAATAAAGGAAAATTAAGAGAATGTCTTGCCGTCAAGCCTACCCTAAAAGAAAGCCTCAGGGAAGTTTGCTAAACAGAAAGAAAATAGAAGACTCTTGGCCCATCAGGAAGGAAAGAGAGTGGAAAGAATAAAACATGGGACATGCTGCTTTGCAGCCATGAGTCACCAAGCAGGAGTAAAGTCAGTCTGAAACTGGTTTGCTGGAGAGACTGCCCTGAGATAGAGAGATGTGGTCAGGAGAATTCCAGTGTGGCTCTCTTGAGTACCAACTTCTAGGATTCAAGCTGTACGATCTCCTTCACCTGAGAGTGGGCAGGACCTGTCAAAAGCAAATCATCCTGGGTGGGTACCAGCTAATCAGAGGAGCCCCATAAAGATGGACCAGGGGTTAGAGACATTCTCCTACTGATGCTGAAGAAGCAGCCACCTTACAAGGTTCAAAACTGCCACAGTGAAGGGCGGACTCTAGGAGTTGAGGGCTGCAGTTATAGAACTGCAAGGAACTAAATTCTCCTAAGAACTTGAATGAGCTTAGAACAGGACTTCAAACTCCAGATGAGCATGCAGCTAGCCAAGAGGACCCAGACTCCTGACCCATGGTAACTGTGAGATAACAAATACATGTTGCAGTAAGTCACAGATACACACACACACACACACACACACACACACACACACAGAGGCATTAAAAATAAAGATATGATCCAAGTCAATTGATTATTATACTAAGTATAGGTCATCATTTTGCATCAATAAAATAACACCTTCAGTGATGTCAACTCAGTGGAAACATTTTGTCCATCAGTTCTTGCACAGGGAATCAAAATTTGCAATTTATACTTATTTATTTTTAAATGGCAAAAAAGTTCAGTTATATGAACATGATTAGTAATATCCCCAAATTACTCAGATATCCACCAGCATATAAACTGTGCTATAACCACAAAGAGAGCACTGTGCAGCCGCGAAAAAGAGTGCTCCACCCCTACCTGCGACAAATCCCACAAACACCATGTTTAGCTAATGAAGCCAGCCACAAAAGTCTATATGCGACAAAATTCAATTTACATAAAGTACAAACACAAATCTATGGCAACACTAATCTATGTTATTTCAAGTTAGAATTGTGATTGGTTTTGGAAGGAGTCCCTCTGGGACTGACTTATCTGGTGCCGGTAATTCTGGTGCCTGGCTTCCTGGATGTGTTTAGTTTGTACACATTTATATGTAGACTCTTGTGTATGTATATCACATGTCACTAAAAGGTTTCCAATGACACAGTAACAGCTTCCATTATGAAAATGAGCAGTTTGCATTTGCTGTGAGGCATGGTCTCGTTGCTCTGCCTGAGCTGGAAGCTCTCCCTGTAAGAAGCAGGCCATGACACTAATGACACATTCCACACGGATGCCTCCCCATCTGCATTTGTGACCCAGGCCGTGACATGATGACGGAAAAGGTCACATCATCCCCACCCTGCCATGAGCCGTGGCCTATGGCAAGCTACTGGGGCTAACACCATAGATAAACCATCTTTTCTCTATTTACAACCACCGACAATAGAATGCACATTCCTCCCTTGCTCTCTGGAGTAGTGACCGGAGCTTAGTACCTTCGGTGTCAGGTAGGACCCCCAGGATGTAGGAAAGAAGGGGACTGTGGAAGAAAGACTCAGCTAAGTTGTTCCAAGCGATCAAGAGGAAGTCAGGGTGAGGCACCCCAGTCACTCTCCTTTGCCCTGAGCCCGGTTCCTGCACTGCCTCTGCCTGTTGTGAGAACTTGGGGAGCCACTCTGTCCACTCCAGTCAGCGGCTGGAGTTTGGAGGGTGGGAAGAAGAGAGGAGCCAGGGAATGACCACCCCTACCACTCCCAACAGTATCTCCGTGTGCAACCAAACCCCCCCACACCCCAAATTCATTGGTGTCAGTGAACTCTGGAGCATTAATTTACGTATAAAATCTCAGGGGAATGGCCCAAACTCTCTGGCTGATTGGCAGCCTCGCTGACCTCTGCTCATTCACTTGACTTCTGAGTGGCGGTCAACTCTATACCTTGGCCAAGAGATTCATGTGGGCACCCACCCCAGTGGGCATCACCCCTCACCTTACACAGCAGGCACTTGCTCCTCCATCAGTAATCTCAGTGCAGTGGACTTAGAGTGATTTTGTGGAATTTTTATGGGTGCGTGGCAGTGGGATGGAGGTGTTGTACATGCCACCAAAGTGATAACTCCAGAACGGCCATCGTGTTGAAACCTGTAAAAACTGGCATCTCAGCAACACGGCAAAACCCCGTCTCCACTAAAAATACAAAAAAAAAAATTAGCCAGGCATGGTGGTGCCTGCCTGTAATCCCAGCTACTAGGGAGGCTGAGGCAGGAGAATTGCTTGAACCCGGGAGATGGAGGTTGCAGTGAGCCGAGATCAAGCCACTGCACTCCAGCCTAGGAGACAGCAAAACTCCATCTCCAAAAAAAAAAAAAAAAGAAGGAAAGAAAAAGAAAGGAATAAAGAAAAGAAAATTGGAGTTTCAGGGGTGGTCTTTCTGTCATGTTGGTGCCCATGTGCCCGGCTTCAGAACGGCTGCCGCCCTGGGCAGGTTAAGATGTCAGATGCGGTTGATCCCAAGAGCCACCCCGTCCCGCCACTCTGCTGACTTCTCAGCGGCTCCCCTGACCATGCCAGGGCACTTCAGGGATGCCCATGGGTCACAGATCTCTGGGTGTGTGTCTGTTCAAAGAGTCAACGCTGAGCTCCGAGGGACGCAGGATCTCACATCTACAGGGGCGGGCTTAGACATGGCCATGCCCCCCGGAGCACCTGTGACTCCAGGACAGGTAGCAGGTGCTTCCAGATAGTTCTTCCTCCTCCACTAGACAAATGGAGAACCTGAGGTGGACTGTGTTCCATGGAGAGGACTCCCTGTTACAAAAGGTCTGCAGCCAAATTTTCAAATAGCAGTTTCTTCTAGTTCCTTCAGCTTTTCTTAGATAAGATTCTGTTGATAACAATCGCCACCACAAAAGGGTCATCAGCTGCTCAGAGTCACAGGTACTACAGAGAGTGTCCTAGACACCCACCTGCATTTTGGAAGGTAAATTGGACAAGAGTGAAAGACAGAAGACCTGCCTTGCAGACGTGGTTTATTTGACTTGGGGATGAAAATGCACCAATACAAGGCCTGGTTGCCTTTTTTAATCACCTAGAATAACAGATTTGTCTCTGAAAACCGAAATTAAATCTTTACTTGTTTGCCATCCTTCTTCATTCTTTCAGATTTCCGTTTCAAATAGCAAGAATACCATATATTTGAAGCCCTGTTTTTTCTCGTCTGTTTCAAATAGCAAGGCTAGTATATATTTGAAGCACTTTTTATTTTATTTTTATAATTGCAACAAAGATAACACAGATCAGACTTTAAGATTTGTGGAAGAATCAACATATTTATTTCTCAAGTTATTGGTCCTGATCCAACGCCTGAAAGATGATTTGGTTGTCCTACATGGGGCATGTTTTCGTCAATACTTAAAGCCTTCATCGTAGCACTGAATAGAGAATGTTTGAATTGACTAATCATTTCACATTCCTTGAAGTATTTTTAATTGAAAAAGGCAGTACAATTAGTGTGAGGAGACTTTCAAAAACTTTTAGAGGAAGCTGATATCTGATTGTTATGAGAAGAAAAAACACTGTTCTAAAATTCTTAAAATAATAAAGTTAACTTTAAATTTCAAAACATAGTAGGTAATCTGTTTCTCTCTGGTATTTTAATGTCAGGTTTGAAGAGGTAGCAGTTATTTCTGGGAGGGGGAATAAACTATTCTCTCTTCAATCAGCTCAAAATTACTTTCTTTTTAGTTACTGTGCTTGTTTTATCAGCTACTACTCCACTGGTTTTACCATGTATTATTTTTTATTTTAATTTTTGCCCTAATGTTAATGATGGCAGCTCCAAAGACAGGTGAGAAAACTTCATGAGAAAAAATATGATACATTTCCAAACCCCCAATTGTCCCCAGATGTGACCTGGCAGCCTGTCTGTTCTGTGTAGGGATACACTTGATGAAGTCTTAAGAACACTGCCCAAGAAACACTATTTGCTGGAGAGATGCGTGCTAGTGAGATGCTCCCCTCTCCAGTACAGCTTGGGAGGTGGGGTTTTCATTATTAATTACAAATTGCCTCTGGGACGGCGGAACTTAGGGAAGGAGTTAGTGAATAAAAATGTGGTGAAGCAAAGAATGGAGGAGGGCTTTGACACTGCAGCGAAGAGGATTTGGGGCTAATGAGAGCAAATGATGACGACCATAAGCTTTTACTAGGAAAAAGCCCCCGCCTGATTTTTCCTTTCAAAAATGCCTTCCATAAATGGTGGAAATCCTATAAATATCCCCTCCACAAATCGGCTGGAGGAAGACACAGCGGGAAGAGGGGGTTTGTGTAGCTTGTGGTGGAGTGGAATTCCTCGGCCCCAATTCAGAACCGTTCCCTGTGGGATCCTTCTGCTTTAAAGTGGTCCGCGGGTGGGGCTCCCAGAGTATCCATGTTCTGAGCCAAGCTGATTATCTCTGCTTTTTATCTACAGACGGAAATAGGAGCAATACACACAAAATTAGCTCCATAAATAAATGCTGAGGTCTACTTGCCCGGTCCTCTCTGGCCCAGGAGGCTGTGGGACGTTCTCTGGTCTCTTTCATCTCTGGTTGTGGCTGGTTGGCCCAGGACACAGGAAACTCGTGTTTTCTGCCATCAGAGAAGTGCTCTGGTGGCCTCCGTCCATTTTCCCTGGGGGAGAAAAATTTACTTTGTACTAATTGGCCTCCTTCTTGGCAGCACTGGTGCAATCGTAGCAGTCCCCTGAGCTGAGACTGAGTTCTCCGTGGAAAGGAGAGAAGGTGACAGGCGGCTTGGCTCAAGGACACAAAGCTAAGGGATGAGGGCATGTACTTTCTGGAACCTTCTCAGCAACTGGCTGGTCCTAGGACAAAACCTGTCATCAAAGTCCCTTGCTCAGAGCTGCTCCAGGTGGCGTCTCTCTCCCCAGACACCATTCCCGCACCCAGCGGCACAGGATCCCAGGGCAACGTGTGCTGCCTTTCTCTAAAGCACCATGCAAACTGCAGGTCAAAGGATGCTCCTTCCAGCAGGTATTTCAAATTTCGTAAACAGTCCTTCCCGACTGTGCTGTGCTCATAAAGCAGTCATCTATATGGAAGAAAAGAGGAGGACAACAGAAGTCTTCCACAATTTACCACTCAAAGGTAACTGTGGCAATATTGTGGCAGCGTCACGCTTGTTTAAAAAGAGCCTTGCAGTTATTTTTTATATTCAGTAACATAACCTGCTTTTTTTTTTACTTCACATTATCCCATGTACATTTTCTCCTGTTATTAAAAACTCTCAAACAGTTTATACTGACAGTATAATATTTCATCACTTAGCTTTCCATTATTTATTTGAAGACATCTCTCAGATGATGGACATTGTAGTTACTCTTAGATTTCATTATTATAAATGAGGTGGTGAGGAACACCTTCAGGCATAAATCATTGTCTCCGTTCTTTATTATTCCCTCAAAGTCGATGATTCATCACGGCATTACTGGGTCAAAGGTAATGGACATTGGATCATTTTTAACACATAAATTTCCAAATTGCTTTCCAAAAGCACTCTAGCACTTTGTAGCCTCACTCTTGCCAAGGATCTAGGAGGCTACCCAGCCCCTCCCCACCTGACTCCCAGCACTGGGCATTCACATTTTTAAAAACCTCTGCTTATGAGAACACTGCTTTGATCTGCGTTTCTCTGACCATCAGTAATGTTAGGCACATTTCTAATTTACTCATCCCACATTTTACACTATTATTATTGTGGGGAAGCTTTTAATTAGCAATAATCGCGCCTCAGATAAACCTCATGGGCTATGATATTACCACTGTGCAAAGCTGTGCACTATGATTATTTTAAAATTAACTCTTTAATCTTAATATTTGGGGTTGTATACAGTAGATAATGTGTTTTTCTAAATAGCCAACCAATTATATGAACACCACTTACTGTCTAATCCTCCAAGTCGTCCTGGTTTGTGATCCATTTTTTGTCGAATATTCACTTCGTTTCTCTCTTTCCAGGTTATCTCTCCTGCTCTGTGAAGTCTGTCTGTCCTTGGATCAGAACAATGTAAGGATTGTGGATATAATTTCCCTGCACGCCGACATTCGGCCTTACTGATGAGGTGGGTACCACCATCTCACTGTATACCCTTCATCTTGTATCTGTTGTTTTTGGTGATTTTTAATCCCGGGTAGCTTTCACATTTTTCTCCTTATCCTTGTGTTTTGCAGTTTGTTATGCTGTCTTCACAGGAATTGGTTTCTAGTTATCCTGTCTTCCCGGGTAGCTTTCACATTTTTCTCCTTATCCTTGTGTTTTGCAGTTTGTTACGCTGTCTTCACAGGAATTGGTTTCTAGTTATCCTGTCTAGGACTTGAGGATATTTTAAAACCACACCATGTATGTCCTTCAATTCTGGAAAAACTTCAGGCATTACCTCTACAAATATTGACTATTCCAGAGTCTCACTGTTCTCTTTCTAGAACTTCTATGAGGTGCCTATTTAAGCACCTCATCTTGTTCTCTCTGTCTCTTAATTTCTCATATGTGTTTCCATTTCTTTATCTCACTGTGCTGCAGGCTGACGAGTTTTCAGGTTTCTTCCCCCAGTTTTCTGCAGTCATGCGTCACTTAATGATGGGAATATGTTCTGAGAAATGCATCGTCAGATGATTTTGTCATTGTGTGAACATCAGAGCGCGTGCTTACACAGACCTGGATGGTGTGGCCTCCTACACCCCTAGGCTATGTGGTTTAGCCTCTTGCCCAGGCTACAAACCTAGACAGCATGTGACTGCACGGAATACTGTAGGCAAGTGTAACACAATGGGAAGTATTTGTGTATCTAAACATAGAAAAGGCATAGCAAAAACACTGTTGGCCAGGCGCAGTGGCTCACGCCTGTAATCCCAACACTTTGGGAGGCCAAGGAGCGTGGATCACGAGGTCAGGAGTTTGAGACCAGCCTGGTCAATATGGTGAAACCCCATCTCTACTAAAAATACAAAAATTAGCCAGGTGTAGTGACGCGCGCCTGTGGTCCCAGCTACTCGGGAGGCTGAGGATACAGGAGAATCGCTTGAACTTGGGAGGCAGAGGTTGCAGTGAGCCAAGATCGTGCCACTGCACTCCAGCTGGGCGACAGAGCAAGACTCCATCTAAAACAAAACAAAACAAAACAAAAAACACAGTGTAAAATATGAAAAAGAATGCATCTGTTGTCTAGGGCATGTACTGTGAGTGGAGCTGGCAGGACTGGGAGTTGCTCTGGGTGAGTCTGTGAGTGAGGGGTGGTGAATGTGAAGGTCTACACTGCTGGAGTCTTTATAGACACTGCACACTTAGGCTCAACTACATTTATAAAAATATTTTTTTCTTCAATAATAAATTAACCTGAACTGGCTGTAACTTTTTAACTTTATAAACTCTTACTTTTTAACCTTTTTGACTCTTCTGTAATAACACTTAGCTTAAAACACAAACACGTTGTACAGCTCTACAAAAATATTTTCTTTCTTTATATTCTTATTCTATAAGCTTCCTTCTGCTTAAAAAATTTTTACTTTAATTTTTCACTTTTTAAATTTTTGTGCTAAAAATCAAGCTACGACACATTAGCCTAGGCTTACACAGGGTCGGGGTCACCCATACTACTGTCTTCCACCTCCACCTCTTGTCCCACTGGTGACGCGTGGAGCTGTCACCTCCTATATGACAATGTCTTCCTCTGGATACCTACTGCAGGACCCACTGAGGCTGTTTTACAGGTAACTATTTTTCTATTTTTTAACAAATGGAAGGAATATACTCTAAAACAACGACTCAAAGTATGATACAGTAACTACATAAACCAGCAACATCATCATTTGTTATCATTATCAAGTATTACGGGATGTACATAATTCTATGTGCTAGACTTTTAGACGACTGGCACGCAGTAGGTTTGTTTATACCACAAACACGTGAGGAATGTGCGGTGCCATCGAAATCACCAGGCGATAGGAGTTTTCAGCTCCATTATCCTCTTCCGGGACCACGGTCGTACATGCGGTCCATGACTGGGC
This sequence comes from Homo sapiens, assembly GCF_000001405.40. NCBI lineage: Eukaryota > Metazoa > Chordata > Mammalia > Primates > Hominidae > Homo > Homo sapiens. The sequence goes on along the minus strand of NC_000002.12, from coordinate 238,800,648 downwards.
TTCCCACTTCAGCGACATCACGTCGACTCTCGGAGGTTTCTTTTTACCTAGGTTCTTTTATAAACCTAGGATTCCTTCTTAATTATGTTTCACGTTTGCTGATTCTTATTTCATAATTGCCTATTCTTGCTTTAAGGATTTTTGTAGTTTGAATGTATGTATCCCCCCAAAATTCTTGTGTTGGAGCTTGACTCTCAAGGGGTTGCTATGAAGAGTTGGGGCCCGTGGGAGGTGATTAGGCCCAGAGGACCCCAGTCTCATGAACGGAATTAATGTCCTTATAAAATAGACTTCAGAGAACTGCCTCCAGCTTCCACTCTGCTGGCATGTGAGGACACAGCCTTTGGTCCCCTCGTCAAGTGAGAGAGAACACGGCGTCTGTCCTCTCCACAGGGCACAGCAGCAACAAGGCGCCATCTTGGAAGCAGAGAGCAGCCCTCACCAGACACCAAGTTTACTGGCCCTTGATCTTGGACTTCTCAGCCTCCAGAACTGGGAGAAATAAATTCCCATTGTTTATAAATTACCCAGTACATGGAATTTTGTTACAGCTGCAGGAATGGACTCTTTCCCTTCCTTTAGCTCTTTGAATATTTAAAGTGTGTCTAGTTTACAGTTTCATTCAGATTATTCTATTAACTTTAGTTCCTGGGGTACAAATATTCCCATTCTGGGGCAATGGACCCTTTGGTCTATTTTAGTTGACACTGGGCTCAGCTGTAGCTACTTCTCATCCGTGAGCATGGTTTTCAGCCTTCTGTCTCCACACTCTGAGCATAGAAGTGTGACTTTGGGCCTCACACCTGCACACAGCACAGGCTGAGCTTCTTCTCACTTCACAGCCTTTTAAAGGATTTCTTCTTCCAGGCTATGACCTGTGGCCAAAACACAGATCTTTCTGCTCCCTCCCTGCTCACGCTTGGAAACTTCCAAACTCTCCTCTCCTAGATTCAAACAAGAAGAGAAATTCCGGATTCTTTCTTCTCATGGTCATTTGAACCCCTCCTACTGTGAGAACTCCAGCCCACCTGCACACCCTCTTTGGAGCACACCACTGAGACTCCTGTTCACTGCTCCAACTGAGAGCTTCCTCTTGATTTCTGGGAACTGGTTTCCCTTTCTTGCTTTTTTGTCTTGGCTCAATTTTTAAATTTAAAGAACAGGTGCAGTGGCTCACACCTGTAATCCCAGCACTTTGGGAAGCCAAGACAGAAGGATCCTTTGAAGCCAGGAGTTTGAAACAAGCCCGGACAACACAGCAAGACTCCATTTCTACAAAAAAAAAAAAAAATAATTATCTGGGTGTGGTGGCATGCACCTGTAGACCCAGCTACTCAGGCTGCTAAGCTGAGAGAATCACTTTAGCCCAGAATTGGAGGCTGCAGTGAGTTATGATGGCACCACTGCACTCCAGCCTGTGTGACAGAACAAGACCATCTCAAAATAAATAAATTTAGATCAGCAGTTTTAAGTGTTTGGAGAAGACTGGACAAATCTCATGACTGTTGGATCCTTTGTAATGACTATAAATCTACTTAATTTTTGTGGATTCAAAAGTGCTGTAACATCCATTTGGGCTAGGCCTCCTCCATCTCTTCCTTATCTTCACTTCCCATTCTTTCCTTTCTTATCTTTCTTTTCCTTTCCTTATTTGTTGAAGCCATTTTCACATGACTTCCAAATGCACTTATTTTTGTGAAGTTAGAGAAATCCTATACGAATTTTAATTTGAATTAAGTAATTTATATGTTTGTAATATTTAGTCTTCTTATCTAGAAACATGCTGTAGGAAATTGTGTTTCCTGTCCACTCCTCTTTATCTTCTCTTATCCTTCCTTATTTTGTGAAGTTAAAATCCTGTAGGAATTTTAATTTGAATTAAGGAATTTGTATGTTTGTAATATTTAGTCTTATCTAAAAACATGGTGTAATAAATTTTGTTTCCTGTTCACTCTTCTGTTGTCTCCTCTTTTCCTTCCTTGCATCCCTCCCTTCCTCCTATTGTGCTTCCAAATGTTCACTAGAATGTGAACTACTTGGGTAATGTTGAAGAATCCTATTGACTTGGATACTCAGGTACAAACATCCCTCAGTATCCAATGGAGACTTATTCCAGGACCCCCAAACAGACCAAAATTTAAGGATGCTCAAGTCCCTGATATAAAACGGCATAGTATTTACACATAACCTACACACATCCTCCTGTTTGCTTTAAATCACCTCTAGATTATTTATAATTCCTAATACAGTGTAAATGCCCTATAAATAGTTGTTATATTGTATTGATTTTATTTATATTATTTTTAATTTTCATATTACTATATTTAATTGTTTTTCCCAGTATTTTTTATCCTCAGTTGATTGAATCTGCAGATTGGAAACCCTGGAATACAGAGGGCTTAATGATATTTTCACATCACTCAGGAAAGTTTTCTTCTATTATAACTTTGATTTGCTTTTTTTTTCTTTTTCTAGAAATTATTATTTTTCATAAGTTGGATCTTTATTCTGTCTTCTCTGTCTATCATTATCTCTCCCATCATTTTCTTATTTTTTATTCTTTATATCTGCATTTCGAGATGATGTTTTAAAAGCTTGATTATTTTCACCATGAATTCAACTTTCAGCATTGTGAACTCAGCCTTTACAGTTCCTAGGGCAGACTACAGAACGTGTGGCTTCACTGTGGTCTCTTCTTACTGCAGCCAACAGCTGCCATGCCAAGGTCCTTCCCAGCCCTCCCTTCTCTAGGCTCCATATTCCCCTGGTGGGTGCAGACCCAGAGTTAGGAGTAAACAGATGGGTAGCGGGCGAGATGGAAGGACTCCATCCTCTTCCTGCATCACACCTGCTCTCTTCCGAGGGAAGCACGCTCTGACCACCATTTGTGTTTCTCAGGCCACCTTCTTTGGTGCCATGGTTGCTTCAGGTTCTTCCTCGCTGCAGTGTCCCCTCTTCATTACACCCCTGGCCTCCTTCACTGTCCAGAAGGACTGTGAGAACAACCCTAGCTCCAGAGAGAACAAGCCGACAATGAAGCGACCTCACACCTGGCATCTGCTGGAAAATGGGGCAACACGGTCCTTGCCCTTCTTGTCCAGGCATCTTTTAACCTCAGAATGGCCCAGGTGGGCTCCGTGAGCTCCCTCTGGACCGCTTCCCTCTGCGGCTGCTCATCTGACCCTGCCCACCCCGTCCTCCTCCTGTGGACCCCAGCCTTCGTTCTTGCTCTATCCGGGATGGGGGATGGAAAAGCCCATCTGAACACACTTCGAAATGAGGGATAATCTTAGCTTTCTGAACTTTATCAAGTTATGGGGGGAAATCAGATCTCCAGAAGGAGGGAGAGTGCTTCTTAGAAAGGAAGAGAGCTGGAAAGACAAAAAGACAGAGTGTCCTCCCCCAACCTGGCCAAATTTAGAATTGGATATCGGTTCTTTACCAAACAGCCCGTTGAATCAGCTAATTAAATGACAAACATTAGCCAATGGACTGTTGGTGTCATGTAGTTCAAACACCTGTTTAATCTATTGAATTCTTCATCTTGCAACCTATTGTTTTTCCATTTTTTATTAAGGCGTGATTTCCATTCAGTAAAATTTATCCTTTTCAGTCTTGATAAATGTATACTGTCGTGTAACCACCACACAATCAAGACATAACATGATTCTGTCACCTTCCTCACCTAAATTTCTAATGTATCTAAACCTTACAATCAAGTAAAGACACAGAGAGTCGTTCACTGAAAATGAGATCTGGCCTTAAAAGTAGTTCTTGTGGACAGAGATTCTCCCAGTTACCTTCCCGTCTCATTTACACTGAATTTGCTCAAAATGTGAGAATGTCAGGAAGAAGGTGCATGTGCGTGCGCCTGTGTGCTTAATACCGGCAACACTAATTCAACAAAATTGACTTCAAAAGCCACCCAAGTGTTCTGTCGCCTGCCAGCGTGCATTGCACAGCCCCGCGTCCTTGTGGTGCCCACCCAGGTTGAGCCGAATGAAGCCCTTTTCCGGAGCAGCAGTGCGCAGTGGGAGTTATTGTCAGAGGGAAGGGCACAGAAGGGAAAGGTTACAGGAGGATGGGAGGGAACCAGGACTTAGTGAGAAGCTGATGTGGAGCAGGGAGTGGGCAGGGCAGGGGTGGTCCAGGGACAGAGAGGCAGGCACGGACATGAAGGGGACCTGCAGGCTCTGTGATGTCAGTGGGCACAGTGACCAGCTGTCCTCCTGCCACACAGGCAGTGCTGGGCAGGGGGTGTCCTACTGCGGCATCCCGGCCAGGATGGCAGGGCCCCAACAAAGGTCATTGCCACCTTGCTTTTTTCTCTCGTCAACATACATGTATGATCACTCACGTGTTTCCTCTCTGCAAACATCCTCCCCATAAAGCAGGGGTACTAACACCTCCAGAACAAAACTGCAGCACCAGAGACCTCTCAGGTTAAGTTTTAAACTGAGCCAGAACCCTATGATAATTTTGCGATTCTCATAAAAGAGTAGTGTTTTTAAGCTCAAAGAGCCCGGAGGCTGAGGAGCTTGATGACAGTTCTCAGAATGGAGGTGAGCAGGAAGACGCTGCCTCCCAGCTCCCCGGCAGGTGCTCGCCTGCATTAGACTTGCAGACTTAGCTCATTTGACCCTGGAGAGCCCAGCCTGGCATCTGCCGTCTACACATGGGATCTCCCACAGACTCACCTCTTTCCAGGAAAGGTGATGCTGACCAAGAAACACTGATATTTCAAAGCCTACAAACTGAGCCTTGGACAAAATCAGCCTCCAGCTGCCTCTTGACTTTATTACCAAACGAACCGTGCAACAAATATCATGAAAATGCCTTTGAACTAAAAGGAAAAAAATGTTTATGCAATTCAGGGTGTTTCATTAAGGCACGGTTTGCATTCAGTAACATTCATCCTTTTTACTTTTGACAAATGTCCACAGTTGTGTGACCACCACCACGGTCAAGATGTAAATTCTGGCAAATTCTGGCACGTGGCATGGCATAATTGAAAGCCAAGGCCAGCTCTCCCTGTGGGGCTGGTTAGGGTGGCAGCACGTGGCATAGCATCATTGAAGGCCACGGCCAGCTCTCCCTGTGGGGCTGGTTAGGGTGGCAGCACGTGGCATAGCGTCATTGAAGGCCACGGCCAGCTCTCTCTGTGGGGCTGGTTAGGGTGGCAGCACGTGGCATAGCGTCATTGAAGGCCACGGCCAGCTCTCCCTGTGGGGTTGGTTAGGGTGGCAGCATGTGGCATAGCATCATTGAAGGCCACGGCCAGCTCTCCCTGTGGGGCTGGTTAGGGTGGCAGCACGTGGCATAGCGTCATTGAAGGCCACGGCCGGCTGTCCCTGTGGGGTTGGTTAGGGTGGCAGCACATGGCATAGCGTCATTGAAGGCCACGGCCGGCTCTCCCTGTGGGGCTGGTTAGGGTGGCAGCACGTGGCATAGCGTCATTGAAGGCCATGGCCGGCTCTCCCTGTGGGGCTGGTTAGGGTGGCAGCACGTGGCATAGCGTCATTGAAGGCCACGGCCAGCTCTCCCTGTGGGGCTGGTTAGGGTGGCAGCACGTGGCATAGCGTCATTGAAGGCCACGGCCAGCTCTCCCTGTGGGGTTGGTTAGGGTGGCAGCATGTGGCATAGCATCATTGAAGGCCACGGCCAGCTCTCCCTGTGGGGCTGGTTAGGGTGGCAGCACGTGGCATAGCGTCATTGAAGGCCACAGCCGGCTCTCCCTGTGGGGCTGGTTAGGGTGGCAGCTCTGATGGCATAGCGTCATTGAAGGCCACGGCCGGCTGTCCCTGTGGGGTTGGTTAGGGTGGCAGCACGTGGCATAGCGTCATTGAAGGCCACAGCCGGCTCTCCCTGTGGGGCTGGTTAGGGTGGCAGCTCTGATGGCATAGCGTCATTGAAGGCCACGGCCGGCTGTCCCTGTGGGGTTGGTTAGGGTGGCAGCACATGGCATAGCGTCATTGAAGGCCATGGCCGGCTCTCCCTGTGGGGCTGGTTAGGGTGGCAGCACGTGGCATAGCGTCATTGAAGGCCATGGCCGGCTCTCCCTGTGGGGCTGGTTAGGGTGGCAGCACGTGGCATAGTGTCATTGAAGGCCACGGCCAGCTCTCCCTGTGGGGCTGGTTAGGGTGGCAGCACGTGGCAGATGGCCTCAGGTCGCATCCTGTCAGTGGCTTTGGATAGTTACTGGATCTTTCTAAGGTTTCCATTTTCTCAGCCACAAATGGAGATGACAACATTGTCCACCTAAAGATAGATGTGAGAGGAGTTGACAGGAGGATGGGCAATGCCCAGGCACAAGGAACCATCGGCTCCTCCCAGCCATTTGCTTGCATGGAGAGGCTTTCATCTGTTAGCATATCCAGGAGCCCCCCTCCTCCCGGGGATTCTGCCATATCCTTCCACCAGAACCCAGATGAGACCCCCTGCGTGGAATGAGAAATAACAACACCACTGGTAACAGCAGAGCCCACTCTTTCATGGAATTCTGGGCTCCCTGCAGGTGCTAAGGATTTCACATAAATTAATTTGTTTAATCCACACCATGTATGCAGTAAGCATTACTCAATCTCCATGCTACATGTGAGAAAACTGTTGTATAGGGAAGGCCGTTTGCCCAGGAATTCACAGTGGCTAAGAGTGGAGCCTGAACGAGGGTCTGCGTTCTCACCCGTGACATGGTCCCCGTTTCAGGAGGGAGGGCGTGGAGGGGAGGCAGAAAGACAGGCTGGAAACCATGGCTGGAAACTCTAATTTATCTAGGAGGAATGATGTTTCTCATATAGGAAGTGAGAAGAACCCTTATAAAATGATGTTTATGAAACAACAAAAAATTAAAAATAGAAAAAGGAGTTGAATAGATATTCCTCCCAGAAGAAATAAAAATTCCAATAAGATGACGAAAAGATGCTCAACATCACTAATCATTAGGGAAATGTAAATCAAAACCACAAGGAGATACCACTTCACATTCATCAGGATGACTATTTTATATATATATATATATATAACAAAAACAAAAAAAACATGTAAATCACAAGTGTTGGCAAGGATGTGGAGAAATTGGAAGCCTTGTGCATTTCTGATGGGAACGTGAAATGGTGCAGCTGCTGTGGAGAACAGTATGGCGGTACCTCAAAAAATTAAACATACAATTACCAGATGATCCAGCAATTCCCCTGCTGGGCGTATACCCAAAATAATGCAAAGCAGAGGCTGAAATGGATACTTGCACACCGTATGTGGAACAACATTATTCACAATAGCCAAAAGGGGGAGGCAACCCGAGTGTCCACAAACAGATGAATGGCTAAACCAAATGTGGTCCATCCACAGAGTGGAGCATTACTCACCCTTAAAAAGGAAGGAAATCCTAGTACCTGCTGCAATGTGGATGAATTCTGAAGGCATTTATGCTATGTGAAATAAGCCATACACAAAAGAACAAATACTGGCTGGGCGCGGTGGCTCACACCTGTAATCCCAGCACTTTGGGAGGCCGAGGTGGGTGAATCACAAGGTCAGGAGTTTGAGGCCAGCCTGGCTAACACGGTGAGACCCCGTCCCTACTAAAAATACAAAAATTAGCTGGACGCGGTGGTGCGCCTGTAATCCCAGCTACTTGGAAGGCTGGGGCAAGAGAGTCACTTGAACCTGGGAGGTGGAAGTTGTAATGAGCCGAGATCGTGCCACTGCACTCCAGCCCTGGGCAAAACAGCGGGACTCCATCTCAAAAAAAGAAAAAAAAAAAAAAAGAACAAATACTATATGATTCCACTCATATGAGGTCAAGTTCTTAGAGAGGGAGGGTAGAATGGTGGGTGCCACAATGGTGGGTGCTGGGGGCTGGGAGAGGGGAACTGGGCGTTTGTGTTTAGTGATACAGAGTTCAGTTTTACAAAATGAAAGGAGCTATGGAGAGGGATCCTGGTGATGGTTACATGACAATGTGAATGTTCTTAATGCCATTAAATGGTATACTTAGAACGGTTAAAAATGGTATATTTTATGTTATGTCTATTTTATCACAATTTCAAAAATGTATGTCTAATCCCAGCACTTTGGGAGGACAAGGTGGGTGGATCGCTTGAGGTCAAGAGTTCGAGACCAGTCTGGCCAACATGGTGAAACCCTGTTTCTACTAAAAATACAAAAATTAAGCAGGCATGGTGATGCACACCTATAGTCCCAGCTACTTGGGAGGCTGAGACAGGAGAATCGCTTGAACCTGGGAAGCAGAGGTTGCAGTGAGCTGAGGTGGCACCACTGCACTCCAGCCTGGGTGACTAGCAAAACTCCATCTCAAAAAAATAATAATAATAATTATGTCATGGGTCTCCTCGCAAGTGAGAGAGGGAGAGGGAGGAAGGGGAGAGGTTATCAAGGGCTCTCTCTGGCTTTTACTGGCCATTATCTCCTTTACGCATTTCTACATTTTTTAGTGCCTTTATGACAATCATATGCTGCTTTTACAATTAGAAAAGGAAAGAGGGTCACTTATTGAAGCCCCCTTACCTCCCACCTCTTCCCCTCCCTTCCACTGACCCTCCCTTTGTCTTCTTGAGTGCTTGTCCCTAAAGGTGGAAAAGATATTATTAGACCCATTTTGCAAAGGAGAAAATAGAGACTCTGAGAGGAAAAATGAATTACCCAAGGCCACAGCCCAGTACCTGGTGATGCCTGGAACCAGGCCAGATCCTGCTGGGGTCACCAGGACCCCACCCCGCCCCCTACCCCGCCCCCCCCCACCACCACCACCCTGCCTTCCTGCAAAGGCGAAATCACTGAACACCAAAATCCCCTGCTCATCATCCCTGCTGGGGCTATTTCTGTTTTAAATAGCTGGAGGCTTTGCCTAGCAGAGATTCTGTGAAATACAGCAGGGTGGTCATGTCTGGGGTGTGTCCCTGTACAAACCAGGCTCACCACTGCACCAGAAATCAGGTCTGCTCTGACCTGACCACACACACCCAGAACAGCAACGTTCTGACTTACATGATCCAGATAATCCCCGGCCTGCCCTCCCGCCCCGTGAGCATGGACACTACCGGAAGGGCGGCTGCGGGAGCTGGCCCGTCTGTGCTCATGGCTCTCTGCTATGTTGCCATTTCCAGGGAAGCATTTGCCGCATTTTGTGTTGATTGATGTCCCCCACCCTGCCCCCCTACCCCGGCATCACCTCAGACCCCTGCAGAGGCCAGGGCTGAAGCCCAGCTCCTTCAGGGACACAGGCGCTCCGATGCCTTTGACCAGCTGGGCACGGGCTGGCCCCACGTTTTCAGCACTCTCCTTTTTTTCTTAAATAAAAGAGCTGGCAGGGGAGGCAGTTTCTAGAGTGTTTGAATTGGCCCCATTTATAAATCTGTCCTTTTTTTTTCTCTTACGGATACTATAACCACAAACTGCATTCGCTTACAGTCACTTTTACACTTGGTTCTCTTCGGCTTATTATCTGCAATTCTAAGAGATGTCTGTGATAACTAAGCTGTTTCTACACACAGCCTTGCTGCGGTGTTGGAAGCCATGAGCCAACTGCGGGTGGGCTGGAGTCTGTGTGGTTCTGAGCGGCTGAGATGAGCCAGCCCCACTGCGCCTGGGTCCTACATCTACAAAACCGTGTTTTCCAGCTGGGAGAGACCAGGGCCCAGGGCTTCAAGAGCAGACAGGCAGGGAAATCCCTGGCCCAGGACCCTTGCTAGGCAGCCACCGGCCTCCTCAAACGCTCCCCCTTGTTGGCCCTTTGGCGGCAACAGTGTCTCCCTCTTCAATGGAGAAGACCGGGTCCTGCAGGGGACTTTTTAGCCGATTTTTTTCCCAGCTCGTATTGTGCAGGCTCTGAGCTGTGTTTATTTGGATCTTTCTGAAGAACCCTCTAACCGTATTCCATGTCTGTAGATGTGTTTGGCAGAGTTGTGCGGTTTTCATCTTCTTCTTTTTTAAGTTGCAAATGCTTAAAATTCTGCTGGCTTTTTAGCTCCCAAGGGAACCCCCCCATCTCCAGCCCCCATGTGCCGTTGCCATGGTGATCTCCCTTTCCCTTTAAAGTCTGGAATGCCGCATTCCATAAGATTTGCACAGAAAGTCGCTTGATCATAGGCAAAGGCCTGTCTGTCCGTCTCCAACATTCTGTATCAATAAACACGCTCTGAGACCCTCTCTCTGCCTTGCTGTTAGAAATCAGGCTTTGACCCTCATCTGAGGGACTCTGGAAGGGTCCAGGGCAAACGGGGTTCGGCCTGGTATTCGCAGATTGTCTCCCGTTCCCTTTCCTCGGTACATTAGCATTTTCATCTATCGTCACAAGAATATCAGTGTGAGTTAGAGCAGCGGTGCAATTATATATGCAGGGGAATGCAGCCCCAGGCTCCAAATATTGAATTTTACACAGATACTAAGGGCATGTAAAATGTTAAAGTACATTTAAGTCCTCAAATAAATAACTTTAATTACATAAAGAACTAGATTTCAAGGAAATTACGGTTATTTGCTATAGGAAATTAACCTCCAAGTCATGTTTACGACTTAATGGATAGTCATTTTGGGGAGAATTCTCTCTTCTTTGAGTCTACATGTTCAACCCTTTTCTGAAACAGGAATAGGACTAATTGCTCTTGAGTGAAAGATTGTTGTGTATTTTGTCTCAGATCAGATGGATGAAAGTAAACAAAAGATACAATGTTTCCTTATACAGAGAAGTTGCCTCCTCAAAAAAAAAAAAAAAATCCCACAATCAGAATAAAGCATCAGGAATAAGACCACCATTTTGTTATAACACAACATTCCTCTGTATTAAATAATGACGGGTTTTATGTTTGTTACTGAGCAGAGTTTTTTTTTTAATTATTTCAAGAGCATGTCCTTTAGTGTTTATAACTGGGCTGACTGTGATATTAAACAGCCAGGAGGTGTTAGCAGCTGATTAAAGGAGGGAAAGGAGACCCTGCTAATTATACGGCAACCTTAGAATCGGTTTCTCCCGCTGAACTAGAGGACAAGCCACACACCTGCAGAACTTTACCAGCAGGAGCAGTGCTGGGACCCAACTCAGGCAACCAGCTCTGCTAATGAACCCAGAAAAAGCACACAAACTTGTTTTCCCTCCAAGACAGAGACAACACAGTGGGGTTTTCAGAAGTGTGTGGTGTGGAAGCAGCCAGGTGTAGCCACTGCACAAATGCAGTGGGAACACTCTCGTATGATAAAATCAAAGACGATGTCGCCTGCTTCCACATGACAGATCCAGGAAACTGCAGGATAGAATCACGCTCGTGTGCCTGGGCAGGGAGAGCTGGTTCACCCATGTCTGAACACTGGGACACCAGTTCTCCTCCAAACATCTTGGACTACTTAAATGCAAAGGTGAGTCTGGGTGTGGCTGAATTTGTGCATTGAATTTCTTTAACAGTAAATGTCAAGTGGAATACGGCATCAAGCTAGTTTCAGGAAACTTTCCACTCCAGTTATTTTGTTTTCTAATTATATGATATACTTTCTATCACAAGGCCCACTAGGATTTTTAAGTCTGATTTTTTTTAAAAAGTATTTATTATATAACAAGTTGATGGGCCAAGCACCTTCATTGTAGCACTGTGGCCATGCTTTTTAGAAAAGTGTTCTCCATTGCCATGATTGTGTTTGCATATCTATGCATAAATATGGGCAAAATGTTGCGTAAAGTTAAGCATGTACTAGAATTAGAGAAAAAAATTCTCAATTCTAGAAATGTTTGGAGACAGAATACTCTTTCCATTGCTAATTTAATGCAGGTTTTAAAAATGTTCTATAACTTTACAAAATTACAGATGGAAAAGATTTTTGTCCTTCTTCTTTATCTAGACAAATTCAGGAAAGCCCGGAGGCCTGGTATAGATGTTTCATCAAAAATTTCACCGTGCTGTGTCAGAAATCAGAAGACAGAATTTAGAACCATCCCGTTTCCTCTGCAGAAAGCTTTTCAAGAAGATACACTCGGAATTAGCAATATTTCCACCAAAATATGAAGTGTAAAGAGAGCCTTCAATAAAGCCACAGGTTTGATGTTTTTTCTTTTTAAAAGGAAAAAAACTAATTTAAAATTATTTTTAAAAGAAAAAAACCACAAGATAATGAAAATGAAGTTATACCTAGGCTGATATTGCATTTGCCAATATTTTACTCCCACTGTTTAATCATTTTAATAGTTGCATTTAAGAGTTTAGGATATTCAAACCTCACCCAGCTATAGCAAAAAAAAGAAAGCTGTGTGATTTAAGTAGTGTCCTTTTCTGCATAATTTTAAATTAGTTTTTATTTTTAATTAATTGTGAAATTGCTGGTGAGGCTTTGGTGCCTTCTTAACTGCTATAATGAACAAATTCATTTAAACTTCAATTTAGCAATCTACAGTTTTCTAAGAGCTCAAATAAATGAAAATTCAAACATAATTTTAAAAAAGGATTCCATTAACTACAAAAGGGTCTATATCAAGTTTATTAGAAAGTATGGAATTGCTACAAGAACACATTTTCAATTTTATAAATTAGTTTTCAGAGGCTTAAGCAGAACAACACATAGAGAGAAAAAGTAGAAGTTTGTTGGTTAAAAAAAAAAATCCCATTCTAATGAACCGAGGCTATAGCTTAAAACACAGCCAAAGCTTTAAAGCTTGGTCGTCCAGATTTCTGTGTGACCATTTTAACACAGGGCATCTCTAGTTCCCAATGGAAATATTTCTTTTCCGGCACTTTCATTTTCTGAAACAATTTACTGGAGTTTCATAAAAAGAGAATAACAGCTTTGTGTTTCATTGTTGAGGATTTTACTTCACTTTACATAACTTTTCCTCATTTCACTTAGTGGCTATTTGAGGAGCTTGACTGAACTCTAGGTAACCTCTTAGGTTATGCCTGCTGGATTTCAGGGACCTGGAGCTGCTGGTGCTGGCAGGCCAGTGGTGACTCGGGGTGCCTGTCTGACCGCCTAGGAGCTGGGACTGGGCTCTCTGCGTACATACAACTGCATGGGGGACAGGGGACTTCTGCCTTTGTTTGGACAAAGGATGCGGTAAGACCAGAGAAAAGGAAGGCTTTACCTGTGGCTCTTTGCACTTTTAATACTCTAGAAGGAAATAGTGAGTCTACTTTAATGGAAAATAGCGAATCTTTTGCAGGACTCAAAAAAGGAAGTTTGCTAAGAGCAAGGAAATGTGAAGGAGTTGGAGCGACAGCGTTAGAACATTTAATTTGGCTTTATGTTGTAATTATGACTTGCGGGAAGTGGCCTGGCGTGTATGAATGCTGTTGCTGGAAAGAGCACTTGAGCATCAGCGAAAATTCTGAAAGCTGTGTTTACAACGGACGCACACACAACAGAAAGCAAACCGTGGAGACGAGGGTTTTGGAAACGTGCCCTCCTCGGCATTCATTATAACCAATAATTAATTAAGAGATTTTTTAAAGTCCCTTCCTTGGCATCACGTTCCTCAGTGAGAATGCGGATGAGAAGTCAGAGGTGTTTGGGACATAAGTGCAAGTAGTTACGGGCAGGGTTTTTCAGTTTTGGTTTTTAAAGAGAATGAAAACGAAGTGGGGAGACAGCGGCACAGTGTGCGGTGCCCTGCCGGCCAGGCCACGCTTTCTCCACCCTGACTCCCACGTTCGCTCAACAGTATGAGAACTTCACGGTAACATGGAAGGGATCCCCGCACTCCCTCTAATGCTATTTCTGTTCGATGCGTTCTTTGGCTGCGAATTTGAGAACTGCCTTTTTGGCAAAGCCAGTGAGTTTTGTGTTTTCAGATCAACCGAAAGGACGTTGACTTTCAGGTTCCCGATCCTTCTGAATCCAATCCCAAATTTAAAACAGCATCCGATCCTGGCTACAGCCTGAGCTGGGCCCCAGGTCAGCCAAGCTTCCCAGGTGGAAAGGAAGGAATCCAGGTTGCCCAAGATGCTGTGGCCTGGGTGACAGTTACCAGCCTCCAGAGAGGCCTCAGCCTTCGGGGTGCCTTGCTCAGAGCAGGCACATACCTCTCACCGCAAGAGCCATCTGACCATGGTTACTCGACCCCTCCCCCAGAGTGAGTTCACTGTCCACCAGAGGGGACAGCTCCCACTGCCAGGCTTCGGTGAAACCACGTGGACTGTGGAAGCAACCCAGTGTCCACTGATGAATGAATGGAGAAACGAAAGGTGATTTATCCGTAGGGTGGGACAGCACCCGGCCTTGGAAAGGAAGGGAACATGGACGGCACCTAAGGATGTTCTGCTGAGTGAAACAACCAGCCACAAAAAGACGAACCTTGCACGATTCCACTCACATGAGGAAGCTAAGGGGTCAAAATCATAGAGACGGAAAGTAGGATTGCGGGTGCCAGGGCTGGGGGAGGAAACAGGGAGTTCGTGTTTCATGGGGGACAGAGTCTCATTTGGGAAGATGGAAAGTTCTGGAGCTGAATAGTGGTGACGGTTGCACAGCAGCGCAGATGTGCTTAATGCCACTGAAGTGTGCACTTAAAATGATAAAAATGGCAAATTTTATGTTATGTATGTTTCACCACAATAAAAAAGGGAATAGCATTTTTCTTGTCAAATGGGGCTGGTGGTAGCTGCTCTGTAGCCTCATAAAGAAGTTCCTAAGTTTTTTTTTTATTTCCTTTTTTTAAATTTGGGTTTAAAACTGCTGTTTCCTTTTTCACTGTGGTAAAATATACATAACATAAAATTTACCATTTGAACCATAAGTTAGCCCAGGCCCTGCTTCTGGCCCCTGCTCTTCCTGAGTCCTGGTTGGTGCCCCCTTCATCCGTCCATACTTGCCACAAGCCCCTCTTGTCCGGTCCTGGGCACAGAGGTCCTGGTGGAAGAGACAGTCCCTGCCCAAGAACAGGGAAGGACATAGATGGGAGAAGGGACCCACTGCCCAGGGGACCAGCACCAGAGCTCAGCTCTCGGGCTCCCTGCGTGGCCCTGGCCTCTCGACCTCGCTGGACTCAGTCTCCTGACGTCTCCAGTGAAGAGCTGGAGTGGTGAGTCCCAGAGCCACTTCCGGCATGGGACAGAGGCCTGTACCTCAACACCAGCGATTTGCTGTGTGATCTTAGGCAAGTCAATATGTGTCTCTGGGACATACAGTGAGTTGTCTAAGATCACACAAACCCCCCACCACTTTAAAAAAAAAAATGGAGGGGATTTGATCAAGATCATGTCAGGATCCTTTCCAGTTTGGACATCCTGTGATTTTGGAATCTTCACCCACAGTTCTGAGCTTTTAAAAAATCCACATTTGTGTTATTTCCTTGTGATAGGGGAGAATAGCCCTGATGTCAGATCTCACTTGCTTATAGTGCTGTGTGCGTGCACATGTGAATAAAGGAATGTTCAGAAACGCTTTTCCTAACAGAGAACCTGTTCCCCGGGGCCAAGCGCAGAGTCCGTGTAACTTGCCTTTGAAGTGTGTCACCTGCTGCGTGACCACAAGAGGGCGGTGCATGCAATGGATTTTGTCAGCACGCGGGGGCCAGAGCTCACAACTTTAATTTGAGAGTTTTTCTTCCCTGGAGTCTCTTGCAGGGTCTTTCTCTGGGAGGCTCAATGCCTCCCGCATCTTCTTCAACAGGCTGAACACACATGTGGAAGCAGCTGAAGAACTGAGACTACTTAAAAGCAGAATATTTTGTAATCACCAAATAGAATCCATTTCGTAATAAAACTGGCTACAAAATATTTTAGGGTTCAGTATGATACATCACAAAGTAATTTAGGCAAGGAAGCACACCAGGCTTAAAAATCAAACGTGGCACCCTGCAGGTTTGCAGCCATGCCTCCAGCAGGCGGGTCGGGTTGGCGAGTTTCTAAACTTTGAGGAGGGAAGGCTGGGTGGCCAGGCTCCATCCAGAGCCTCTTGGCTCACTGTGCCGCCAGCAGTGTAATTGCATCCTGGTGTGACCCACAGGCTGTATCTACAACACTGCGCTGGTGAAGCAATGCTGTTACTAGATTTGAAAACAGGCAAAATGGCTCTGAAAGGAGAGAAAAATGGAAAAGCTCCTTTCCCCAACATTCCACTCCTCTGTCTTCATGGCCTCTGCGTTGGTCCAGCCAGAGGGATTATTTGAGTCCTGTGTCCCAGCCCACCTTTCCCTGGCTTAATGGTGCAGCCACACCTCTGGTTGAGAATACACGCCTGTGTAACTCATTGATTCTGATCTCCTTCATGCTCAGCACCTGCTTCCTTTAGCATCCCCAATGCAAGCGCTTCGAAGCCCATGCTGACAGCCTGGTCATATATCCTTTGGCCCCTCTGCATAAGTAGGAGAGGGGAGAGCTCCTCCTAAAAGTGCTGTGCCCTTAGTAACTGACTATTATTGAATTAGAATGGTGGAGTGAGGAGTTCCTCTCTGCCAGGCACTGTCCTAGGATTTGCATTTGTGAAGAATCACTTGCTTTCCAATTGACTTTGTAACTTTATTTGTGATTGGTTTTCAATGGCAGCCAACATTTCTTCTTTAACTTCCTCTATCTCTCGCTTTTTCTTCCTATGGTCATCTAAACACCTTGAAAAGATGAAGACATCATATATGAAAGTTAAGGCACCATGGGTCATGCATCTTTTAACTATAATTTTGTCCTGGGATCTGCTACCGACTGGTGCTATCAGTAGTCGATAGCACAGTGCTAGAGCAGAGAAGAAAGACTCCACACAGCTGGGATTAGAGACAAATTTGTTACATTCACACTTCAACCCAAGTTTGTCAGACACGTGTCTAAACGACCCATGAATTATTTATTAAGCAAACATTTATTAAAAGCCTACATTGTGCAAAACGAAGTCACTGAGCCTTAAGGATGTGATATGAATTAATTCAACAGGTTCCTTGGCCTCAAAACTATCACCGTGAGAAACAAGACACATATACAGATGTGTGTGAAGAGAGCAGTGACACTTCTTCAGCTGGTGACAAATGCCTTCAGCGCCCTTTGTTACTCCCAGTTAAGTTCATTTGCTCATCCGTTCATGTAATCTACGCGCATGCAGTTTCCACTGAATGTCAGGTGCCATGTCAGGCATGGGGGTGTTGAGATGAGGAAGGCTGACCTAGTGCAGATGGACTGAGTGTAAGGTGCCATGTCAGGCATGGGGGTGTTGAGATGAGGAAGGCCGACCTAGTGCAGTTGGACTGAGTGTCAGGTGCCATGTCAGGCATGGGGGCGTTGAGATGAGGAAGGCCGACCTAGTGCAGATGGACTGAGTGTCAGGTGCCATGTCAGGCATGGGGGCGTTGAGATGAGGAAGGCCGACCTAGTGCAGATGGACTGAGTGTCAGGTGCCATGTCTGGCATGGAGGCGTTGAGATAAGGAAGGCTGACCTAGTGTAGATGGACTGAATGTCAGGTGCCATGTCAGGCATGGGGGCATTGAGATGAGGAAGGCCAACCTAGCGCAGATGGAGAGAACCACAGCACAAAGACTTTGTCACAGACCAAATTTACCCTCCATAGGAAACAAAAACACACAAAAAGCAGACCAAATATGAAAAACAACGGTCTTCCGAACACTGGAAGGAGGCAGTGAAGGACAGTGATCCCTGTGGGATGGGAAGGAAACCATTGAGCCCTATGGTAGCCCAATGCACTGCCTTGAGTTTTCAGGCCACAGAACAAGAAGGAGGCATCTCCTCCACTCAGGCAGAGCCCAGCAGACTCTCTGAGTTGGGAAGATAGAGATTTCGGGGAGACCAGTGCAACTACCCTTGGCAGGGCAGAGTCCCAGAGAGGAGAGAATCCAGAGATCTGCAGAGGCTCACCTTCAGGATTGGCGGGTGTGTGTGAGGAAACTGCCCAAGACCGAGCAAAGAATCACCTTAAAGATGAAAGGAAATAATGCCTGGCACTCACATCGGTCTGCAAATAGCACCTGTGCCCACATGACAAACTGGAAATCTCAGAGGACATCGGGTGGCGTATCAGTACTTGCCTGAGTATTGGAGAATAAGTACCCTTAGTGTAAACGAGGTTCCGGTTCCACCTAACAAACTTCAAAAGTAAGATCCAAGAGGATCAAGAAACTCAGTCGCATCCCAGAACAAACCTCAAGAATATGTGCAGATATACAAAAACACCCAGCACCCAACGAGATGAAATTCTCAATATCTGGCATCCAATCAAAGATTACCAGGCAGATAAAGAAACAGAAAAATATGTCCTATAATAAGGAGAAAAATCAATCAAAACAGACCCAGAACTGATGCAGATGTTAGAATTAGCAGACAAAGAAATAAAAGTTACCATAACTGTATTCCATATGTTTTAAAAGTGGAGTAAAGATGTGGAAGATATAAAAAGGACAAATTAAAGTTTTAAAGATGAAAACTATAATGGCTGAAATGAAAAACACACTGGATGGATTCATGGCAGGTTACACGTTACAGAATAAAATATTAGTGAACTTGAAGACACGGTAATAGAAGCTCTCCGAAATGAAACATAGAGGGGAAAAAAGTCATTTTTTCTTTTTGAGAAGAAGTTGGGCCAAGTTTCTTCTTTTTAAGTTTTGTTTTTTTTGTTTTTGTTTTTGTTTTTGAGGCGGAGTCTCACTATAGCCCAGGCTGGAGTGCAGTGGTGCGACCTCCGCTTACTGCAAACTCTGTCTCCTGGGTTCACGCCATTCTCCTGCCTCAGCCTCCCGAGTAGCTGGGACTACAGGCACCTGCCACCACTCCCAGCTATTTTTTTTTTTTTTTTGTATTTTTAGTAGAGACGGGGTTTCACCGTGTTAGCCAGGATGGTCTCGATCTCCTGACCTCGCAATCCGCCCGCCTCGGCCTCCCAAAGTGCTGGGATTACAGGCGGGAGCCACCGCACCCGGCCCTTTTTAACTTTTATTTTCGGTTCAAGGTGCGTGTGCAGTTTGTTACGTAGGTAAACTGTGTGTCACAGGGGTTTGGTGTACAGATTATTTCATCACCCAGGTAATGAGCATAGTACCCAATAGGTAATTTCATGATCCTCTCTCTCCTCTCACCCTCCACCCTCAAGCAGGCCCTGTTGTCTCTTGTTCTCCTCTTTGTGTTCATGTGTCCTCGTTGTTTCACTGCCACTTATAAGTGAGAGCATGGTATTTGGTTTTCTGTTCCTGCGTGAATTTGCTTAGGATCATGGCCTCCAGCTCCATCAATGTTGCTGCAAAGGACATGATTTCATGCTTTTTTATGGCTGCATAGTATTCTATGGTGTATGTTTTCTTTATCCAGTCTACCATTGTGGGGTATTTAGGTTGATCCACCTCTTTGCTATTGTGAATAGTGCTGCAACAAACATACGCATGCATGTGCCTTTATGGTGTTTTTTTAAGTGAAAATTGTATCAGTGAGATATGGTACAACTTCAAGTGGCCTAATATATGTGTAATTGAAGTCCCTGAAGGAGAGGAGAGAAAGTGGGATAGAAAATATATTTGAAGCAGTAATGGTCAAAAAATTTTCCAAATTTGATGAAAACTATAAACTGATAGACCCAATAAGCTCAATGAGCCTTAATCTTGAGGAAACTACGTGAAGAAAACCACACCAAAGGCAGGTCATAATCAAACGGCTCAAAGCCAGTGATGGACAGGACAATCTTAAAAGTGACCAGAGAAAAGTGGCATTTTGCATGCAGGGGACGGATGATAAGATGAGAGCAGATTTCTCATCAGAAACAATACGGGCAAGAAGATGGTGGAGTAACACATTTAAATTACAAAAACGAAAATGCCATGAGCCTAAAACTCTACGCCTGTCTCCATTACCTTCCGAAACTAAAGGTCAAACAGAGTCTTTTTTCAGAGGAACTCAAGCTGAAAGCATTTTTCACCAGCAGACACACTACAAGAAATGTTCAAGAAAGTCCCATCAGAAGAAAAATGACACCAAACGGAAATTCGGATCTACACAGAGGAATGAAGAGTACCGGAAACAGTAACTATGTGAGTAAATATATTGATAGTTTTCTTATTATACAGAATCTCTTTAAAATAAAATTGACCATTTAACAAAAATAATAACAGAGCATGAGGTTCCTAACATATGTATAAGTAAAATGAATGGCAACCTTAGCATCAAGGCTGGGAGTGAAGATGTGAAAGTATACTATTGTAAGGTTTTTATACTATACCTAAAGTCGTGTATTACTTCAAGACAGACCGTCATAACTTAGAGGTGCATATAGACCCTAAGGCGATCACTGAAATAACAAAAGAAAGAATTATAGGGCTGGGCGTGGTGGCTCACACCTGTAATCACAGTACTTTGGGAGGCCGAGGTGGGTGGATCATGAGGTCAAGAGATTGAGACCATCCTGGCTAACACGGTGAAACCCCGTCTCTACTAAAAATACAAAAAATTAGCCGGGCGTGGTGGCGGGTGCCTGTAGTCCCAGCTACTCTGGAGGCTGAGGCAGGAGAATGGCGTGAACCCAGGAGGCGGAGCTTGCAGTGAGCTGAGATTGCGCCACTGGACTCCAGCCTGGGTGACAGAGCGAGACTGTCTCAAAAAAAAAAAAGAAAGAATTATAGCTAATAAGCTATATGAGTGGATAAAATGGAATCATAGAAACTATTCAATTAATCTAAAAGAGGGCTAAAAGGGGAACAAAAAACAGATGAGACAAATAGATGATAAGCTTAAGCTGAACCATATCAATCATCATATGAAATCTACACTGTCTAAATGCCTCAATTAAAAGGCAGATGTCAGCTTTGATGAAAAGCAAGTCTATGATGCTTACAAGAAACCCACTTTATATAGAAAGACAAAAAAATATTAAATGTAAAAGGATGGAAAAAGATACACCATGCTAAGACTAATCAACCATAAATCTGGAGCGTTTACTCATCAAAGTGGACTTCAAAGCAAAGAATATCACCAGGGATAAAGAAATGAATGATCATTTCATAATGATAAAGGGATCAATTCATCAAAAGGACATAACAATCCTAACTGTTCATTTATCTTATTATAGAGCTTCAAAATACACGAAGCGAAATCTGACAGAACCACAACAAGAACTAGACAAATCCATAATTGTCAACAGAGATTCCAATATCGTCAATAATTGATAGAACATATGGACAGAAAATCAATAATGATATAGAAGAGTTGAACAGCACCTGCTGCCAGGTCTGTCCACCCAGATCATGGAACCAGCTCCTCCTGGCTTGGCGCACAGCCACAAAAGACCTGTCGCCGGGACCACCTGCAACCGGTTTCCATCATCCTCCAGCACATGAGGTGTATTTCCACTTCTTTCTTCTTGTATAGGACATTTCTGCCTGCAGCGGCCTCCTGACTAGTCTCCAGATTTCCAGGAATTCAAAGACCCAGTTTGTCCTCCCAACCCTTAGTGGGCAATTAGTCTTCATTTTCAGATGTGCGACTGAGGTTTGGGAGCTGACTCGAGCCACACAGCTGCATAGCTGGGGCCAGCGTCCAAGCTCAGGGGCCTCTGCCTGTGTCTTGTACCCTAAGTCCTGGTGTCCCTGCTGTCCCTGGGTGCAGCTGTTGAGTTCCTTGGGAAAGGGTAGGACCGATATTCAGGCCCCACAACCGTGGGACTTATACCCCTTTGGGAAGGGCATTATACCTCTTGGGGAAGGGCATTATCTCCCCACCTGCCTGACCTCTGGCCCTTCATGGCACCATGGCAGGTGCCACATCAGTGTTTGCAAATGAGTGAGGCTTTGGCCTGAGCTGGTCTTGGGCTCAATGTAAAACTAGAATTCAGTTCTTTTCAGGGTCCTATGCCAGAACCATGACTATGCTGAGCCTGGACCCCTGGGTGGCCCAGTGGGGTACCCTGAAAAGCCTGCCCCAGCTTCCCAACTGGAGATGTGGGGCCCCTGGACCGAACAGGTGCTTCCTCTGCTCTCTGCTGTGAGACGCAACAGCGCATGGGGCCAGGGTGGTGGGTGCATATCTCTGGACCCATCTGAGGCATGTGAAGGTTTCCTCAGAGTGCAGAAAGCATAGAGGGTCCCAGGCACAGCCATGAGGGTGGAGAATTGCCAGCTCAGCCATGCTCTGTCTTCTGAGGAGCCCTCTCCCATGGGTTTGTGCCAATCTGCAGCTCCCTCCCCTGACATGGAAGCTTCCGGAGCTCCTCGCTCTGCTCCATTTAGCAAAACCACCCATCAGTTCTCAAACAGAGCTGCCCCATGTGGTCCCTGCACAGTGGAGGACTCAGTCTTCCTCCCTGGGCAGCCTCGTGGTGAGGCTGGGGCTACTGCTTCAATGTCCCCCAAGGGCCGGCTATGTGGGCCCAGGGAAAGTGGAGCGACTCGGGCTCATTTGTCCTGGCAGGAAACCACCTTGGCCGGAAACACAGGCATGTTCTTCATCAGCCATGCGGGGCCTCGAGGGCCTGGCGGGATCTTACGTGCGCTTTTCCCGTTCCCGCCTGCTCTCTTCTGCACAAAGTCACCGGTGAGATGAACCCTTTCCTAAAAGAAAGCAATCTGCTGACACGTAACTGCAAAAAGAGGAAACACTCCCACTGTCTGAGAGAGAAAAGGGCAGACAGATTATGTCTCTGGAATGTTCCATGCTACCTAAAGGAGGGTTCAGGCTTCAACTGGCCCTGGCCACCCTTCAGCCAGGAGTGGCAGACTAGGCTCTGGAGCTGGGCAGCCCCATTTGCCTGGCAAAGGGAAACTGGGCCCTGGAGACCTGTCCTCAGAGGGACAGTGGGGGTCTGCCTCAGAGACTGTGGGGTGACCACACCCCAAGACCACCTCGGAGCTGGTAAGCAGGAAGTCAGGCCTCACGTCCAGGGCTTCTGGGTCTCTGGGCCTCTGGGTCTCTGGGCCTCCGGATATTCAGGGGTTCCCGCACAAGCCTGCCCGCGACTTAGTGCTGGAAGTCCAGAGACACAGGCACAGAACCCAGGCCTGCTGGCCTCAGGAATTAGACCACGCTCTGGGACCATGAGCCTCATGGGAGAACAAAGACGTGGAGGAGCTTTCCACAGCCTTCGGGGAGCTTCAAGGCACTTCCATGCTGAGTGACTTCTCTGACCAACGTCCTTCCTCTTTCCATGCTCAGTGACTTCTCTGACAAACGTCCTTCCCCTTTCCATGCTCAGTGACTTCTCTGACAAACGTCCATCCTCTTTCCATGCTGAGTGACTTCTCTGACAAACGTCCTTCCTCTTTCCATGCTGAGTGACTTCTCTGACAAACGTCCTTCCCCTTTCCATGCTGAGTGACTTCTCTGACAAACGTCCTTCCCCTTTCCATGCTGAGTGACTTCTCTGACAAACGTCCTTCCTCTTTCCATGCTGAGTGACTTCTCTGACAAACGTCCTTCCTCTTTCCATGCTCAGTGACTTCTCTGACAAACGTCCTTCCTCTTTCCATGCTGAGTGACTTCTCTGACAAACGTCCTTCCCCTTTCCATGCTGAGTGACTTCTCTGACAAACGTCCTTCCTCTTTCCATGCTCAGTGACTTCTCTGACAAACGTCCTTCCCCTTTCCATGCTGAGTGACTTCTCTGACAAACGTCCTTCCCCTTTCCATGCTGAGTGACTTCTCTGACAAACGTCCTTCCTCTTTCCATGCTGAGTGACTTCTCTGACAAACGTCCTTCCTCTTTCCATGCTGAGTGACTTCTCTGACAAACGTCCTTCCTCTTTCCATGCTCAGTGACTTCTCTGACAAACGTCCTTCTTCTTTCCATGCTGAGTGACTTCTCTGACAAACGTCCTTCCTCTTTCCATGCTGAGTGACTTCTCTGACAAACGTCCTTCCTCTTTCCATGCTGAGTGACTTCTCTGACAAACGTCCGTCCTCTTTCCATGCTGAGTGACTTCTCTGACAAACGTCCTTCCCCTTTCCATGCTGAGTGACTTCTCTGACAAACGTCCTTCCCCTTTCCATGCTGAGTGACTTCTCTGACAAACATCCGTCCCCTTTCCATGCTGAGTGACTTCTCTGACAAACGTCCTTCCTCTTTCCATGCTGAGTGACTTGTCTGACAAACATCCTTCCTCTTTCCATGCTGAGTGACTTCTCTGACAAACGTCCTTCCTCTTTCCATGCTCAGTGACTTCTCTGACAAACGTCCTTCCTCTTTCCATGCTCAGTGACTTCTCTGACAAACGTCCTTCCTCTTTCCATGCTCAGTGACTTCTCTGACAAACGTCCTTCCTCTTTCTATGCTGGGATTTTTCCTCTTAGCACCTGAACCTACCCAGGTTTACAGGAATTGGGAGCAAATTTGGGAACGGACTCCAGCCTCCAGGTGAGGAGAAGCAGGCTGCAGTGTGGCTCTCTGGGCGGCTGCAGAGAGGTGTGCACCCTGGAGAAAGGCTCGTTTGTATTGAGAGGTGTTCCATGACTTTTAACAGTGACTTGAGTCAGCCGACATCTCCCCTTCCCCACTGCATCCGGGCCCCCCTACCCGCTGTCTGTCCCCACCGCACCCAGGCTCCCCGCCCTGCTCTCTGGCCACTCCCCTTCTCATGAGCAGCCGCCTTCCTCAGGGCTTACTCGACAGGCCCCAGGTAACTCCGGGTTGCCCAGCTTGTCACCTGCTGCATCCCTCTGTTGCTTTGGCATTTCCACTTGCATTGCCTCTCGCTCTCGATGTGCCTGTGACTGCACCACTCCAGGTCCACACGCCATCCAGCTGCTCAGAACAGGAACTGGGAAGGCAGCCGAGTTATCCTTCTTTCTCATGCCTACCTCCAGCCGGTGCCCAGTCCTGCCCATTTCCCCTCCAGATATCTCGAGTCCCACTGCTTCTCTCCACACCAAGCACACTTGCTCCCATCCAGCCTGTCCAATCCGGCCTCTGGGGGGCAACTAAACTGCTGCTGATCGTCCTGCTACAGAGCTTGCTCCACACCCATTGCAACGGGGGTGACCCCCAAAACTCAACCAGGATTGCACCACTCCTGTGTTCAAGACCCTCCACCGGTGTCCCACCACACTGTGAGTATAGCCGCATTCTTTTCCTCCAACGGGAGTTCGTAAAACCCAGCTCCCGCTCACTCCATCCCCTCTCTCTGGACTCCAGCCCTGACTCAGGGCCTGGCTCTCCCTGGGCCACGCTGCCACCTCCCACCCTGGGGGTCTCTGCTGTGAGTTACCCTGCAGACGCCGCCCCACAACCACCTGTCTCAGGAAGATCTCCCACCCCAGTGTTCCAGGTCCCAAGGCCTCGGTGCCTCACAACTTATTCCGACTGGTTACTTATTAACCTGCCTACAGTCTCTTTTCACAAGGCATGGACTCCACAAGGCTAGGGCTGTTCTGTTTCCTCTGTCCCAGCACTGACATCGTGCCCTGCCTGCCCTCAGCACTAACAAAGACTTACTGATCAAAAGGAATGAATTCTTGAAACAGCCTGGAGATGTCCGGTACCCTGCTATTTGGCTCATGTTTGTTCAAATCTCTTCCCATATTTTTCTGCCCATTGGAATCCTTCTCATGGATTGCCTCCTCCAGGAAGTCTTCCAGGACGTGCCCTGGTCCTCTTTTGCTCTCTCAGTCACTTTCCCTGCTCTTCTGTTGAGCCCTGGAACAGGAACTCATGGCTTTCCAGCTCCTACTGGAGATGCAGCACCTTGAGATGGGGAATCCAATGTCTGCTTCTCAGACCCTGGTGGCCAGAGGGGACCATGGCAGAGGTCCCTGTGGGCCTTTGGTGGGCTGTGGCCGATTTGGTTGTTGAGTGGTCAAATTGTCTTGAGGAAACAGGGCAACACTAGCTTTCTTGAGAGCCAATGGAGTGTGTGCAGTCCACACCTTGTGGAAACACACTCCAAGGGGCCCAGGCATGAAAGATCCATGACACAGAGTCAGGGCCTCAGGAAGGCAGGTGATATGGTTTGGCTGTGTCCCCATTAAACCTCAACTTAAATTGTATCTCCCAGAATTCCCATGAGTTGTGGGAGGGACCCAGGGGGAGGTAATTGAATCATGAGGGCTGGTCTTTCCTGTGCAATTCTCGTGATAGTGAGTAAGTCTCACAAGATCTGATGGGTTTATTGGGGTTTCCACTTTTGCCTCTTCCTCATTTTCTCTTGCTACTGCCATGTAAGAAGTGCCTTTCACCTCCCACCATGATTCTGAGGCCTCCCCAGCCATGTGGAACTCTAAGTCCAATTAAACCTCTTTTTCTTTCCAGTCTTGGATATGTCTTTATCAGCAGCATGAAAATGGACTAATACAGCAGGGAACCCCTGCAGCATCTGGCCAGGCCACCACATCCGGGACAGAGTTTGGAGGGCGGATGGCTGTTCTAGGCATTCGCGTGTGAAGCTTTTAACCCAAGGGCTCTGCAAATGGCTTCTTGATTGGCTGTGATTTCTTCTGAAAACATTTATGATCTTTTGAAGTATTCATAAGTGTAAAGGGGTCTGGGGCGGGAACTCCCCTTTGGCGGTGGTTAGCTGTTTCTGTGACTGAAGTTAGAATTTGGCAAGATAGCCATGGTGGGTGGAGCTGAAGGTCAGAGGTGAAATTCCTCTTATTCTGTAATGAGCATTAATGAAGTGATGGGGCCTGCATTACTGGAGGAAATAGCAGGCTTGGAGGCAGGGCCTCGGCCAGCAGAGGTTGAGTGACAGGTACTGTGTGCAAGCAGGTGATAGGAGCATGAGTCTCCTCCCTGGAACGAGGTGCGAGGTCATTTGTCATATTCACTTTCTCAGGAGCTAATAGGCAGCTTGTGGAAATCATGAAGCAAATAAGTCTATTTTAAAAAGCATGTGAAAATCTCCTGCTTGCTGGCCTTTCTATAAAGAGATTACGTGCCAGGAGGATAACTTTAGGCAAAAACATCACAAAACAGCCTGGTTTCCACAGAGGGAAAGTGGTGCTGATGCAGCGTCGATGGCAGAGGGGGAAGGATAGGAACACCTGAATGCCCCTCACGGCCACCCTGGCCTGCTACCTGCAGCCCGTGTCCCCACCCGCTCTGCAGGGAGAGCCAGGTGGCTCCCTCGGGATGGCGGCAGTGGACCGGGCAGCGAGGGTGGAGGAAGGGTATGGATACAGGTTTCTGTGGCAGGAGGACAGGAAAGATGAAAAAGCTTCAGCAACTTGTTCCCAGGCCGGAAACGCCACCTGTCATGTGTTGAATTGTGTCCCCTGCCAAGTTCGTATGTCGAAGTCCTAACCCCAGTATCTCAGGATGTGGCCTTATTTGGAAATGAGGTTTGCAGATGTCATTGGTTGAGATGAGGTCACACTGGAGGATGGTGGGCCCTGGCCCCCTGTGCCTGGTGTCTGTGTGAGAAGATGGCCCCATGGAGAGACATGCAGGTGGGAACCACAGGACAATGAAGGAGCCAAAGGCCTCAGCGAGCCCCAGATGCTCGGGAGGCCTGAACAGATTCTCCCTCATGGCCTTAGAAGGACTCGCCCTGCAGATAGCTTGATCTTGGACTTGCAGCCTCCAGAACTGCAGGGCAATGTGTTTCTGTGTCGGCCACCCAGGCCGCGGCCATTTTCTTAGAGTGGCCACAGGACTGACCCACCGCCCGCAGAGAGTGGTCTCTGTGTCCAAGACAGAGCTGCTCTCCCGGGTCTCCTGCACTGGCTGGGAGGTTGGGGCCAAGCATGGGCTGCCCAGGGTGCGAGAAGGGCCAGGAGAAGTGGCAGAAGTGGCTGACCCTTCTGGCTGGGGTCCCTCCCATCCCCAGGAGACAGGAGGAACAGTGTGGTCCCGGAGGGGCGAGCTCCCTGGAGGGAAGTTTCATCCCCTGAGCTGACGGGGTCAGTGATGTCACCTGCTGCCCCTCCTTTCCAGACCCGCTAGTCCTCCCTGGCCATTGCATGTGCCCCGAGGGTCCTGCACAAGCCAACAGTGCCCATGAGCCAGCCGGAGACGGAGCCGCCATGACACACACTCCCACCCTACGGATCTGCCTGGTGTGCAGGTGGTGGGGCTGTCCCCTTGACGGACAGGTCTTGGGCCTCCGTGCCTGTGGGGACCCTGTGAGAGGCGCCTCTTTCAGGGGAGGTGTGTGGCTCCCACATCGGCTTTCTCATTGAGTCTGAGGCTGGGGCCAGGCCACCCAAATTCCCACAGGGCGCGCATCTCATCCCTTAAGCCCTCTGTGGTCTAATGGGGGTCCTAGCCTATCTTTCCTGCCCCCACGATTCTCCTCCCATCTCCACCTTCCCATCAAGCGCCCAACTCCTGTCCTTCCAGCCAGGTCTTTGCCTGCACCCACAAATCCATCTTTCACCCCAGCCCACGACACACCCCAACCAGAGGCTCATCCTCCTCAGAGCATCACAGCGCCCTGTCCTTCCCTCCTTGAGCCCTTCTCACATGTTGCTGACTCTGCCTAAAGATGTCTGAGTTCTTCCGCTGAACAGGAGCACCTTTAGGGCAGCAACAGTGCCCAGCTGTCTTTGTGTCAACCCCAGCTTTCTGCCCACTGAACGCTTCACAGGAGAGGGGCATTTCTGGATTTGGAATTAATCCCGAGACAGGACCCACTATTGTCCCCAGTACCTGCTCCTCCAGTCCCCTGGGAGCTATGCCGAGGGGGAGAGTGGAAGGGATTTTTACTCTGAGAAGATCTCCTCCCTCTCGCTCTGTTTATTTTGTGATTTAAAAATAGTTTGTCTGTTGAGAGCCCGTTTGTTGCTGTGACCCTTCTGCTATTTAAACAGAGCCCCTGCCTCATCCCCCAACACCCTCAGTTTTCCAGGCAGAACATTCCACACGGTTGCAACCTCCCCCGCCCAGCGAGGCTTTCGCACTCACTCCCCTCCGACACACCTGCAGGCAGCTTCTTTTTCACAGTGAGGACCTGGAACTCAGCGCAGGCTCTGTGTGAGGCCAGAGGAAGGGACACGAAGCGCGCTGAGCTGTCGCTCTCCTTCCCTTCCGGACCTCACACTTCTGCTGGTGCCGTGAGCTTTTTCTTGGCAGCACCTTCTCATTACGGATTCAGATGAAGCCTGAATCAGCTGCAACCCCTGAGCATTCTCTTCCAGAGATGGGTGTTGCTCCTGAGCCGTGAGCACACATAAGCCTGGGCAGCTGTTGCTTTTTTCTTTTAAGCACAAAGTAGAGTATTTCATAGAGAAAACTTGTAGGGCTTCAGCTTTACAATGACAAAAAAACTTAGCGTAACAAAACAGTCCAATGGTTATTGCAGAGCAGAACTGTCCTGAATTAAAGGGAATCCTTCCCTTAAGGCTGATGCTATTCCAGAGTGCGGACGAACCACGTGTTGCTTATCCAGTCATCTGTCAGGGAACTCTCGGGCTGCCTCCCCCTTTTGGCGATTATGAAGAATGCTGCTGCCAACAAGGATGTACAAATACCCCTTTGAGTCCCTGCTTTTTGTTCCTTTGGGTATAAATCAAGAAGTGGGGTTGCTGGACCATCTGGTAATTGTGTGCTTAATTTTTTGAAGAGCCACTGGTGTTTTCCATAGCAGCTGCCCCATTTCATCATCATCTTAATTCTTCATTTATACCTCGATCACACCATCATTCTGCTGGAATATTATAATTAAGCAATTCATGCAAACATTTTTAAGATGTGAGGTCTTTATGTCACCCATTTTGATTTAATTGCTAACAAATTAATTTTTATAAATATTAATAGCCCAGCCAAAAGTAATTATTTATAAACCTGGAGTGCATGTTGATTTATACATTATTCTTCCTAACCAGTTCTAATTCTAATATTTTAGTAAGACATGTTTCCAATTTTCTTTACCCCCAAACTAATTTTATAGCCCGTTTTTATATGTTAAGGTTTATTTACTATAAAATGTGATTTATCTTGATCACAATAAACATATCATAATCACTGTGCTGTTATTACTTTCTAAACTTGATTCCGTGTATAATTTTGAGATGCTTGCTTCTCAGGACTTCCTTCAAGTTGTTATCTGTAATCCCAAGGGTTCTAAGGTCAAATCCATAGAAATTAAAACAGTAGGACAGATTTCTGCTTCTAGCCAAGGTGAAGTAAGAGGGACTTTATTTATTCTCTTGCATGAAATAAAATATCAGACAAAATATGTGAAAAAAATGACTTTCAAAACATTTAACATCAGGCAACAAAGGATAGGGACACCTGAGAGATGGGAAATCAATGAATCAAGCCACATAATTGTCTTAGGTTATGGCCTGGAGAGAATTTACAAGCCGTGCTCCAGGAGGAGCCCAGTGGTCTCTCTGAATTGAGGAGATGGGGCTGAGAGCCTGAGAAGCCCAAGGTGCTAACCTGTGTGGGGCAGGTTCTGTGGAGGAGAGAGCTTTGGAAGAGAGAGAGCTCACATGCCCTGGAGATCCACAGTGGGTCCCCCTTAAAACCCATTTATGCCTAGTGTTCCATTATTGGAATGCTAAACATGTGGGACTTATTTATATCCTACTCCTCAAGGTCATCGCCAAGGTCTGATTGCAAAAATTCAAAGCATTGCAACCTCAGGCATAGATGGGTTAAGTCTTTCACTAATCAGCATATGCATGAGAAGGCAGGTTTAGAGAAACTATGATCTGAAAAGTTTGGAGAACAACAACAACAACAAAAGTATGTGGTGCTCCTACAGAGCCGGAAACAGTTTCTATTACCAGCAGCCAAAGTGGGAAAAAGAAAAATCAAAGTTCACAGGGAATCAGAGGGAGTCCTCAGAAGGGGTATGTCTCCAAAGTGGGATAAAATTAGCCTCCAACTAAACATTGATCTGGTCCCGTCTCACAAAGCTCAAACATCAGACCCAAATGGAGCAATCTGCTTCCAAATAACTTACCTATGTGTCATAAAAAAATAACATTTACAGAAACACACAAGGTGAAATGTACAATGGGTGGCATCCAATCAAAAATGACCAAGCAGGTAAAGAAGCAGGAAAACATGACCCATAATAAGGAGAAAAATCAACCAATCAAAACCAGATTAGAAATAACACAGGCTGCCAGGCATGGTGGCTCATGCCTGTAATCCCAGCACTTTGGGATGCCGAGGCAGGTGGATCACTTGAGGTCAGGAGTTCAAGACCAGCCTGGCCAAATGGTGAAACCCTGTCTCTACTAAAATACAAAAATTAGCCGGTGTGGTGGTGCGTGCCTACAATCCCAGCTACTTGGGAGGCTGAGTCAGGAGAAACGCTTGAACCTGGGAGGTGGAAGTTGCAGTGAGTGAGATTGCACCACTGCACTCCAGCCTGGGCAACGGAGTGAGACTCTGTCTCAAAGAAAAAAAGAAAGAAAGAAGAAAGGAAGAAAGAAAGAGAAAGAAAGAAAGAAAGAAAGAGAGAGAGAGAGAGAAAGAAAGAAAGAAAAGGGAAGAGAAGGGAAGAGAGAGAGAAAGAAAGAAGAAAGAAAGAAAGAGAGGGAGGGAGGGAAAGAGAAAGAAGAAAGAAAGAGAGAAAGAAAGAGAAAGAAAGCAAAGAAAGAAAGAAAGAACGAAGAAAGAAAGAAAAATTATGTAATGACTAGACAAGGACATGAGAGGCTATGAGAACTGTGTTCCATATATTCAAGAAGCTAAAGGAAAGATTGAATATGCTAAGCAGAGACATGGAGGACATAGAAGGGATAAAAATTGAACTTCTAGATGTAAAAACCACAATGTCTGAGATGAAGATTGCACTGGATGGGACGAAGAGCAGATTAGCCATTGTGGAAAGGAAGATTTGGGAAACCTGAAGATACAGCATGAGACACAGAAAGACAAAGGATTCAAAATAGACACAGGGCATCACTGGGCTGTGGGGAACCCTCATGGAGCCTAATAAACATGTAACTAGAGACCCTCAGAAAGAGGACTCAGAAAGGCAGATAGAAAAAAGGTGAGAAGAAATCGTGGCCAAACTTTTTCCAAATTCGATGAAAACTCCAAACCCATAGATGTAAGAAATTCCGTGGGTTGCAAGCATAAGGAACATGAAGAAAACTAAAAATTGCTTAAAACTAGAGAAAAGAGGAAATCTTCAACTCAGCCAGAGAGAAGACACAGGAGATGCAGAGGGGGAAACAAAAGAATGCCAGTATGCTTCTCATCAGGAAAAATGCAAGCCAGAAACACTCATAGAGAGGAGCAATCAATGAGCACCTAAGTAATAGACAAGAACTCACTGAAACAGGGGAGTAATCAATGTGCACTTATGTAATAGACAACAGGAGTGATCAATATGCAACTGTGTAATAGACAAGAGGAGTGATCAATGTGCACCTATGAAATAGACAAGAACTCACTGACACAGAGGAGCAATCAACACACACTTATGTAATACACAAGAACTCACTAAAATACGGGAGTAATCAATGTGCACCTGTGTAACACACAAGAACTCACTGAAACAGAGGAGTAATCAATGTGTACCTGTCTAATAGACAAGAACTCACTGAAACAGAGGAGTAATCACTGTGTACCTGTGTAATAGACAAGAACTCACTGAAACAGAGGAGTAATCACTGTGTACCTGTGTAATAGACAAGAACTCACTGAAACAGAGGAGTAATCACTGTGTACCTGTGTAATAGACAAGAACTCACTGAAACAGAGGCGCAATCAATGTGTACCTACGTAATAGACAAGAACTCACTGAAACAGAGGAGCAATCAATGTGTACCTGTGTAACAGACAAGAACTCACTGAAACAGAGGAGCAATCACTGTGTACCTGTGTAATAGACAAGAACTCACTGAAACAGAGGAGTAATCACTGTGTACCTGTGTAATAGACAAGAACTCACTGAAACAGAGGCGCAATCACTGTGTACCTGTGTAATAGACGAGAACTCACTGTAACAGACGAGTAATCAATGTGTACCTGTGTAATAGACAAGAACTCACTGAAACAGAGGCGCAATCAATGTGTACCTGTGTAACAGACAAGAACTCACTGAAACAGAGGAGTAATCAATGTGCACCTGTGTAATAGACAAGAACTCACTCCAACAGAGGAGTAATCAATGTGTACCTGTGTAACAGACAAGAACTCACTGAAACAGAGGAGCAATCAACGTGTACCTGTGTAATAGATAAGAACTCACTGAAACAGAGGAGCAATCAATGTGCACCTGTGTAATAGACAACAACTCACTGAAACAGAGCAGCACTCAATGTGTACCTGTGTAATACACAACAACTCACTGAAATAGGGGAGTAATCAATGTGCACCTGTGTAATAGACAAGAACTCACTGAAACAGAGGAGTAATCACTGTGTACCTGTGTAATAGACAAGAACTCACTGAAACAGAGGAGCAATCACTGTCTACCTTTGTAATAGACAAGAACTCACTGAAACAGATGAGTAATCACTGTGTACCTGTGTAATAGACAAGAACTCACTGAAACAGAAGAGTAATCGATGTGTACCTGTGTAATAGACAAGAACTCACTGAAACAGAGGAGTAATCGATGTGTACCTGTGTAATAGACAAGAACTCACTGAAACAGAGGAGCAATCAATGTGCACCTGTGTAATAAACAAGAACTCACTGAAACAGAGGAGTATTCAATGTGTACCTGTGTAATAGACAAGAACTCACTGAAACAGAGGCACAATCAATGTTCACCTGTGTAATAGACAAGAACTCAGTGAGACAGAGGAGCAGTCAATGTGTACATATGTCATAGACAAGAACGGGTGAAGACAATCACCATAGAATTCCATTCCCAGGAAAAGTATCTCTCAAAAACAGAAGTCAAATGAAGATTTCTGTCGACATATAAAAAGGGAAAGAATTTATCACCAGGAGATCTGTACTCCAAAGCCTGTTATGCGCAGTCTTTCAGTAGGAAGGAAAATAATACCAGATGGAAACATGGATCTGCAACAAGGAATGAGAGCCCTGAAAATGGTCACCAGGTGGGTACATATAGATACTTCTTAGGTTATTTTGATGCCTTTAAATTAGAAATACCACACTGTCCTGTGAGTTTATAGCATATGTAGAAGTACAATGCAAGCCAAGTGTGCAAAGTCATGGAGGGAGAAATGGAAGTCTACTGGTGTGAGGTTCTTACACTCTATGTGAAGGGTGTAACTCCACTTAAAGGTGGAGTGTGGTAAAACCATGTCTACCATAAACCCTAAAATCATCCAAAAATCACACAGCATAGACGAATAGCAAATAAGCCAAGAAGGCAGTAAGATAGAACCATTTCAACACAGAGGAGAGAATCAGGCACAGTTCCTTGGTAGTAGAGGTGATGGGGCATGTGGCAATTCTCATCTGATTGTTTCTATCTTCCTAGGAACTAGGAAGCCAGGTCACTAATGGCATCCATCTGTCCATTCAGCACATAAGGACTTACTGCTTTCTATGCTGGGCCAGGTGCCCACCCCAAACCTGAGGAACCAGCAGTGCACAAACTAGACAAAAGTCATTGCCCTGCTAGGTTCACATTCTAGGGGATAAATAGGCAGAGGACTAGACAAGAAGATGGGGCCAACTACGGTGAAAGTGAATAGGGCAGGAAAGAGGCAGGAGTGCTGGAGCGGTGCCTCATTCCCAAAGCCTGGGGCCCTGGGCAGGGGGAGGTGGTCAGGACAAAGGGTTAGGGGACAAAGGGTGGGGATGAGGCGGTGGCCCTGGCTGGGGACCCATTGAGCTCTGCCCCCTCCTCCTTTCTGCCTATTGTGCTGTAGAGGCTAGACATGGGAGGCTTGTCCCAAATCCATGGAGCTTCCACATGGTGTCTGGGCTTCTGGGAGGAGAAGATCTAGGGTGGGGGTGGGGAGCCGTGGGGAGGTCTGAGAAGGCAGAAGTGGTCCCGTGAGGTCACTTTCAGGCCCGTCCGTCACCCCAGATGGACAGGAGGGAAGGAGCAGCCTCAGGGCCCACTTGACTGGGGCAGGGAGGACACACAGAGAGGGACGGACACATGTCATGCATGTTTCTCCAACACGTGCATCTCTGACTGGACCAGGTGAGGGGTGAGGCAGTGGCTTTGAAAGGCAAGGGAGGCCATCAAGGCAGGGGTGATGAGGGGCTGTGGAATCGAGGCTGGGGAGGGAGGGAGCACAAACAGGTGACCCCGGGGAATGGAGGTGAGACCCCAAGGCTGGGGTCATAGCACCAGAGAGTAAGTGGGAAAGAGTAGGTGAGGGCGGCCACACTTGGGGTGTTTGCAACAGAGACCTTGCAGGGGCCACTGTCACTGGGAATGACCAGGTCAGCTAATGGGGGTGAGGCAGGATCACTGAGAAAAGGGAGACTGCGATCAGAAGAGCCCAGGTCACGAGCAGGCACATCAACCATGATACTGAAACTGAAGAATTGAGAGGAAGCATCATCATGGAAGGGAAGGTAGCTGCTGGAGGGAGAGCAGGGTAATCAGGAAGGGCAAGGGGGAGGGGAGGACGATGATCTGGAAGCCGCAGGAAGGACACCTGCCATATGTCCAGGCCCAGGGTATGGGAGTGAGGGAAAGAAAACAGCCACCACCGGAGAGGGCTGCAGGACCTCTACCAGGAAGGGGAAGCAAGACAGCAAGGAGCGCTTCAGACCACAGGGCCAGACAAGTGCTCCAGAAGGTGAAGGTGAGAGTGTGCCCTGGAGTCCACTGGCCCTGGGCTTTTTGAGGGTGCAATAGAATTGGACCACACCATCTCCAAGTCAGGTTGTGGTGCTGAGGCTGTGAGCATCAAGGGATGGGGATCAGGGCTCTTGCTAGGGTGCCCAGAACCCTGGAGCCCTCTCACTCCTGCTAAGAAGGCGTGGAGACTGGGGGGGGAGCTCTGTAGCCAGGTGCACGCAAAGGTACTCTCTAAGCGGTGGTACTTGGTGTCATCTCAGCACAGGGCGAAGCTGTATAGACATATCTCATGGGCATGTGGGCCACAGAGGAGCCCCTCAGGAGCTGACGCTCTGAGCAAGGAGCACCGCAGTGGCTAACAGGCAAGTGCGTGCGCCACATGCCAGCAACGGCTGGGCGTGAGGACCATCATCATCAACCCCACAGCAATCCCGAGAAGTCAGGTATGATGAGAAACGCAGGCTCAGGACATTTGGACAACCTGCTCAAGCTCACCCAGAGAGTGTCCCTCCCTCCTTCACTTGGCTCTGCCCTCTCTGCATCCTCATGAGCACTGTGAAGTTGAGCTGGTCATTCAGACACCCATGCCTGGTTAGCTTTGCCCACAAGCCAAGTACTACATTACACAAATATATAATAGGAAAATCCCCTGAAATAGAAAAATGCTAAGCCCCTGTGTGTATGTCCCCTGCACAGTGAAGGTAAAACCAACTTCTAGTCAGGCAGAAGTTTATTTAAAAGTACGCCCTGGTAGGCTGGTTGCAATGGCTCTCACCTGTAATCCCAGCACTTTGGGAGGCTGAAGTGGGAGGAAACCCTGAGCCCAGGAGTTTGAGACAAGCCTGGGCAACACAGTGAGACCCCCATCTCTGCAAAAATTTTTTTTTCGAATTAGCTGGGCATAGCAGCAAGCACCTGTAGTCCCAGCTACTTGGGAGGCTGAGGCAGGAGGATCCCTCGAGCCAGGGAGGTCAAGGTTGCAGTGAGCTATGATCGCACCACTGCACTGCAGCCTGGGTGACAGAGTGAGACTGTCTCAAAAAACAAGCAAACAAAAAACCCAAAAGTACACCTTGACTTGGGAATATAATGAGAACTTGAATTTCTCAATCTTTTCAACTTCTGTAAAATAGTTTTATTATCTATCATAAGACTGCTATGAGGATGTGCAAATCAAAAAGCACCAGTGAAATTATGTTTCAAATATTAAAGAACTATACAAATATGAAGAAAAGATATTGCACTGTGAGTTTATGGAAGTGAGGGCAAGAGAGGAAAGGAAAAGGAAAATGAAGAGGAGTAAATGCACCAAGGCAGAATTGTGCCTCTCAAAAACCTCACTGATTTATCTCCACCATCTGCTGCCGGGGATGTGGGGCCCACGAGATGCTCAGAGCACTCAACAGAGGACGGGGGTCTGACAGCTGCTGTTCTGCAGCCGAATCTCATTTCATCAAAGTTTATGTAATCCCATTTTATCCAGGGGAGGCGGGTGGTCAGATCTGCATGATGAAGGGATTTGGAGGAGAAACGGAATAAGATTTAACCAAACAGGGCAAAGATAAATGGCTTCGTTTAAATGGATCTCCATGGTGGCTTAAGAAGTCAACTGAGCCCCTGTCTGAGCAGCACTGGCACAAAGGATTTAAAGCACTAATTTAATCTCCATGCACACTGACCACAAACAATGATTAGCTAATATCTAGCTAGAAAGAGATATCGCTTCCCATTTTTGTTGTTCTGAAAACCATTTATTCACAAAAATCATTAGGTACAGGCAGCTGGGAACTTAGAAAGTGGAATGACTTGGCTGGGCGCAATGGCTCATGCCTGTAACCCCAGCACTTTGGGAGGGTGAGGAGGGTAGATTGCTTGAGCCCAGGAGTTGGAGAACAGCCTGGGCAACATAGCAAGAATCCATCTCTACAAAATAAAAGAAATAAAAAATAAAAAAAATAGTGGCGGCACATGCCTGTAATCCCAGCACTTTGGGAGGCTGAGGCAGGAGGATCCCTTGAGTTCAGGAGCTCAAGGAAGCACTGAGCTATGATCATGCCACTGCAGTCCATCCTGGAGCAACAAAGCGAGACCCTGTCTCAAAGAAAAAAGAAATAAAATATTGACTTATAGTACAAACTGCCTCAACTTATCCAAACGTTCTTCCATGCTTCTCTAGCTACTATTCTCTATTCACCAACCTCAACAGCCAATTAACTCATGTACAGTATTGCTTTTCTTAAAATAAGTTCTTATCTCATTGCTCTTAAGAGGTCCCCCAAACCTCTGAATCTTTGCTTTCTTTTTCTTTCTCTCTCCTTTTTAAATCAAAGTCATTTAATGAACTGATTATGACTCTAAGTGGCTCCATATACTAATTGCCAAATAATTTCTCTTGTAATTGCACAGCTCAAAGTTTTCAATGATGTCTTAGCACATTTTGGGTGGATGAGTAGAATTTATATTAGAAGATTTGGGCATTAAGACTAATGGAAATACCAAGAAGAAAACCTCAAGACCATTTACCCTGATATAATACTGTTAATCTTGTGTTCTAATTCTAAAGACTTTTTATATCTCAATTTCTAAAGGCCATTTAAAAGGCAAAGATAAATACTAGATATTTTTCATAGCCCTCAAATTAATGACATAATTATTTCTTAATAATTTATAAAATATGTTGCTCTGTGCTTTCATTTTATACAAGTTATTGGTACAGCGCTTCATGGGATATTATTTTGAAATAAGCTTTAAATTGTTTTCCATTGTTGAAATGGCTAAGTTTCCACATTTCCATTCATTTACATGACTTTGGCTGGCATTTAAGAACAAGTATCTGCACCATGATCAATCCTGAAATACTGATGCACTCACTGCTTGTATTTCAGATGTCATTCTTCTGACACTTGCAGCCATTTTTATACATTCATCTGTGCATGATCTGGGATCAGAGCCTGAGATGAGGATGTCACCGAGTAAGGTGATGTAAGCAGGTGCCAGGCAGAGAGTGTTGATTTTAGAGAGTCATTTTCACAGGGGAAGGTCGGGGCCAGCATCTCAGCTCCTGGGAAGCAGAACTGGTACTGAGCATGCTCTTCCTCTCTCTGACGCTGGCTGCTCGCCCTCTGCACCCTGTGAGGGAGAGAGCACCAAGCTTCTGTTGGTGTTGACTGCCATCTGCTAAGGGACCCGCGGGAGCTGTCCTCTTCAGCACTACTCTCTAGCGGCAAGACTTGGACACTCAGATCTGAGCATGCAACTGGACTTTCAGAAAAGATGTGCTGACAAGGTTTGCAGGCCAGGACCACCTGATCCACCGCAGAAGGGTAGTCAGAGGAAACGCTGTCCCCTGATATGGCCACTCTGTGGCATTCGGATCCACCTGCCCCTAGAAATCATAATCAAATAGGGAGCTTGCTCAAAATCATAGATGGGATCATCCATAATTTGTACTGACTTAAAAGTGAAGAGCCAAAACTGGTACCTTGCCACTTTAATGGCCCCCAAGAGCACTGTTCTGACCATAAATCCAACGTCTACCTTGTTGGAGAGACTGTCGCTGTGGTTTGGCCATCAGCAGGATTGTGTCTCGCAGAGTCTCCCATGAAATCAAGGGACACACAGGCTTAAACAGTTTAGGGCTGTCCAGCAGCAGGGGGTTCGCTGTTACACTGAGGCATTCACATTTAACTAGGGCACATGTTTCTTATTTTATCGACGGTGGCCCACAATGAAGGGAAGCAGACAGAAAGTTCGGAGTTTGAATCAACCTTCCACTGAAAGACTTCCTGAGATCATTCTAATCCCCTTCTTCAGGTTTAATCTCCAGTTAAAACTCACAGAAGGAACTTCATGAAGATGTTTACAGACTTAAGTGTTTGATTAGGGAAAGAGGGAAAGGAGGAAGAATAATTTACCATTCTTAATACAACGGAATGATAGTAGATACAATTTGCTGTAGACCAGAAAACAGTGTGAAAGTAACAAACTGTCAGAACCATATAAGGGGTTGTTAGACTTTTTCGTTATTCTGTTCCCCTTGGCAACAAGGTCAGAGCTATGACAAAACAATAGATTGGGTGCCTACTATATACAATACCTAGGAACACCCAGTTCTTATCCACATGCAGCCCACAGCCTGTTGCGGAAGCACAAGAAATGCTATAATGCAGAATAAAGTGTAGATCCCAACAAGTTCTCT
The DNA here is from genome assembly GCF_000001405.40 of Homo sapiens. Lineage (NCBI taxonomy): Eukaryota > Metazoa > Chordata > Mammalia > Primates > Hominidae > Homo > Homo sapiens. The sequence goes on along the minus strand of NC_000002.12, from coordinate 238,760,954 downwards.
GAATCATTACCTATATTTAATGGTGGTTTGGATCCTAAGATAAGGTCTCTTTGATTCTCCATCCACATCCCCACTGCCCTCTCTCCTACAACTTGGTCTTAATGTCAAAAAATAAAACTGAAAAATTCTTACTATTTCAAGAAGTATCAATGTAGTTCCCTTCAACCACATAGGTTACTAATACTCTGGGGCCCCTTAAACACTTACACTGTTTTATAACTGATGGTAAGGTTTCTCAAATCCTTTTCCCATGCTATGCTCAGAATAACCCTATAAACGACAATACTCACTTCACAGTTTAGGAGATGTAGGCCTCCTCTATGAAGTTGCCTCACGCCTTACCCAGAGTCACATGGTGGTTGGCAGGTGCACACATACACATTCACACACACATACACATACACACCCACCCCCCACACACACTCATATGTGCACACACACACTCTCACACTCATCCCATGTACACACTCACACTCACATGCAAACACACACATGCACACTCACACGCAAACACACACATGCACACTCACACACACACTCTCACTCACAATGTACAGCTTTGGCCCCAGTCTTTTCTCAACACAACCTGGGTGATTCTTTCAAAACTTGAGTCTGATCATGTCACTTCTCTGTTAAAAACCACCTGATGCAAAAGTAAAAACCAAGGTCATTCCAAGCACCTTCCAGGTCCTAACTGCTGGTTCCCCAGGACCCTCTGAGGTCATCGCCTGCCACTCCTGGACTCATTCCCTTTGGTGCAGCCACATGGGCCTTCTTCCTGGTCCCAAATCCCCCAGCATCACTCTGGGCTCAGAGCCCTTCACCTCCTATTCTTTCTGAAATGCCTCCCTCTCACACTCTTCAAGCCTTTGCCCAATGACTGCATGGTCCTCCTCGTAATCCTATGGAAAGGACCCCCTGAAAAAACTTGATACCTCTTGTTTTTACCCACAGTATATGTCACCTAATAAAATATGGAACTTACTTATTTTGTTTTCTGTTTATCTACCCTGTCTATAATATAAACTCTATGAGGACAGAGATTTGTTTTGTGTACACACACACACACACACCCCCCTAGAATCTTCAACAGTGAAACTTGGCAATAATGTGCATCAATAAACATTTGTTGAGTGAATGAATGAATGAAAGGACACAATTTGTAAAGAAAAGAAAGACCATGTTCTATACAAAGTTGCATATCCACCTGTAATCCCAGCACTTTGGGATCACTTGAGGCCAGGACTTCGAGACCAGCCCAGGCAACATAGTGAGACCCCATATGTACAACATTTTTTTTTTTTTTTTTTGAGACGGAGTCTCGCTCTGTCGCCCAGGCTGGAGTGCAGTGGCGCGATCTTGGCTCACCGCAAGCTCCGCCTCCCGGGTTCACGCCATTCTCCTGCCTCAGCCTCCTGAGTAGCTGGGACTACAGGCGCCCGCTACCACGCCCGGCTAATTTTTTGTAAAAAATTTTTTTAAAAATTATCCGGACATAGTGGCATATGCCTGTGGTCCCAGCTACTCGGAAAGCCTAAGGCAGGAGGATTTCTTGGGCCGAGGAGTTTGAGGTTGCAGTGAACCATGTTCATGCCAGTGCACTCTAGCCTTGGTGACAGAGTGAGACCCTATCTCAAAATAAATAATAAAAAAGTTATATATTTTTCTATTTTTATTTATTACCACATCAGGAAAATTTTCTCATGTCATTCAATATTATTCAAAAATAAAATTTTCAACGTCTGTAATCTGTTTCATCATCCAGATGTACATGATCTATTTAACCATTTTCCTATATTGGGGATTTTGGATTGCTTCACACTTATAAGTGACTCTGCAAACAATATCCACGAGTCTATTTCCTATGTATTTGTTGAGTGTTTAATATGTGCTAAGCTTAGTATTGAGGCTACAAGGAGAAGCTGGAATCCAGTCCTTATTATGAAGCTCTCAGGCAGGTAGGAAAAAGAGGAAAGGCCGGGTGCGGTGGCTCATGCCTGTAATCCCAGCACTTTGAGAGGTTAAGGCAGGTGGATCACTTGAGACCAGGAGTTTGAGACCAGCCTGGCCAATATGGTAAAACTCCACCCCTACTAAAAATACAAAAATTAGCTGGGCATGGTGGCAGGCACCTGTAATCTCAGCTACTCGGGAGGCTGAGGCAGGAGAATTGCTGGAACCTGGGAGGCAAAGGTTGCAGTGAGCCAAGATCATGCCACTGCACTCCAGCCTGGGTGACAGCAGCAAGACTCCATCTCAAAAAAAGAAAGAAAAAGAGAGAGTGAGAGAGAGAGAAAAGGAAGGAAGGAAGGAAGGAAGGAAGGAAGGAAGGAAGGAAGGAAGAAAGAAAGAAAGAAAGAAAGAAAGAAAGAAAGAAAGAAAGAAAGAAAGAGAAAGAAAGAAAGGAAGGAAGGAAGGAAGAAAGAAAAAGAAAGAAAGGATGTGGAGAAATAAGAACACTTTTACACTGTTGGTGGGACTGTAAACTAGTTCAACCATTGTGGAAGTCAGTGTGGCGATTCCTCAGGGATCTAGAACTAGAAATGCCATTTGACCCAGCCATCCCATTACTGGGTATATACCCAAAGGATTATAAATCATGCTGCTATAAAGACACATGCACACGAATGTTCATTGCGGCACTATTCACAATAGCAAAGACTTGGAACCAACCCAAATGTCCAACAATGATAGACTGGATTAAGAAAATGTGGCACATATACACCATGGAATACTATGCAGCCATAAAAATGATGAGATCATGTCCTTTGTAGGGACATGGATGAAGCTGGAAACCATCATTCTCAGCAAACTATCGCAAGGATAAAAAACCAAACACCACATGTTCTCACTCATAGGTGGGAATTGAACAATGAGAACACATGGACACAGGAAGGGGAACATCACACACCAGGGACTGTTGTGGGGTGGGGGGGGGAGGGATAGCATTAGGAGATATACCTAATGCTAAATGACGAGTTAATGGGTGCAGCACACCAACATGGCACATGTATACATATGTAACAAACCTGCACGTTGTGCACATGTACCCTAAAACTTAAAGTATAATAATATTAAAATTTTAAAAAGAGAAAAAAAAAGAAAGAAAGAAAGAGAAGACGGGGGGAAGAAAGGAAGGAAAGAAGAAAGAAAGGAAGAAAGACAATTTAAGTGTGGTCAATAGAAAAGAATGATGTTAGAAATGGTTATTAATAGATTTATTATGCCACAGGTCACTGAACTCTATTGTTTGCTAGTTTTCTCTTTACTCCTCAGATTGAATCTCTTCTATTTATCTAGCCTCAAGTTCACCAATCTTTATTCTGCCAATGCAAGTCTGCTATTAAGCCCATCCAGTGAAATCTTCATTTCAGATATTGTATTTTCAGTTCCCAAAGTTATGTTGTTTACATACTGTCTTATAAATTGGACCTAACCTAGTACTGCTCTAACAAAAACCTAACTATAATATATGGCTGATTTGCCAAGAAATGACTTGTCTGGTGCCAGTCCTGTCCTTGTTATAATTAGCGTAAGTGAGAGAGGAGACAAGTCATAACAAGTTGGTTGGACAGATGCTCTCCACTGTTCACTGAATAATAAAAAAGGGAAGAATGGGAAGATGGAAATAAATAAAAAGACAAAATATTTGTTGCTGCCATTGTATGGAACTGTTATATTTTGCAGATTATATCCATACCATCTCTTTTATGCTATATGATATGCAAAGTAGACAAATATAATAATGAAGTCTAGCTGACTTGTGGCATTGTAATAAAGCTGATAAATGGGTTTGTAATCTATGAATTAAATGAAAGTTATTGGCTGGTAAATTTCCACAGTTCAGTTGATGCAACAACACAACTTTCATCAATACATTTCAATCGGGTGCAGGAATCCCGTCCTGGGGCTATTCTGAGAATGGACCTAGAACACTGATGCTCCTTGCTACAATGATGCTAAATGAATTTATCAGAAATAAGTTATGATATTTTACATATTTTATGATAAATAATATACCTAGATAAGAGAATATCTATAATAATATACCTAGATAAGATACATTGATACCTTGATAATATACATTGATACCTAGATAAGATACATTGATACCTAGATAATATACATTGATAATTAGCTTGCACTCTGGATGTTCAATACAAATATTTCTAGAAACTATAATGGCAATGCAAAGCATGGTTAGAAGATATAAAATATATAGAAAGCCACTCCTGAAAAGCAAGCAAAGAGTTTGTTATTGCCAGTAAAACAGTGACTTAAGAACAATATTAAATCACTCACTATTCTTTTCAGTCATACTCTGAGCTTCCTATTCAAAACCATGTTTTCTAATTCAAAAAGTTATTGCTTATTCTTGGAACAATAATCAAGACCCCATGCTGAAGGCTTCCGCCCTCACTCCAAGAACATCAGGATTGACTTAGTAAGAACTTTTTACCCCCAGTCAATACAGATGATGCATTTTCACTGTGTTCCCCACATGCCCACAATACTACCCAGGGCTCACTGACAATGAAGGAGGAATCATTGTAGCCAAAGATCTGGTAGTTCTAGGTTAGACTATTGCAGCATTGGCGAAGCAGGTCCTCATGGGCCACAAGAGTCTCTCCTTCCAGATGACTCTGCACAGAACCATCTCAACAGCGTTGGCCCCAGTCCACATGGATCTCAAGCTTCTTAAATGGCATCTGTGTCTTTATTAAGATAAAACTGAAAGAACATGGGTGGTTTTTAAGGCATGGAAAGGAAGACTGTTAAGCTGTTTCCAAGGGGCTAATAAGAATTGGCCTTCAAATCTCCCCCAAAGAATGAAAATGCCTTTGAGGATATAAATGGATTAGAACTCCCCCCCAAAAAAGAAAAGACTGGTGAGAGTGACATTTCCTTTTTCTATTGTTTGAAGAAGAGAATGTGTTTCTTTTTATCCTAATATAAGAGTTAATGCAACAGTATAATAAAAAGCAGAGGTGGAATTTCTCCTATAACGGAATTTCAAAGGGAGGCAATCTGCTTTTGAAAAGCTGGGATGACTTCTAAGTGGAAGCTGCTCGAGACGCAGGGCGAGCTGGTGTTTAAACACACCCCACACAAGCAATTCACCTGACAGCTGAGTGATTTGTCCAAATGCAAATGGGCGGGATGGATCTTCGAGGTTACTTTTGTCAGCATGAGAACTATGAGAAAAATTCACCTTTGAGAGTCTTAGTTTTGCTATTTGAAAAAGAACTTGGCCAGTTCAGCCCTCCGTTTCTATTTTCAGGGCTACATAAATTAATTCCAGTCTTTTTCAGAGGTGAAGGAAATTTCTCTAATAAAAAGTCATTGATGTTTTCACATTTTTCATCATCTTTTTAAAAACTGTACTGCAACATTTTATGGAGGCTAATTTAGTGGAATGTCATGTTATTTATTTTACAGTGTGGATCTGAGGATAGACCAGCCTGCTTTTTTTGATAATGAAAAGCAGAGTTTTAAACATTGAAAAAATAAGGGAAGGGCAAAATGTTATGGGATGTTAGTGTTATGGTATATAGACATAATTATTTTTAAAAAGAAAATACAATAATCAGGGTTTCTCAAACTTGAAGAATACATGCATCCATTGAAGGAAAAACAATTTTTATGGACACCCAGCATTGTCTTACATTACTTTTATTGTATTTTACAATACTTTACATATATTTACATTACTTTTATTATATTTTATTATAATGTCATTTGAATATGCATAAATATAAACCAAAGTGCTGGCCTTTTACAATAACTTGTATGCAGCAAAATGAAAAGAAATATATATAATAGGAACAGATACAATGGAAACCATAAAAGTCCATGTTGACAGCATCAATTGAACGCAAAGGATGATATGATTTTGCTGAGATTCATCCGTATCTTCCGAAGAGAATGTGGCACTAAGCGACTTGCTGCCTGTTCCTGTAAGCTCTGCACACCCATGGTGCTTTAGGAAAGGCTGTTTCTCTCATGACTATTTCCTCGTTGAGCCACAGACACCTCTGGTTTTCACCCAGTGTAAATGCATTGCTTACTTGTAGTCGGCCTTTGTTCCTCCTTTTTCACCTTGAGCAATTAAATAAGGACTCCCCCTGACTGTGAACACTAAGGCAAACATGGGGCTGACATGACATCACTGTGTTGGTGATCAGTTGGCCTTCTCGTCGGTCCAGAACACAAAGGCAAAATTCAGCTACACAGTACTTCTGTAGGCCCCAGCTTGATCAACACTGATGTAGTTGCTGGACCCTGCTCTGGGAAGAAATCATTGAAACACACATTGGTTGTGAAAATCAAGTTTTCATCTTTTGCCTCAGTTCTGCCTTTTATGCAGCAAGTCCTCCTCATTTGCCACCCAGAAAACTGCTAGTCACCCTCCAGGACTCCACACAACGTCACAGCTTCTGCAGAGTCTATGCCAATGCAGGCACACGAACCACGCCCATCTGAGGCTGACCATTTGCTACTTTGGGCTTCCACAGCCGTTTGCACCAGCCTCTAGGGGGCATTTCTCACTACTGACCGCTTTGCCCCATATCCATCTCCTCCAGCCTTTCAGTCTGTGAGCTTGAGCTCTTCGTAAACTCAAGAACAAGGAACTCCGTTTTTCCATATTCAACTCACTAGAGCCCAGAGTTAGCAGGCCCTCCGTAAATGCAGAAGGAATAAACTGTTGCAAAACAATGTTTGTAAAATGTGAAAAGCAACCAGCAAATAAATCAAAATGCAATGGAATAAGAATCTGTGCTATGGACATATGTGGTCCCTCATCAGGGCCACCACCACCCACCGCCCACCCTGCCCACCGCCAACACATACCTCACTTCTACAGACCCAGAAGATGTGGTCTATAACCACGCATAGAGTGTGGGAATGTTTTCTTTTGTTTCAGTGGACATTGCAGCATTATTGCAGGCATGCACTTCACTGTCAGGCAGAGATTAACTCTGTGTATCTTCACTGAATCTGCTTATAAACTGTAGCTGAAAGCAGAAAGCCTTGGAGTTGTTTTGCCCCACGCCTGGGGAGGAAATGGGATATGGTGGTTTTCTGGAAGGTTGGGCAGCAGGAGACTGTGAGTAATTCCTCTCAGAGAGCAGAGGGTGCAACTGCCCCCTGTGAATGCCAGGAAGCAGCCTGCTGGACCTCCCGACCTGGGGGCCCTGAAAGGAAAGAGTGGAGTGGGACAAATGGCTCCCAAGCCCTAGGGTAGACTAAGTCTGTGCCCAGAGTCCCGCCTGTGAGCTAAGAAAAAACAAGAAGGCAGAAGGCAACATGAGAGAATTTTCCATTTCGGAGATTTTGATAGGTATCCATTGACTGAGTGTGTGACAAAGGGAAGAACCCTCTAAGCAGGATAATGGTGAGAGAGCGTTCAAGAACAGCAGTTTGTAAGCAGCCAAAACAGCCAGTCTAAACTGGAGCCAAAGGTTGTGTCTAGTCCATCAATGGAAGTGATGGTTTAAGAGTTGGTCTAAGGCCGGGCGCAGTGGCTCACGCCTGTAATCCCACCACTTTGGGAGGCTGAGGCAGGTGGATCACAATGTCAGGAGTTTGAGACCAGCCTGGCCAACATGGTGAAACCCTGTCTCCACTAAAAATACAAAAATTAGCTGGGCATGGTGGTGGGCGCCTGTTATCCTACCTACTTGGGAGGCTGAGGCAGGAGAATCGTTTGAACCCAGAAGGCGGGGGTTGCAGTGAGCCATGAGCCGAGATCGCACCATTGCACTCCAGCCTGGGCAACAGGGTGAGACTCTGTCTCAAAAAAAAAAAGAAAGAAAAGAAAAAGAAAAGTTGGTCTATCGGGCCGGGCACAGTGGCTCATCCCAGCACTTTGGGAGGCTGAGGCGGGTGGATCACCTGAGGTCAAGAGTTCAAGACCAGCCTGGCCAACCCTGGCCAGGCCAGTAGAGAAATGGTGAAACCCTTTCTCTACTAAAAATACAAAAAAATCAGCCGGGCATGGGGGCACACGTCTGTAATCCCAGCTACTCGGGAGGCTGACGCAGGAGAATCACTTGAACCCGGGAGGTGGAGGTTGCAGTGAGCCGAGATCACACCATTGCACTTCAACCTGGGTGACAGAGCGAGACTATGCCTCAAAAATAAAAATAAAAAAGAGTCAGTCTATCAGTGACACACAGCTGACCCTTGAACAACATGGGTTTCAACTGCATGGGTCCACATATATGCAGATTTTTTTCAATAAATATACTGGAAACATTTTTGGAGATTTTCCACAATTTGAAAAAACACAGGTGAACTGTGTAGCCTAGAAGAGTGAAAAAAGTAAGAAAAAGATACGTCATGAATGCACAAAATATATGTAAGTACTAGTCTGTTTTATCATTTCCTACCATAAAATATACACAAACCTACTATAAAAGTTAAAATTTATCAAAATTGATGCACTCAAACACTGACAAACTGAAGTACATACTCCACTACTGGAATAATTCTGTAGCCACCTCTTTTTGACATTGGTGAGTTCAAGTATTGAATCTGTGGAAAACCAGTGTGCCCCTAATCACCTCCACCTGAGCAGTTCATCTCTCCAGTAAATTGAGTATTGCAGTAAAAAGTGACCTCTTGCAGTTCTGTACTTTTCATTGTGTTTAGTGCAATACCATAAATCTTTTTTTTTTTTTTTTTTTGAGACGGAGTTTCACTCTTGTTGCCCAGGGTGCAGTGCAATGGCATGATCTCGGCTCACTGCAACCTCCACCTCCCAGGTTCAAGCAACTCTCCTGCCTCAGCCTCCCAAGTAGCTGGGACTACAGGCACACTACCACATCCGGCTAATTTTGTATTTTTGATAGAGATGGAGTTTCACCATGTTGGCCAGGCCGAGTCCATTTTTGAGTCAATTTCTTGGTGGTCAATTTTTGGAAATTCCCCACGTGTTCTTGAAAGAATATTTTCCAGTTTTGGGGTGCAGTATTTTATGTATGCCTATTGGGCCCAGATTTTAAATTATGTTGTTTAAATCTGATACACCCTTGCTGGGTGGTATCTTCCTGATGTATTGATTACTAGGAGTGGTGTGTTAACATATTCAGTAGGTTGGTGTTTTGTCCATTTCTCTCATTGGTTTTTATAATTTATTATAATGGAACAAAAAATTTCTCTTAACAATTTATAAGTGGGTCTGTCCATTTTTATTTTATACATTTTGAAGCTATGTTAGCAGGTTACAAAAGACTTTTAAAATAATCACATTTTCCTGGTAAATTGACCGTTTTGTCAATTTACAGTGACCCTCTTTATTTCTAGGAATGCTTTTTGCCTTAGGCTGTATTTCATCTGATATTAATATAGTTGTAACAGCTTTCCTTTGAGTATTTGCCCTTTTCCATCCCTTTATTTTCAAACTTTAACTTAATTAAAAAAATAATATCATTACCTTTCTCTCCAAAAACAAAAGGGCTTTAGAATGCTTTAACTCTGATAATCCCTTCCCAGTTTACATGCCATTGGTTTCTTAGTTTCTGGCTATTCTGATTTCATTTTATCCCACAAATTATACATTATTATTATTGGGTTTTAAATCAATGTTTAGATTTACCCACTTGCTTATTATTGTAGCCCTCATCATTTCTTCTTAAATTCAGATCTTTTTTCTGAAACTATTCTTCCTCCACTCTTTTAGAAGAGTGTGTCAAAAGCATATCTTCAAAAGAGTGTGTCAGCTGTAAATTCCATTTTTGTTTGTCTGAGGAATCTTTATTTCATCCTTATTCTTGGAGAAGAGATATTCTGGGCATAAAATTTTAGACTAAGAATGATTTCTTACAATATTTTGAAGATATTATTTTACCGTCTTTTGGCTTTTATGTTGTTGAAATGTCAGCTATCAAACTGTTCACCTTTAGGTAATCTGTTTTTTCTCTCCATTCTTAGATGTTCCCATTATCTTTGGTATCCCTCAAGGCACTATGATGCTTGTAGAGTGCTTATTATTATTATTATTCTGCTTGGTGTTCACTAGTTTCTTAATCTGAATATTAGAGTCTTTCAATAATAATAGAATATTCTCTTCAATTATCTCTTCAAATATTTCCTCTCTCACAGTCTGTCCATCTCCATCTCTTTATCTCTTTCATGTTTTCCATCTCCTTTATATTTTATATTTTATCTAAATTATTCAGATCTACCTTCTAATCTACTTAGTCTCTCTTCAGCTTTGTGTATGTTTTCAGATCCGCCTTCAAATTTACTGAGTCTCTCTTCAGTTGTATTTAATCTGTTGTTTACTTCATCTATTGAGTTTCTGATTTTAGCCATTATATTTTTCATATTTTGTACTTTTATTGGCTCTGTTTCATAAGTGCTTATTTCCTTGATAATTCCTTACCATCATACATTCAAAATCTTCTTTTACTTCTTGAAACATATAAAAGAGATTTATTTTGTATTCTAGCATCTGATCATTATGACACCTTTGATTTTTGTGAATCGCATACTACGTTTTGTAGTTTCTGCTTACTCTTGCTCATGGTGGCTTATTTCCTTGTGTGGATTGTGTTGTTTGATAGTTAACTTATGTTCCATAAAACTTTATCTGTTAAAGCCTGAGTTTAAAGTTGACTCCTCCAAATTTGCCTGGGGATTTGACTCACCTGAGACTTTATTTAAACTAAAGTTTAAGTTCTTCATCCCCACACAAGTAGTATGAATTCCAGTCCCAAGCTCCTGTGAGTATGATGAGATTTAAGAATTCTTTGGAGATACTCTTTGTTTATTCAGGTCGGTCTAGAGCCGGACCATCTCTTTCAGCAGGGTGTGTTGTCCCCCTCCCCCACTGCAAGTTGTACTTTTTGAAGTATCACATTTTAAGGATTCTGGCCTTATTTGAGATTCTCCAATTTGACTTGCTACTTGGCTCAGGCGCCCAGGTTTGTGCTCTGTCCCTAAGCAAGTGGCCTATTAAATCTAGGATCTAGGTCACCAGGGGTTGGCAGATGTCCCCAGCAAAGGTCCGTTTTCAGCTGCTGGACCACCCCTCCAGATTCATGCTTCCTTGTTTCAGGATCAGACAATTTCCCATACTTCCCCACTAACCCAGCCATGCATAGGAGATGTTTTCTTTCTATACTGTATCCAGCGTTTTAGGTGTTCCGCAGTGGAGATTTCTCCAAACATGATAAGGAATAGAAGAATCACTGCTTCCATGTTTCAGTATTTCTAAAATTTTGCTTCTAGGTATGATATTGGCAATGTGGTTCATTTTTCCCCTTCTGAGCATGCCTCCTTCCTTGGTTTCTGTGACCACATTCTTTTCCCTCATTTTTCCCTCTTTTCAAGAAAGAGTCCACTCTTCCTTCACCTTATCAACCAAGATCAGCGTCTGGGAGTCATCCTTGACTTTTCCTTGCCCCTCTCACACATTTGGAGTTGAACTCGTATTGGTGTTTCCCCCTTGTCTACCTGTCCCCACTCTTCCTCTGTCTCTGCTGTTCCACAACCTCATGCCCCGTTGCATGACTGGATTCAAAATCCTCCTAACGGCGCCCCCCGCCTTCTGGTTATATCCTTCAGCCCATTACTTTCCTTCTGTTCCCAGAAGAATTGTTTGATGCCCTCCTTACTCTTGCCAGCATCTTCTCTCTTGCAGACAGTGGCCTCCAAATATTGCCTGAATACCAGGCTGTAAGAGAATGGCTGCCCACTGTGTGCAAAAGGATGAGTCCCTGCCACTTGCTGAATCCATACTGATGGCAGTGGCAGGGCTGGAGCCAAACTTGCTTGCTGATGCCAGTGTCTGTGCTTGCTCTAGTACATCCTACTGTTGTAACAGGTGTTTATTAAACTGCCCCTGAAACTTGGCTACATGCTTAACAAATCCCTTCAAAATGTAATCAGTATTTACAAAGGATATGAATTATGATGAAAATGTATAACTCTTTAAAATCCTTCTCTTGACAACAGTTAATTTTAGTTGGAGGTGCTGTCAATTCATGGTATCTATTCAACTTCTTTAATTTTTATAGTTTACAGCATTGAAGCTGGGAGATTCCAGCTTGGGGACTTCCCCATACCTCAACCCAAAACTCCTCATTGAAGATACTCATCAGATGTTTAATAAAAGAATGATAAGATAAAGAAATAAATGAATAAAATAAATTCTTCTCAATTTTGTGATAAAACAAGTGGGTACACAATTGTCAAGTTCAAGATTATGGAGAAATGAGCCAACATGTGGCCTGAAGGACTATCACTCTGGCCTTCATCATCAGTGAAATGAAGGGCATGAATCAGTAGAGGGTCAGTGGTACCCAGCAGCCTGAAGTTGGCGGGCTATAAACCTCATTCTCAGAATGCTATAAACCTCATAATGCTATAAACCTCATAATGCTATAAACCTCATAATGCTATAAACCTCATTCTTTTCACTTGGAAAATGTGGGAAACAGTGTCTCTTCCAGAGAGTAGCTGTGAATATTAAAAGACATGACAAATGTAAAACAATGGTGGGGTGGGGTTCTGACACATAGTATGTGCTCAGTAAAAGGGACGCCCACTCCTTTTCCTCTGCTTTCTTATTATGAGCTATGTCTAATAGATTTTTTCAAAGTGTATCTATTCAATGCCCAAATACCTAAAACAAAATTCCAACATAGAGAAAATAATGCACAGTGGGCGTGTCATCAATGCAAAGGCAAATGTCTGGATTTCCGGTTACGTTTCTCCACTTTTTAATTGTCTATTCCAGCACTGGTTAGACATAGCCCAGGAAGTAAATTCTGAAAGGAAATGCATTCAATGTCCCTGGCATAATCTGGCAAGGCCTGAAATCCCATGGGTGTGTATGTGTGTATATGTATGTATACACGAGTGTGTGTGTATATGTGTGTGTGTCTGTGCATGTGTGTGTATGAGTATATATGTATGTATGCATATATAAAAATATGTGTGTGTACATGCATATGTATGTGTATGTGTGTATGTGTGTATATGTATGTGTATGTATATGCATATGTATGTATGCATATGTGTGTATGTATGTGTTTGCATGTGAATGTGTAGGTACACGTGTGTGTGCATTGTGCATGTGTAGATATGTGTGTACATGTGTATATGTGTGTGCATGTGTATATGTGTATATGCATATGTATGTATGCATATGTGTGTATGTATGTGTGCATGTGAATGTGTAGGTACACACGTGTGTGTACATGTGTATGTGTGTGCATGTGTGTATATATGTGTGCATACATATATAAGTATGTGCATGTATATGCATATGCGTGTGTATATGTGTGTATGTATATGCATATGTATGTATGCATATGTGTGTATGTATGTGTGTGCATGAGACTGTGTAGGTACATATGTGTGTGTGCACTGTGCATGTGTATATGTGTGTGTATGCATGTGTATATATGATGTGTGAGCATGCACTCACACCAGTGTTTGTTCTCTCATCCTCCAACCCCCCGTTCCCGCCTGCACAGCCTCCTGGCCCCATTAGTCACAGAGGTGGCACCTCGTAAAGCTGCCGTCCCCTCACAACTCGCCGAGCCATCGTGCAGATTTACGGAGTGATGTCTGGGTGATTGACAAGTGCTGCTGCTTTACGGGGTGCGGCAGATGTCCACGCCGTATGACCAGAGCAATGGCCTTGCAAGCGCTTGTGGGAAAGCGTGGGGCTGGGGCCTGGAGAGGAGCAAAGTCCTCACTCTCAGAAAGGCCTGGTGCTTCCTGCCTTGGTCTCGTAGACCGAGACGAGGGGACAAAGCTAAAGGTCATAACATACGGGGCAGGACCAGGAAGAATCTGCCCTCTCAGCTCCTGACTCAGTGTCCTTTGCCCTGCTCCACTGCAGCTGAGAAGTGCTCACTGAGGATGAGCAACTTCATGCATTGCTTTACAATCTGTCCTTTCCCAAAGTAACAGGGAACCCAGCCGAGACCTTCCCTGATCTCTCACAGTGTGGCCTTGGAGGAGCTCTCTGGTGGGCAGTGGTACCAGCAGAGGCTCTGCGGACACCCAGGAGGGCAGGCTGGAGCTCACAGGGTGTGGGTCACGTCTGTGATTCCCACCATGTCCTGCCTTCTCCAAGTCAGCTCCTCTCCCCCAGGTCAGGAAGGGCCTTTGTCATCTCTGCATGCCAGTGACTCTGAGCACCACTCCAGTGCCTGGCAGATGGGCCATGATTACTGGTGGAATTGCATTGGCAAAGCAGACAGGAGGGAGCACAGGGGTTCCCTGGAGTGTGGATGGAGCCCTCACCTGGGCTGTGCATGGATAGAGCTGCATCTGAGCCTGGCTTGCAGACTCAATCCCGAGGCAGTGCCAGGCACCATGGAGGATGAGCAGAGACGCCTCAGCCAGTCTTGGGGGTGAGGGAAGGTTTTCTAGAGGAATCAAGAGCTCACCTGAGATCAGAGGGATGAGAAAAGCTGGCTTCAGAGGGAGGAGGGGTGGGGAGCGAGTGCTGACCAGCCAGGCCTACATGCTCAGGGACGCAGCAGGCAGCAAAACAGCCAGGGCCCTGTTTCAGGAGCGTGGGGAACTTAGCCTGGCTCAGGCAGCATCAGGGCAGGGAGAGGCAGTGAGAGAGGAGGCTGCAGGGGACCTGGAGCCATCAGAAGGTCTCACTGTCATCCTGGGGGCACTGGGAAGGCGCATGAAGGGGAAGGCAGGGACAGGACAAATCGTTCCTTTGGAAGAATCATTTGGCCACAGTGGGGGGCACAGGCTGGAGGGGCAGGACCAGACTTCAGGCCACAGAGGACACTGGTGCAATAGAACAGGTGTGGCAAACAGTGCCCAGCGGGGGCAGGTGTGTGGGGAAAGGAGAGGAGGTGCAGCAGCACTGGGCAGTGGGCTTGGAGGATGGTGGGAAGATGAGACACCAGGTCTGCCTGGACCGTTGGTTTCCATGATTTCCTCCATGGCATGGCTCGCAGCAATAGAGCCCAGGCCCCCTTAACTCCCACCCCAGTGCATTTCATGTCACTCCACACGCTCAGGCCATGAGCCTGGACCCTGGTGTCTGGCTGCAGGGTCCCCACTAAGTGTCATTGATGTGGCCAGCATAGGCTCCTCCCCTTCCTGCCTACCCTAATTGACTGTAAAATAAGGAAAGTGCCAGTCCCTTCCTCCTCGGGACGCGGCATCACGGTGCAGACACAGAGCATCTCTGAGCCATGCCTGGGACCTGGGAGCCCTCCTCACCATCATCGTCTCAGCTCATTTGGACTGTTGAGAGCAGGGCGTGCTCCCCTCTTCTCTCAGAAAGACCCCCTGCAAAACTCAGCAGCGGGTCCTTCCTCATCTGGACCCAGATCAGCCCGCTTCCTTCCTTATGGGATCCCGGGGGCTGAGCCTGGTGCGTCTCGCTCCGAGTCCCTCCCTCCCAGGGGCTGCTCTGGGAGCCTTGCTGGCATTCCTGTCCCTTAGGTAACCAGGGTTCCTCACTGCTGTGAACATCAGCCATGATTCAGAAAGGAGCTGGAATTGGCGTGGGATCCTGAAGGAGCCTGGACAGCAGGCAGCAGAGTGAGGACCCCCCGAAGGGTGTGCCCCGCACAGTAAGGAAGGAAGTGAGTTTGGGCGAGCTTTGGGTTGTGCTGGGAGGGTGGGTGGGAAGGCGGAAGTGTGGGCAATGATGGAGGGTGGCACTCCGAGGTCCCACAGTCACGGGGAGACACATGGCACCTTAGAGCAGGGGGCGAGGTGGACAGCAGTGTGCCCAGGGAAGCGCCGCAGTAGGGAGGCCAACAGGGGCTATTTCTTTGTTGAGATGAGACTGGAGCCCAAAGTGGGAGGGTGGCGGAAGGGCAAAGGGGGAAGCGCATGACCATAGCGCAGAACAGAGTCTCGAGGTCTAGGCAACCAATCAGGCTATGAAAGGTGGTGCAGACTCCCAGGGGCTCCGAGGCCAGGACCTGGGGGCCTGCGAGCATCAGTCTGAGAACAGCACCACCCTGATGCGGATAAGGAGAAGCTCCTTCTGCTCTTAGTTCAATCATCAGACGCCTTCAGCGAACCCATGGACAGGCTGGACCGAAGCTTCTCCTCCCTGCACCTGGGATTGTGCAAGTCTCTGAAATTCTTTGACATCTTTTGGAAAAGCACTTTTAATTACAAGGCAGTTGTTTTCCAGTATTTTTAGTTTGAGATATGCTCACTAGTCTGTGAGCTTCTGGAAATCTGGGACCATATCTCACCACGCCTTGCTCCAGCCATCTCCTGGGAAGCACAGACCATCCTAAGTGCTCATTAAAACCTTCCTGAATGAACACACTAGTACAGCCGCTATGGAAAACAGCGTGGAGATTGCTTAAAGAACTAAAAGTAAATCTATCATTTGATCCAGCAATCCCACTACCGGGTACCTACCCAGAGGAAAAGAAGTCATTATTTGAAAAAGATACACACGCATGTTTACAGCAGCACAATTCACAATGGCAAAATCGTGGAACCACCCCAAATGCCATCAATCAACGAGTGAATAAAGAAACTGTGGTATATATACACAGTGGAATACTACTCAGCCATAAAAAGGAATGAATTAACAGCATTTGAAATGACCAGGATGAGACTCGAGACTATTGTTCTAAGGGAAGTAACTCAAGAATAGAAAACCAAACATCGTATGTTCTCATTGATATGTGGGAGCTAAGCTATGAGGACACAAGGCATAAGAATGATACAATGGACTTTGGGGACTTGGCGGGAAGGGTGAGAGGGGGGCGAGGGATAAAAGACAACATATATGGTGCAGTGGACGCTGCTCGGGTGATGGGTGCACCAAGATCTCACAAATCACCGCTAAAGAACGTACTCATGTAACCAAACACCAACTGTATTCCAATAACTTATGAAAAAGTAAAATAATTTTTAAAAAATAAAACACACACACACACACAAAATCCAGAGGCTGGCTTTGTCGTCTTCACACTGGAGAGTGCCGTCTGTGCAGGGCATTCCGGCATACCCGGTGTTTGAGGTCTCCATGTCCGTTGTTGCATGAGCGTCCCCAACCCGCCAGCAGCCACCTGCACATTTCATTAGCTGAGTCACTCTCCTCCAGCCCATTAATCAAGCTGTTAAATACAGGACTTAACACCACGCCAAGCCACTTATCTGCTGAGGCCTGGGCTCTGGCCCCTCTGCTTCCCCCACGGCAGTTGAGGAAATCATTAACACTTCACATGCAGCCCCACTGCTCTCCTGCTCTGCACGTTAGCCAGAACTGCCCGGCCTGAGATCTGCTCCCCCAGGACCCCCAACCCTTACTCACCTCTCCCTTCTCCCCCTTTCTGCAGCAGACGTAGAGAGCCTCCACTCACACATGCCCTAGGCTTCGAGGTCAGGCCTTTGACTGGGACTTCAGTTTTACTGAGGGCTTCATGGCCTCCTTCAATATCCACTCAAATCAGTGGCTTGGAAGATACTGCTGACCCACTGTGTGATGGGCTGGTGGCTGTGTCTGCATGAGCAATTAGTCCATTGACTCAGCAGAATCACCGAATGTCCCCAGAGGGGTCTCTGTGTGGTCTGGTCCCCCATTTCAGACGAGGATCTGAGGCCCCAAGAGAGCAAGCGCTGGGCGGGGTCAGGCCTCTAGGGGCGTCTCCCGCTCCCAGAGTATGGCTTTTCCACTCGCCACAGCAGCTGCTCCCAGCCTGGCTGGCACGTGGGCCTGGCTTGTCCTTTCTAGGGCACTTGGTAGGAGCTCTACGCTTTCTCCTAAGGGTCCAGTCACAGGGATTGCCTGGTCTGGTTGCCATGGCTATGGTGGTAGATTGTATTTTCCCAGAGACAGCCACAACACTGTTGTCCATCATTGTTCATCACGTAGGTTCTTTGGAAGTTGGCTTTCTCCCTCACCCAGTGAAGGGGTGGAATGTATTTCCTCTTACCTGGCCCTGGGCTGGTCCTGGGGCTGTTTTAACCACTCGCATGCAGCAGAGAGGACGCCCGGCCGTCCCTGGCATAGCCCTTACCTGATCTGGCCATTTCCACTTCCTGCTTCTTAGAATACTGACTTCTGGTGGCATTTCCTCTCAGTGCACATCTACCATGCTGTGAGAGGCCTATGCCACGTGGAGAGGTCACACGATGGCCCCAGTGGAGCTCTCAGCTGACAGCCAAAGTCAACTGGCAGCCATGTGGAGGCACCACACTGGACGTCCAGCCCAGTCAAGCCTTTAGGTAGCCCCATTGGACTGCACCTGCAGTGAGATGCTTAAAGTGAGAGCTGTCCAGCTAATCCCCGTCAAGCCCTATGACCACAAGAAATAACTGATTGTCATTGGGAGCCACTGAGTTTTGGGGTGGCTTATTACAAAGGGTGGCTTGTTGGCCATGCTGGTGGTCAGCAGCTGTAGCCACACCAGGCAGATCCTGGTACCCGCGGTAGACAAGGCCATGCTGAAGTGAACCCAGGAGACCTGGTTCCAGCCTGGCTCAGCTACCGACCAGCGGTGTGACCCTGAGCAAGTCACTTTGCCTAAGTCTCAGTGTTCTCATCTGTTAAGTGGGGATTTGCCACTCATTTGGTATGGGTTTTGCCTGAATGTGGTCATTTGCTTATCTCGATTGCTAGAACCCTGGGTTGGTGATGTAATTTTGAGGCTGGTTAATTTTGCTTTGTTCTGTGGCCTCCCCCGGATTCTCTTCCTGGGCCAAATGAGCCACGTGGGTCCCTGGCTCAGCTTAGGGAAAGGCAGATTGGTGTGAACCCACAGCTGCATACTTCCACAGTGCTGGGTATGTGGACACCAAGGTTTCCCCATAGGAGCTCTGTCAATAGTCTGTTAATGTCTCTGGAGCTCCATTTTCCCTCCTGTGAATCTGAATTCCACCCTGCCTCTGTTCTTTTTCATGTGGAGTCCAAGCCTGCAATTATGCACTTCTGGAATTCCTTTGTTTGAACTTCTTGAAGTCCAGACTGTAGTGCTCAGCTCTGTGTGGGGAAGCTCTTGAAACGGTTGAAGTCTCCATCCTTTTTTACCTCTAGCTCCTAAGGGCTGTAGCCCCTTCTGATCAGGCAGGACTCTCATTCCATGTCCCTTCCTTGGAAAGGCAGCTGTGCAAGAGGAAAAGCCCATGGGAAGCGGGCCTGGAGACGGGGGGATCATCCTGGCTCTGTCGACAGGCCTTGGAGGACCTTTATCTATAAAGTGATGGAGTCATCAGTCCATCCCTCTGGCAAACATTTACTGAGCATGGAGTTTGTGCAAGCCACCCTGAAAGCCAGGTTCGGTGGTGGGAAAGAAAAATGCCATCCCTGTCCTCATGGCGCTTAGGCTGTAGAGGGAGTCCAGCATTCAAGAGTTCATCACCTGTGTAATCAGGACACAGAGGAGAAACACAGAGGCTAAGGGAGCAATAGGAGGTTGCTCTGACCTGGCTTGGCAGGTGCTGATCTGAGAACACCAAGGTGTGTATAGAATGGCTGGAAGTGGGCCCATACTGTAGAATGGAGGGTAGCAGAGGTCAGCCAGGTAGACCAAGCAGCATGTGCAAAGGCCCTGAGGCCTGGAGTGGCTGGAGAGGAACAGAAAGAAATGCAGGTGAGGCTGGCAGGCCGAGTCACTGGTGAGCACCTGGGGCAGCCAAGCAGCTGATTTTGGATTTTATCCAAAGAGCAATCTGATATTTTTTAGTATATTCAATTAACATACAGTAAAATTCATTCTTTGTGGTGTTTTAACAAGTGCACACTGATGAACCCACCACCACAGTCAAGATGGAGCAGTTTTATCACCCAAAATATTCCCTCCTCTGCCCTTTACTGCTGCTAACCACTAACCCGCTCTCTGCTCCTATAGTTCCGCCATTTCCAAAATGTCATATAAATGGAATTAAACAACATACAGTATAGCTTTGGGATCTGGCTTCTTTTGCTTAGCACAAAGCATTGGAGATGCCCTCGTGTTGTTCCATGGGTCAGTAGTTTGTTCTTTTTTTATTGCTGAGGGAGTGGTGCTGCCTTGTGTGGATATACCACGGGATGCTCATCTGTTCCTCAGGTGAGGCACATTTAGGCTGTATCCAGTTTTAACTGTATCCAGTTATTATGATGAAAGCTGCCATATACATTCACGTACAAGTTTTTGTGTCCATAAGTTTGTGTTTCTCCTGGGTACATGCCTAGGAGTGGGATTGCTGGATCACATGGTAGCTGCATGTGGGACCTCATTAGAAATTGCCATACTGTTTTCCAAAGCGACTGTGCCATTTTGCATCCCCACCGGCAGTGTCTAAGGGTTTCAATTGCTTCACGTCCTTGACAACACTTTAAACAGTCTTTGTAATGTTTGCCATTCTAGTGGATGGGAATGTGGTGTCCACACGCACGTGCCTGAGGCCCTCTGGGCACAAGACAAGGTCTTGTGGCAGGAAAGGCAGTAAGTAGACCCAGCCTCCAGGTGGTAAGAGACATACTACTGAGCAGAGAGGAAGGTGAGAGGAGCAGACATATTCTATTTAATAGTTTAGTAGCTTCATTTAATAGACTGGCAGGAGGGCTTCTATTTGAACACTTGCCTCAGGCCCCCAAATGGTAAAAGCAGAACTGTTTTTTATTTTCAGGAAAGGTTAATGCAGCCTTGGTTGGTTTGGGAGAGACAAGTATCTAGGAGAGAGAGAGAGAAGTGAATGTCTCAGGGTGACTTCGGCTTCCTTCTGCCTGTTCTCAAACACAGCAGGAACCTCATGTCTCTCTCCCCCCGGCTCTCTGGCCCTCGGAGGTCCACCTGCCATGACACTGCCTGGCCTTGGTGGCCATTTTTTCTGTGCTTCATGCTGGAGCAGCCCATCTAGAGGGTCTGAGGGTAGCAAGCTCTTCTGTCCACATGAGAAGCCGACCCTAACCTGGACTTGTAACAAGCCCTCCTCCACCTCCTGCCCTGGCCCAGGGGCTTTAAGTGCACTCTTTGAATCAAAGTGAATAAAAATTCAGAATTTGCAAACTCAAAATTCAGCTACGAGAGCCTGAGGTCCAACCCCACTGTGCTTGGTCTGATCAAACAACATGGGGGGAAATCACAAAGATAGGCACCTTCTCCCAGGCTCCAGAGGGCGCTGTCTCTAGAACACACTCTACAGCTTAACTGGGATTGGCTACTATATAGTTTAGCTGTGCCCCTATCCAAATCTCATCTTGAATTGTAGTTCCCATAATCCCCACGTGTCGTGGGAGGGACCCAGTGGAAGGTAATTGAATCACAGGGGCAGTTACTCCCATGCTGTTGTTCTCATGATAGTGAGTTCTCACGAGATCTGATGGTTTTATGAGGGGCTTTTCCCCTTTTGCTTGGCACTTCTCTTTCCTGCTACCACGTGAAAAAGGACATGTTTGCTTTCCCTTCTGCCATGACTGTAAGTTGCCGAAGGCCTCCCCAATCATGCTGAAGTGTAAGTCAATTAAACTCTCCTTTATAAATTATCCAGTCTTAAGTATGTCTTTATTAGCAGCATGAGAACAGATTAATGCAGCTAGTAAGACCACAAATGTAACTTCCCCACAACACACACTGCCCAACATCACCTAATTTGTTCTAGACGCTCCCATGGGCAATCCAGGTAACCGTGTATATGCAAAAGAAGATAGGTCTGCAGTGGGGGAAATGGCAGTTGTTGCTTACTTAGATTTTGAACAATGATTCCTTTCAAGGTTCTTGAGCTGTCCTCCACATCACCCCTGCTATCACCAAGAAACTGACACCTTCCGTTAATCTCCAACAAAAACAGCAGGGATTTCAAAACAAGGGGTCCGATTTTCAGCTATCCCTGACTGCCAAGTTACACTTGAGTAGGTTTGGCTCCATGGGAGACGGGGCCAGGAGTGGGCCCTGCTGCCCACAGACCAGGGCTCCCAGTCTCTGGGATAGATGTCGAGGTGGAGATCCATTTTAGGATGCTTACTCCGGCAGGATCCACATCCTGAGAAGTCCTGCTGTGACGGAAGAGCCCTGTGAAAATATCCCTTGACAAGGAGAGGGTTTGGGGAGACACATACAGCACTCAGCTGTCCTTATTTTTCAATGCCAACGATAACAAGGCTAAAGAAAAGAAGTCAGGAAGAAGCCCTACTCTCCAAAATGTTGTGGCATTGTTAAATGCATCCAATTACTATGTCGGAGCAACTCCAGAGAGCATCCCACCCACCTGTTATTTTTTCTTATATCATGCAGCTCAGGTCATGTTCTCTAAGAAAAGAATACAAAGTGTGTAATAAGAAAAACACCTTGAGTTAAGAGAAAGACAAGCACTGGAAGGCCACGTGTGGTTAGAGCAGCTCGGGTTGCTGCAGGATCGCCTTCAGCCAGGCAGAGGAAAGCATCTGAAAGCGCAACTCCAACCTCCTAGTAAAGTGTCAGTGAGATCCCAGGAGAAAGGCAAACACTGTCAGTGGCGTGGGAGAATCGAGTAACAGAAGAACAGGCATGCCAGAGCCTGGGAGGAATGGCCACCCACCTGCTGGTTTGCCCAATCCCCTTGTCTGCATGCACCTTCCTCTCTTCATACATCTAAGAATCCAACCCAGGAAAGAGGAGGGACAGACCCCAAATTAACAACTTAACCTTAAGACCCTGGAAAAGGGTCTTACTACCTTATTACCTATTACCTTAATACCTACTACCTTAAGACCCTGGATAAAGGAAGAAGAGTAAAATCAACCTTATCCATTGCAGGTGGGATTGTAAGATGCTGCAGGCACCGTAGGAAACAGTCTGGCAGTTCCTCAAATGGCTCAACACAGAGTTACCACAGATTCCACTCCTAGGTAGGCACCCAAGAAAAATGAAAACATACGTGCACATGAATACTTGTATATGTACGTATGTATCATGTTCATATGTTCATAGCATCAAAAACTACAGCAAACATTCAGCATCAGTTGGCTTCTAGCCAACTTAGTGAGATTACCTCACAGTAGGGCCTGTTTGCATCAATTCCTATAACTGGAGATATCATCACAAACTCCAAGGTATGCTAAAACGCAAGAAAAAAGAGTCTAAAAAGACAAATCAAGCATCAGAACAACAGACTTTGGAATTCTCATAGAGGGATGATTGAAATAGTAAGGGCTCTAATGGAAAAAGTAGGCAACATGCAGGAACGAGTCGGCCCCGTAAGCAGAGAAATGAAAACGCTAAGAAAGAATCAAAAGGAAATGGTAGGAGTCAGAAGCACCACAGCAGCAGTGAGGAATGCCTTTGCTGTGTTCATCCACAGACTGAGCACAGCTTAGGAAGGAAATCAGTGAGGCTGAGGAAATGTCCATAGAAACTTCCAAAACTGAAATGCAGAGAGGAAAAGGAATTTTAAAAAGCAAAGAATAATCCAAAAACTGTAAAACAATTGCAAAAGGTGTAATATACATATAATGAGAATCCCAGGAGGAGAGGAAAGAACAAAAGATCTATTTGAAGTCATAGTGGTTGAGGATGTTCCAAAGTTAATGAAGGACACAAAACCACATGTCCAAGAAGCTCAGAGAACACAAAGCAGGATAAATACCACAATGTCTACCTAGGCATATCACACTCAAACTGCAGAAAACCAATGGCAAGGAGAAAATTTTGAAGGAAGCCAGAGGTTAAAAAAAAAAAAAAAAAAGAGAGAGAGAGAAAAAGAAACACGTTACCTATAGAGAAACAAAGAGAAGAACTACATCAGACTTCTCTTCAGAACCATGTAAGTAAGAAAAGAGGAAAGTAAAGCTTTGGAAGAAAGAAACCACCAAACTAGAATTCTATGTTGAGAAAAATTATCCCTAAAACGTGAAGGAGAAATAAGGGCTTTCTCAGACAAACAAAAACAGAGGTCGGCAGACCTGCCCTCCACAAAATCCTACAAGAAATTCTTCAGGGAGAAGAAAAATCATATAGGCCAGAAATTCAGATCTACATAAAGAAAAAAGTATTAAATAAAAATAAATGAAGATCAAATAAAACTGCCTATTCTTTCCTGTTTTTAACTGGTCTAATAGGTAATGGTTTGCTCTAAGTAATAATTAATACTGCAGTTTGTGATTATAACATAGATAATTGAAATAGATGACAGCAGTGTTATAAGGGATGGGAAGGAGAAAGTGAGAATACCCTGTTATAAGGCACCTACACTGCCACGAAGCTATATAGTGTTATTTGGAAATGGACTAGATCCATTATAAACGTATGTTGCAAACTCCATGGCAACCAATAAAAAAAATTAAGTATATAATGGACATGCTAAGAAAGGAGAGAACATTTAATTATACAAAATGCTCAATTAAAACAGAGAAAGCAAAAAAAAAGAACAAGATAAAAAATGAAACAAAGAACATCTAAATTGTTAGAAAATAATTATGAACATGGTAGATATTAATCCAACTATATCAACAATGATCTCTCTTACTGTGCATGATCTAAATACACCAGTTAAAAGACAAGTGGTCAGAGTAGATTAAGAAACCAGACCCAACTATATGTTGTCTGCAAGAAAGCCACTTTAAATGTAAACACACACATAAATGAATGGATGGAGAAACGTATACCATGGTAACATTAATAAAGAGAAAGCAATAGTATCCATATTAATTTCAAACAAAGTAGACTTCATAATAAGGAAAATTAACACAGATAAATCAGGGCATTACATAATGATAAAGCGATCCATTCTCCTAACATTCCTGAAAGAGGCAAAGCTGATAGAATTATAGGGAAAAACATAGAAATCCACTAATACAGTTGGAGATTTCAACATCCCTCTTTCAGTGATTGATAGATTCCAGCAGACAGAAAATCAGTAAAAAATATAGTTGAACTGAGCTACAATTGATCAGCTGGACCTAATTGACTTTTTTTTTTTTTTTTTTGAGACATACCCTCACTCTGTCATCCAGGCTGGAGTGCAGTGGCACGATCTTGGCCCACTGCAACCTCCGCCTCCTGGGTTCAGGCGATTCTGCTGTGTCAGCCTCCCCAGTAGCTGGGATTATATGTGTGCATCACCATGACTGGCTAATTGTTTTGTATTTTTATTAGAGATGGGGCTTCACCATGTAGGCCAGGCTGGTCTCAAACTCCTGACCTCAGGTGATCTGCCTGCCTCAGCCTCCCAAAGTGCTGGAATTACAGGCATGAGCCACAGCTCCCAGCCCTAATTGATATTTATAGAAGACTTCATTCAAACACAGCAGAATAGACATTTCTCTCAAGATCACATGGAACATTTTACTCAGGTAGACCACAGTCTGGGCCCTAAAATGCACCTTAACATATATTTAAAAATATAAATCTTGCAAAGTATGTTCTCCAGCCACAAGGGAGTTAAACTAGAAATCAATAATAAAAAATAGCTGGAAAAATCCCAGAATATTTGGAAATCAAACAACACACCTCCAAACAACATATGTGTCTCACGGGTCAGAACATTGCAGATAATATGTGTTGCCTAATCAAAGAAGATCAAGATGCTTACAAGAAACAATCCTTTCAATACATCAAGAACAACATTAACTCCAGACACAACAGCAGAGATGTATAAGAAAACTCACGCTGCTATATGACAAAATACAGTCTAAGAGAAGCCCAAAAAAGAAGTTAAAAGAAGAGGTGGAACCGTTCCACAATATCCCTTGCCCAGAAGAAAAAGCAGATAGCTTAAAAGAAGGCAACCTTCTTCAGAGCCCAGGAGCGGACTGCTGAGATGAGAGCTAAACCAAACCATAATTGTCTATAAGGACTCTGAAGATAAAGACAATAAACTTGCTGACAAATAAATAAGTCAGCTAACAAATAAATAAGTAAATAACATGTGTCAAGAAGTCTAAAGAGAAATATTTTGAAATAAATGAAAACATAACTCATCAAGATGTGGGGAATGCAGGGAAAGCAGTGCTCAGAAGAAACTTGATAGTAGTTAATGCACATATTAGAAAGGAAGAAATACCTAAAATAAGTAACCTAAGTTTCCCGCTTAGGAAATTAGGAAAAGAAGAACAAATGAATTCCAAAGTAAGGAGAAGAAAAGAAATAATAAAAATTAGTGCAAAAGTTAATAAAATTGAAAACAGGAAATCAATAAACAAAATCAACAAAACCACAAGTGGGTTCTTTGAAAAGTCCAATAAATTTGGCAAACCTCTAGTCAGGCTAACCAAGAAAAAGAAGACAGAAGACATGTATTATTATCATAAACAGAAAATGATCCCCGCTGATCTCATACACATTAAAGGATAATAAAGAAATACTATGACCAACTCTTTGCCCACAAATTTGATAATTGAGATGAAATGCGTTTTATCAGAGTTTTGCAGTTTTATAAGACACAAACTAACAAAATTCCCACAAGAAGAAACAAATAATCTGAATAAGCCTATAAATATTTCTAAATGAATGAATAAATAACAATCTTCTGAAAAGACAGCACCAGACCTAGCTGGTTTCACTGATGAATTCTACCAAACATTTAAGGAAGACCTACTGCCAATTCTCTACAAACTCTTCCAGAAAAATAGGAGAGAAAAAAAATCACTCTCTAATTTATTCCATAAAGCCAACATTACCCTAATGCCAAAAATAAAGAATTACAATAAACTACAGATCAATATGTCCCATGCATAGGCACAAAAATTCTCAATAAAATTTTAGCAAATCAAATTCAACCGTGCATAACATGAATTATACATCACAATCAAGTGGAATTTATTCCACGTATTCAAGGCTGGTTCAACATTAAAAAATGTTTTAATGTAATTCATCATATCAACTGCTAAAGAAGAATGATTATATAATCATCAATTGAAGAAAAAAAAACTGTTGACAAAACCAACATCCATTCATGATCAAAGCTCTTAGTAAACTAGAAATGTAAGGGAATTTCCTCAACTTGATAAAGAACACCTACAGAAATCCAACAGCTAATACGATACTTAATGGTTAGAAACTGGATGCTCCCCCCAAAATTGGGATCAAGGCAAGGATGTCTTCTCTTACCACTATTTATAATTAACATTTTTACCAGAAGTCCTAGCTAGTGCAATAAGACAAGAAATAGAAATAAAAGATATACAGATAGGGAAGGAAGAAATAAAACTCTTTATTCTCAGATGATGTGATTATTTATGTAAATAAAGTATCCCAAAGAATCAACAAGAAAAAACCCTGGAACTAGTAAATGATTATAACAAGGTCAAAGGATATAAAGTTAATATGCAAAAATCAATTGCTTTCCTATATACCCACAATGAACAATTAGAATTTGAAATTTAAAATTAAAAAATTCATATGAGTATAAAAACTAAATACTTAAGTACAAATCTAACAAAATATGTACAAGACCTATATGGGGAAAACTACAAAAATCTGATAAAAGAAATCAAAGAAGTTCTAAATCAATGGAGATATATTTCATATTTATGGATTGAAAGGCTTAATATTGTTAAGATCTCAATTCTTATCAACTTGACCTATGTATTCAGTGCAATCCTGATCAAATTCCCAGTGAGTTATTTTGTGGACATGAATAAATTGATCAAAGCTTACATGAAAATTCAAAACCCTCAGAAGAGTCAACATAATACTGAAGAAGAACAAAGTCAGAAGACTGACACTACCCAACTTCCAGACTGACTATAAAGCTATAGTAATCAAGACAATTGGTATTGGTGAAAGAATAGACAAATAGATCAATGGAATAGAATAGACCCACACAAATATAGTCAACTTATCTTTGACAAAAGTGCAAAGGCAATTCAATAGAGAAAGCATATTCTATTCAAAAATGATACTGGAACAATTTGGCATCCATATGCAAAAAAAATCGAGATACAAACTTCATGTCTTTCACAAAAATTAACTCAAAATGGTCATAGAGCTAAATATAAAATGTAAAACTATAAAATTTCTAGACTATCACATAGGAGAAAAATCTAGGTGACTCTGGGTTTGGCAATGAGTTTTTAGATACAACACCAAAAGCACAACCTATGATAGAAAAATTAATAGTTTAGGCTTCCCTAAAATTTAAAAATTCTGCTATGCCAAAGACACTATTAAGAGAGAAGAAACAAGCCACAAACTGAAAGAAAAATATTTGCAAAATACGTAACTTATAAAGAACAAAATATACAAAGAACTCTTAAAATTCAAATCTAAGAAAAGAAACAACTCATTTAGAAATGGACAAAAGACTTGAACAGATATCTCATGAAAAAAGATGTACAGATGGTGAATTAGTATATAAAAAGATGTTCATATCCATTTGTCACTATGGAATTGTAATTAAAACAACGAGACACCACTATTCACCTGTTACAATAGCTAAAATCCAAAAATCTGACAATTTCAAGTGCTGATGAGGGTTCAGGGCAACAAGAATTCACATACATTATTGGTAAGAATGCAGAATGGTACAGCCACTTTGGAAGGCAGTTGGCCATTTCTTACAAAGCTAAATACAGTCTTACCCTAAAATCCAGCAATTGTGCTCCTAAGTACTCACTCAATTGAATTGAAAAAGTATATCCATACAAAGACCTGCACAAAAATGTTTATAGCTATCTTATTCATAATTGCCAAAAACTGGAAGAAACCAAGATGTTCTTTAATGGGTGGTTGTACAAGCAAACGGGTACATCAATACAATGGAATATTATTGAGCAACAAGAAGAAAACCACAGAACTGTGAAGACAGGGAGGGACCTTAATTGCATATTGCAAAGTGAAAGAAGCCAGTCTGAAAAGGCTGTGGTCAGTATTTCTGTAAATCTAAAACTGTTCTAAAAAAAATGTGTATTCATTTTGTAAGAAGTTTTAAAAAAAGGGGAAAAAACCCAGAAACTTTATGAGGAAGTTATAGACTTTCCGAAACAGCATTAGATTGTCCCAGGGCTTGGAACTGGAGTTTGAGTCAGTCTTGCTCAACTCCCAGGTGGCTTCTAATTCACACCACAACCTTCTGAGACTAAGCGTTGGCTTTAATGCCCAGTTGTAAATAAAAGTCTGGAAGTCTGGTTACTGCACGCCTTTTCACCCAAGAAGTCCTCCAGACGACTTCCTTCCAGCTTTCTCAAATTCAGGGCTAAGTTGTAATTGTCAATAGATTTTACAAGTCCATACCTAGTTCTGCCTTGACCATACACTCACAAGCTCATCACTAGTGGTGCAGACTGCACAGTGCTTCCTAAGGCCATTCTCCACCTGCCCATTCCGTTCCCAGCATGCATTGTGCCTGTACCACTTCCTGAAAGTCTCAGTCTCCTTGCTCTTTCACCAAAAGTTCATTTATCTGTTTTTTTTTTGTCAACCTGAAATACTTTAAAGTGTAACATACAAACTGTAAAATACAGAATTTTTTTCAATGTTTATAGACATATAGGCATAATTTATATTATTCTTTGTGAGAAAGAGTCTTGCTCTGTTGCCCAGGGTGGAGCACAGTGGTGCAATCAAGGCTCACTGCAGCCTCAACCTCCTGTGCTCAAGGGATTCTCCCATCTCAGCCTCTTGAGTAGCTGGGATTACAGGCATGCACCACCATGCCCAGTAAATTTTTTTTTATTTTTTATTTTTTGCAGAGACAGGGCTTTGCTATGTTGCCCAGGCTATTCTTGAACTCCTGAGCTCAAGTCATCCTCAAGCCTCAACCTCTCAAAGTGCTGGGATTACAGGCACGAGCCACAGTGCCTGGACAATTTATATTCTTTATATGTAATCTTAAATGCATTCATTCATCTCAATGAATTTTTACAAATGAATAAACTCCTGTAACTATCACCAAACTCAAGATACAGCACGACCAGCATTCTGGTTTTTTTTTTTTTTTTAACTTGCCAGATGGAGATAGAATGTATCTTTCTCATCTCTGTTGTTTTAAGTTTTATGCACATTTCCAATGCAGTCCCAGCATTTTCAGCGCTCCATGTCTTGACTCACTGGCGTCCATTTTAAATGTTTCCTGCTTGCTGCCTGCATTGATTCAATGTTGCTTTTTACCAAAACAGAGGAACTATAGTAAACTTCTTCAACTTAGAGCCTTCTACTAAGGGGGCTGAATTTATTAGATTGGTGCAAAAGTAATCGCAGTTTTTGCACCAACCTAAGAATTTTATGATCATGATTGCCACATGGTTTAACTTCAAAGCAATTCTGTGCTTTTTGCAGAGGGGAGCTGAGGCTTCGTGGAGTTGAAGGTGAATTTCCCAGGCAGGCGGGAGAGACTGTACTGAGAGGGCTCCCAGGGAACCCAGCTGCATTCAGCCCAGCACTGTCAGCAGTGGAAGGACTTACCTGACCACCCACAGGGGCTTGCCTTCCACAGGCATGTTCTCACACTCCAGCCCGCGTCAGACTCACCTACAAGGCTCTTCATAGCACAGGCTTCTGGGCCCTATCCCCAGGGTTTCTGATGCAGTAGGTCGTAGGGTCTCAGATTTTGCATAGTTAACAGGTCCCCGGGTGACGCTGGTACTGCCTTTGGGGGACCCCACTCTGAGAACCGCTGTGTTGCAGCAAGCTGGGTCCCAGCAGCGATGTAGGGAGGGGCAGGCTGTGCTAAGCCTCAGCTAACAGAGCGGCCGTCCACGGCTCCTTCTGTCTGAGGTCCCTACTGAGGAGGGAAGGAATTCTTCCCAGAACTCAGCAACCCAGGAGCTTTCCAGGGCTCTGGGTACCTCTTCCTGATCCGTGGTTCTGGAAGACTTGGGGTAAGAAAAGTGCCTAGGCCGCGAGGTCCTAAGGCGTCTTTATGGAGACATTGCCTGGGATCATGGCCAAGGCTCAGGCTTCAGGGGCAGGAGCTCCAGGCTGGCCATGCACTAGTTATTGACCGGGCAGGGGCAGGAGCAGTGCTAGCATGGTGCCTGGCACAGAGCAGCTGTCATACTTTGCACACGTTTTGGCAGATTTTTCTTAGATGGTGGTATGGGGGTCGTTGAAGGAGCCCTCTTGTGTGCTAAACTGGGCTTGGACCACCTCAGCTCTCCTGAAAAATGGGCAGGGACTGGGAGCCTCATGGGTGTCATACTAAGTCTGACCCAATGACTGAGACAGAGTAAACAAGGGGTGGTCTCTCTGCCCCCTGAGTTCACCCTGTTACTAAGACCCTCGTCATATTGAATTTCAACGGCCTGGTCACCCATGAAGTTCTTCAGCTGGACCGGGGTTTCTCAATCTCGACACTGTTGACACTTGGGCCTGTATAATCCTTTGCTCTGGGGGCAGGGCTGTCCTGTGCATTATAGCGTGTTTAGCGGTATCCCTGGTCTCTACCTACTAGATGCCAGCAGCAGCTCCCTGACATCAAATCACAACAGCCAGAAATGTCTCTAGACGATATCCAGTGTCTCCTAGGGGCAGAACAGCTCCAACTGGTAACTGCTGAGTTACACTGGGAGCTCCCAGGAGGGAGGAACCACACCTTCCATCCCTGCACCTCCAGGACTAGCACACAGTAGGGGCTCACTAAGGGGACATCGAATGTATCCAACCTGCCTGGTCAGATATTCAGCATTTCATGCTCATTATGACATTTGAGTCTCAAAACCACCCGTGAGGAAGACTCATGTGAGAGATGAGGAAACCGAGGCACTGCAGGTGGGACCACTTGCTCAAGATTTCCTGGCTAATTAGCAACGGAGGCAGGACTTGAACTCCATGCTCTGTGCCTGACTGATTGGCCCTAAGACCAGGGTGACACCCTCTGTCCTACTGGCTTGCTTCCTCAGCACAACACCCTCTGTCCCACTGGCTTCCACAGCACAGGAAAGGAGCTCATGCCTGTGTCTGGACTCATGGCCTCAGGCAGGTCCCAATTTCTTTGTCCTTCCCCGCAGTCTCTCCACGGGGCACTTTGAATTCTGCCAGGCACAGCCTCCCAAGTTCACGTTGCTTTTTGAGGAATGACTTCAGCACTAAAACATGTTTCACATTTAAGGTTAGGCAGGCCCTGCTTACAGCGGGAGCTTACAAGATCTCCAGCCCTTCTGGGGAAGGATATAAAAGGCTGACTTGAATGTTATGAAAGCTTAGGAAAAAAGGAATGCTAATGATCATACAAAAATAGAATGCCAAAGGAAGCTATTGCCAAACTGAAACAGGACTCAGATTCTGGGATAATGGACACATGAATCACAGCAAAGGGAAAAAAAAGTGAACTGGCGTTTCCCCTTTCATCGAAGTACTGATGATCATAAGATAAATCATGTTTGGAGAAGAATCAGAATGATTGGATTAAGTTTTACTGCAGTGTTTCTGACTAATCTTGGACCCAGGCAACCTAATTGAAAACTTACATCTGCACGGAGCTGGAGAGTTTGAACTCTCCAGCTTTAGTAACTCACCGCTGCAAGGCAGGCCCAGGCCCGGGAGTGCCTTCCTCCACATAACTGCATCGTTCTGAAGACACAGATCCAAAAACTCGATTTTCCCACTATGATTTTACCCAGAAACTTCT
This sequence comes from Homo sapiens, assembly GCF_000001405.40. Classification (NCBI taxonomy): domain Eukaryota; kingdom Metazoa; phylum Chordata; class Mammalia; order Primates; family Hominidae; genus Homo; species Homo sapiens. The sequence goes on along the minus strand of NC_000002.12, from coordinate 238,728,515 downwards.
CTGAATTCGTAGATTACAATCAGATAATGGTCCATGACGTGAGCATCCCTTTGCCTGGCAGGCTGAAAGTCAAGATAGCCCTAGCTCCAAGCAAGCATTCCTTTTTTTTTTTAATGAGAGAAAAGAGGCAACAATTTTTAAGTGACCTTGCTGTTTGCTTTTGTGAAGTGAAGTGATCTCCCCACTGCTGCGATTTTAATAAGCCCGCAAGTTCTCCTAGGTGCCCTCCAGGGAGGAATTTCATTGTTCATCTGCACTCAATGTTCCAGAAATACCCTGCACCCATGAGCAAATCCTAACATGACTTCCAACTTGGGAGTGGAATTTGCCAAATAAATGAGCTGTTCTAACTGAATGTCCCGGGCCAAGGCTGGCTCCTGTGACGATGCTCTCTGCTGGGTCTACAGGCGGACCCTGTGGTTGACAGGCTCCCAGATGTGCACCCCTGGGCTGAGCTCTGCAGCCCAATGCCCCTCCCATCCACTGAACAGACCTGGACCATTCCAGAGGGGCCAGCTTCCCTCTGTGACCCCCAGCCTCATGCTTCCAAAGGAGGGCAGGAGATGACAGCGTGTGGGGGCACAAGGGTAGAGAGCAGACAAAACAAGAGCTCACTGAGAAATGAGGCAGAGGTGTTGTGCAGGTGCCAAGGGCCTGGGTTTTTGACTCCTACAGAGCTGGGTAGGAACCCTGGTTCTTGTCTTTCCCAGCTGTGACACCCTCAGCAAGTTACGAAAACCATGCAACCTCCAGATATCTCATCCATAAACCGGGTGTTGTCATGAGAATGGAATAACACGATGTGCTTAGTAAAATGGAATGTCAATTACATCCACATCCCTGAACAAATGAGTCCACGAAAAGCATGGTGCAAGTGGAATCTATAGTCACGTGTAAGTCTTGTTATATGCAAAAGCATTACTCCTTGCTGGGAGTCTCTCTCCACAGGACTCGATGTGCCACACAGACAGAAACAGTCCCCGTTGCCTTGTCCTTTGCACCTAATGTCACACCGACACGGAGGAGATACTCGGTAAACATTTGTTAAGGAAAGAAGAGCTTGGCACGGGTTCCCTTTTTCTTCCACCTCAACCCCAGTGCTATCCTCAGGGACCCCTCATTCCCACCTTGCTCTGCACACATCTCACCTGGCCCTGGCCCTGTGCCCTCCTGACACCTATTTGGAACATTTCCCCAACAAACTTGGTATTCCAGACTCAGAAACCGGCTGTCGGCATTGGTCCTGCCACTGTCTGCCTGCCTGCTTCCGGGCATATTGCTTCACTGCTCAGAGCCTCAGTGTCCTCGTTTGCTCTTCCATGAGACAGTCATAGTGCGGGTTTGCAGCAGACCTATGGCTCTTGAACTGTACTCCACAAAATCCCACGTGTTTCTCCCGCCAGAACCTCTGGAGGCCTCATCTCTGGGACCCCACCCTTCACATTAGCCAAGGCACCCTACTTTTTCAGTGAGCAGCTGCTGAGAAAGATATTGCTTCATTTCTAGGTGAAGTTTCGTCCCTCTGGACTGAGAGGTTCCTCCTCAATTCTATCTGTGCTGCACAGGGCCCAATTTGGGACCATGAGGGATATGAGATGTCCCAGAACGAGACCATTACTTCTTTCAGGACAAGAGGTTAATTCAGCAATGGGGAACCCTGCTCTCTGTGAAAGGCTTCCCCACATCCAGAAGCCGGCCAGGCTCATGTTTCCTTGGGTAGCGAGACCTCCAGAGAGTTTGGGTCTTTCCTACAGGACACAGGCACATGCAGAGATGCTGGTCTGTTCTAAACTACCCATTCTAGGCCAGGCATAGTGGCTCATGCCTGTAATCCTAGCACTTTGGGAGGCTGAGGCGGGAGGATCACTTGAGGCCAGGAATTTGAGACCAGCCTGTGCAATGTAGTGAGACTCCCATCTCTACAAAAAAAGAAAAGAAAAGAAAAAAGTAGCCAGAAGTGCTGGTGTGCACCAGTAGTTCCAGCTACTCAGAAGGCTGAGGCAGGAGGATGGCTTGAGCCCAGGAGTTTCAGGTTACAATGAGCTATGATGGTGCCACTGCTCTCCAGCATGGGTTGCAAAGTGAGATCCACTCTCAAAAAAAGCAAATAAATAATTTGAAAACATATTAAACTTTCCTTTCAAAACATTCACCATCTCCTGAACTTTGTCTTCACCACTGCCCTAGAACACCTTGCCTACTTCTCAGACAGAATGAGCACCGTCTTGCCCACCCTCTTGCCCACACTTCCTGTCAAGCCTTACACTATCCCCAGCAGCACCACTGACTTCATCACAAAATTGAGTGGCCACACGCCTTAGACCATGCAGGCTACCATAATAAAATACCACAGACTGAATATTTATAAACAACAAAAATTGATTTCTCACAGTTCTGGGGGCTGGGAAGTCCAAAGTCAAGATGGATTTGGTGTCTAGTGAGGGCCCACTTTCTGGCTCACAGATAGCACCATCTTGCTGTGTCCTTACTGGGTGGGTGGGACCAGCTAGCTCTCTGGGGTCTGTTTTATAAGGGCACTAATGCCACTCATGAGGGTTCTACCTTCCTGAGGCAATCACCTCCCAAGGCTGCTCTTTCTAATACCATCGCATTGGATATTAGGCTGCAACATGAAACCTACATTCAGACCACATAGATCTGGTCAATATGGAGATGGTTTTAGACTGTTTATCACTTACACTAACGGCATAAGCAACATCATCATAATGTCAGCTTTCCACATCCCTAGGATGACACCAAATTGGAGAAGCCAGATGACAGACATGAGGAGTGGGTTGCTCCATTGGGATATCTCACTCTAAAATACAACCAAGCACCTTTATAGCTGGAGCTATGCCCTAAGGGGGGCATGTGGAAAGTTTTACTTCTCACTGGAACCAGGGAAGTGGATAAGACAGTGTCTTGTGGCAGCCCCTCACAAGACAGGGAGCCTCCTATAGGACAGGGAAGTGGATGGAAAATGACCTACAGATGACCCTTACGAGACTGCCCTGCTTGCTGAATCCCAGGAAGGATCACAGAGTGTTCTGCCAAGACATGGGTCCGACTGAGGCTGAGACTCACCTACGCAGAGACGCCCAAGAGCTCCATGGGGGAGCCTTTCCCTACTCTGTCCTCCTACCTTCCTTCTCATTGAGGACAAGGTGTCTGTCCTCTTGTCTAAGGAGAAACTCACCCTTAGAACCTTGGATTTACTAAAACTCTCATTGAAAACCTATTTAATCAATGATCATCCTCTCTTCTGAATCTCCTTCCTACCCAGCCCCTTAGCCACACCTACCTTAAAAAGCACATAATCCACCAAAACATATACCTCTAAGTCTCCCCTGGCTCCTGATCCTCTCTGGTCCTTTCTGAGTGAACTCTCTGACCATCCCCTGAGTGAATCCATTCACACCGCAGGCTCCAGCTGCCCTCTTTTTGCTGGAAATGCCTAACCTGACTCCCGCCCCGTCCTCCTCCAAGCTGCTGCCATGGAACTCTTGCTGATGGAGTTTATCCACCTGAATGCCAGAAAGGCATCTCAGATCCCATGAGTCTGTGCAACAGCCGCGTCTCTGTCCCTTGAGCCTGCTGCTCTTCCTGCCTACACCTCCAAGAGCACGCTTACAGAAGCCAGAAATTCGGCAGGCAGCCTAGACATTCTTCTCTTGTAGCCCTGACATCCAGTATTTATTTAGGGCTACGCTTTGTTAATTCTTAAACATATCTCTTTTTCCCCCTGTACTTCCCTTTAGTATCACCATAGTTTTTGCATCAAGATATATAACCTCATTAACAGGTTTCTTTTGAAAGCTTAGTACTAAATATGTTTTAGTACTAATATGTACTATATACTAAAGTATTTTATTAGATAATTATTATTAGAAATAAAATGTCTGAATAGTCCTATATCTCTTTGAACGGTTTGAACTCATAACTAAGGACTTTCCCTCTAAGAAAACAGCAGCCTTAATCGTTTCACTAGAAACATATCAAATATTCAAGGAGCAAATACCACCACCCTTACACAAATTATTTCAGAACACAGAAAAACAGGAACACTTTCCAACTCATTTTATGAGGTCAATATTATCCTGCAACAACAACAAAAAACAGACATGACAAGAAAAGTACAGAACAACTTCCTTCATTAACATGAATGCAAAGATCCTTAACAAAATAAGGGTGAAAAAATTAATGAGATTTTTAAAATGACAAATATAAGATCATTTTCGCAGATAGTCCACTGATGCTTTAAGTAAGGGGCATTCTATCTTTGAAACACGTTTCAAGCTACCAATCTGAGAAGGAGTCTAAGAAAGAGAAAAAAAAGCCTCTGACATTGGCAGCAGGCTGGACACTCACAGCTCAGTCCTGGTGTTCCTTGTTGAACATAAGCAATCTTAAAGAACACAACATCAGAATGATATGGTTTGGCTGTGTTGCCACCCAAATCTCATCTTTAATTGTAGCTCCATAATTCCCACATGTTGTGGGAGGGACCTGGTGGGAGATAATTGAATCATGGGGATGGTTTCCTCCATACCGTTTTCGTGGTGGTGAATCAGTCTCATGAGATCTGATGGTTTTATAAGGGGAAATCCCTTTCGCTTGGTTCTCATTCTCTCTCTTGCCTGCTGCCACGTAAGACATGCCTTTCGCCTTCTGCCATGATTGTGAGGCCTCCCCAGCCATGTGGAACTGTGAGTCCATTAAACCTCTTTCTCTTTATAAATTACCCAGTCTCGGGTATGTCTTTATCAGCAGTGTGAAAATGGACTAATACATCAGACGAGTCCTTTCATTACCATGATAAAGTGAGGCAACAAACACCACCACTCTGGAGTCTTGTCTAAGCAGAGACAACAACAGTATCACGTGCAAAGTACCAAAACGTGCCCTTCTCCCATCTAAGAAGAATGGCAGGTGCTTCCTTACCCATCACAGCCTCATTCTGACTTTCCTCCCCTACGTAAGATTCCTTAGGTTACACAGAGAATTACCTCTGCAGAGAAAAGTCCCCCTTCCTTAAACTCTTCCCCCCAAATCACCAAGCACAAGCCCAGATCACCGTGGCATACATTCTCCTTTGTGACGCTGAGCGATAAATCCGACTTGCTTAACTATAGATGTGTACTCAGTGGTCTTCAATGCTGGAGGGCACTGAGAAATTAAACTATATTATTTTTTGTTGAAATTAAACTATATTATTTTTGTTGTTTTTCATCCACTTTGTGTGGCAAAAGCCCACGGTACTGACAGGTGACAACGTGCTAGCAGCCCTCGCTTGCTCTCGGCGCCTTCTCGGCCTCCGCGTCCACTCTGGCCGCGCTCGAGGAGCCCTTCGGCCCGCCGCTGCGCTGTGGGGGCCCCTCTTTGGGGCTGGCCGAGGCTGGAGCCAGCTCCCTTTGCTCGCGGACAGGTGTGGAGGGAGACGTGGGGCTGGTCGCGGTGCTCGTGGGCCTGCACCGGTTCTGTGTGGGCGTGGGATCAGCGGCCCCGCACTCCGTGGGGCCTGCCAATGCCGGCTGGGTTTGACTGGAAGCTGGCTCCCATGCGTGGGCCCCCCTTCCCTCTTCGCGGGGTCTTTGGCCACGATGGGGGGCCTCCGTCTCTTTCTCACTTCCCCCCTCTTCCTCTTGGTTGTCTCGAATGAGCTCCCTCTGGGCTGCCAGACTGTCTGGGTTAGGTGTGGCAAAGTCCCGCTGCAGTGCCAGAGAGCGGTGAAGCCAGCTGGGCTTCCGGCACGGGTGGGGACTTGGAGAACTTTTGTGTCTAGCTAAAGGATTGTAAATGCACCAATCAGCACTCTGTCTAGCTAAAGAATTGTAAATGCACCAATCAGCACTCTGTCAAAACGGACCAATCAGCTCTCCGTAAAATGGACCAATCAGCTCTCTGTAAAATGGACCAATCAGCAGGATGTGGGTGGGGCCAGATAAGGGAATAAAAGCAGGCCACCAGAGCCAGCAGCAGTAACCCGCTTGGATCCAGGTCTGTACGCTGGGAGCTGTATTCTTCAGCTCTGTGTAATAAATCTTAATGCTGGTCACCCTTTGGGTTAGTGCTGCTTCTCTGAGCTGTAACACTCACCGCGAAGGTCTGCAGTTTCACTTCTGAAGTCAGCGAGACCATGAACCCACTAGAAGGAAGAAACTCAGGACACGTCTGAACATCTGAAGCAACAAACTCCGGGCACGCAATTTTTAAGAACTGTAACGCTCACTGCGGGTGTCCGCAGCTTAATTCTTGAAGTCAGCAAGACCGAGAACCCACCAACTCCGGACACAGTACTTTGATATCTTTTGCTCTATTTGCGTTTTTGTGTAACCTTATATTTCTGACTACTTTAAACCTACATATTATTAAGTCAACAAAGTTTAGCACTTTTTATATTCACGGATTTTATCTTTTATTATAACGTGAACTTTTTTCCATTTGATGCTTTTCAAATACTTCTGAAGCATTCTTAAATTTTTGCTTTCTTTGTATTTGTGTCAAGTAGACGCACTTTTTCCCCACTCTTCAATTTTTTCTTTTATGTGTTAATACATTTTTAAGTGTTAATTTTAAGCAATTCCTCCTCTTCCTCGTATTTCTTGATACGGTGTTGAGCATCGATTTGCTTGGGACTGTTTGGTTCATTTGATGTTTGCAATCCTCGAAGGCACAGCTATGAGCTCCGTTTTTTGGTTGAGGTAATTAAGTAGCAGGGTAAAGACTCAACAGCTAATCAATGGCCAACTGAGATTTGAACCCAAATTTATCTGGTTGCAAAGCTCGTGCTGTGTTCCATGCTGCTTGGAGATTTTTTTTTTCCACCAAATCTGAGATTGTCGGAATTTTGATTAGAAAGAATGAAATATCTATTTATGACTATAATGCTATTATGACAAGAAATCATTTAGCCAAATTTGCCTTTGGATGAATTGTCCGTGCCAAAAGGCCTTTGTCTTTTGGGTAAATTGGCTAATTGACAAACTACCAATTAGCCATTTTATTTGTTTTAATTTCCAGCTTTCCGTACTCTGTGTCTTTTAAGTTGTTTGTGCCAGAACGGTGCTATGTGTATCAGATGCTCAGTAATTATCTGTGGAACAAGTCACTGGTCTATAATGATATTGTTGTTGTCAATCTACTTAAGAACCAAAAATAAACTCCTCTTTTAATTCCCCCTATATAGAATAAGTCGCTTTGCATGTTTCTCATTCTTCTTTAACAATCCCTGTTCTTCCTCCATCTTCTATAATTTACTCAGAAGTAAATACGCAGACTTTTATTAAGTATTTTTCTCATGTAAAGTACACTTTTCAAGTTATTTTCATCTTTGTCCTTCCATTTTATATTCTGCTTTGCTTTGGTGTATTTCCGGTTCCTCTCTAATGCTTACTAATTTCAATATCCACCTCTAGTCCTATACGAGGACTTGCTATCTGGGGGTGGTTGATTTTTATTTGCCCCTTGATGGTCTAGTGCAGGTTTGGAGAAACTCAGGAACGAGGAATAGTCGTGCAGTGTCTGAGCCTTTGCCCTCCTGAGAACTGCTTTTCAGTTGTTTTCATGCACACAGGTTGCAGTGCTCAGCCCTGCCCCATTCAGCTCTTGAGAGGCATTCTTCTGGCTCCAGCAGATTCAAGATGGGAGAGAATGGAGACGGGTCTCCAAAGCACTATGGAATGCAGTGCATTCTGTAGGTTTTTCATGTGTTTGGTCGATACAGACGCAGAACATGCAATGCTATGCCACCTCCCTGGCCCTCTGCCCCTCCTGCCTTGCCTCATGCTTTGAGGATTCCATCTCTTCTGAGTTGGAGGAGCCGCCACCTCCCAGTGCACCTCTTCTGTGTAATACTGGGTTGCACAATAGAAATCGTTATCCTCGTCTGAGTGTTGAGCTGGGAAGAGGGAGCAAGTATGGACTAGTAGGGTGGTGATTCACCTACCGTTTTGGTGACCCTGTGCTTGTAACCCATCATTGGGATAGGGCAGCACGGCTACATTAATGACTCAACCTCCTCCTATCCATTGGAATGTGAGGCTCCGCTTCAGAGGAAGAGAACACATCACCTGGAGCTGAGCTGCTCGAGCTTACCCTGCACCGTGAGAAGGCTTCATCAGCCGTTGTCCCCAGCAACCTCCACTGCTGATGGGTCTTCTACGCTTCATTTGCTAGTCACACCGCCCTCTTGTGGTGGGGCCGGGGGAGTGTGCGCACCGATTGGTTACTCGGAAGCATTCGCATTTGCTGTTTCCCTAGAAACATTTGTTAGGTGGCACAGGTGTCTCCTGTAAGTTTCAGGGGGCGTGAAACTTACAGAGAGCATATTCTCTCCTCAGACCCTCTCAAGCTTAAAAGGCTTTGTTCGGTTCATCCCTTTCATTCTCTGTTGAGGAGACCGAGGCCAAATCACCAAAGCATCTTGCTAAAGCCTTTAAATGTCCACATCAAAACCCAGGTCACTTTTCCAGGGTTCTTTCCCTTTACATACAACCTGCACCTAATCACAAGAATTGTTTCTGCCATTTAGATTTGGTGTGGCATCCAAGAAAAAACTTTCCTGAAGGGATTAGGATTCCAAATGTTTGGAAATACGCAGCAATTTGGCGTCTTCTGTGCATAATTGCAGTCTCCAGGCGACAGGCCGGGGCGCCGGGATGTGTGAGGACCAGGCTGCCCCACCCCCATGTGGATGTGTCTGTCCATGATGGGCGTCCGCCAAAGCCTCAGCCTCTGCTGAGACCCAGACACATAGGGACCCTACAGGATGAGGACGTGCAGCCCAGGCAGACACCAAAACATGCTCAGTTTCTCCAGTGCCACAAAAACTGCTCCTTTAGCAAATTCAACCTATCCTGCACATTAAGCTTTCGATACTTTTAGCTGTTGTCCTGTTTTACTAAATGTTTTAGCATTGCTGAGCCAAACCCACACATCTCCATTGTTTAGAATCTGAGCAAGAGAGGCAGAGGCCTAGATTCTTCAGCAGTTCTAGAAACTGGAGAGTTCTCAAAGCTTCAAACAATAACCTACATACTGCAAAACGTGTGAATGTGTACAAACCAATTTGTTAATTAGAATATTGCCTTAGGGTCAGGCATGATGGCCCACTCCTGTAATCCCAGCACTTTGGGAGGCCAAGGCAAGAAGATCGCTTGAGTCCAGGAGTTTGAGATCAGCCTGGGTAATGTAGTGAGACCCCATCTCTACAAGAAATGTAAAAATTAACCAGGTGTGGTGGAGCATGCTTGTAGTCCTGCTACTTGGGAGGCTGAGGCAGGAGAATCGCTTGAGTCTAGGATGTCCAGGCTACAGGGAGCCATGTCATTGCACTCCAGCCTGGGTGACAGAGTGAGACCCTACCTCAAAAACAAAAAAACTATGTTGCCTCAGAATTCACAACTTTTCTGGAAACTGTGAGGCTCTTGGGAAAGTATTTGTGTGCCTGTGTTGGGGGTTTAGATATATGAATTTTTCACATGATGTTGGCGTATGCAGCAATGCAACATTTCAAGGTCTGGAATCCCTTTACTGGTTTAAGAATATTAAAAGTTAACTGAATTTTCTCTAAAATCATCATATCTGATATGTTTACATGAAAAATCATTTTTTCTTGAAATCTAGTAATTTTTAAAAAATAATTAGTTCTGTGCAGAAGCTCTTTAGTTTAATTAGATCCCATTTGTCAATTTTGTCTTTTGTTGCCATTGCTTTTGGTGTTTTGGACATGAAGTCCTTGCCCACGCCTATGTCCTGAATGGTAATGCCTAGGTTTTCTTCTAGGGTTTTTATGGTTTTAGGTTTAACGTTTAAATCTTTAATCCATCTTGAATTGATTTTTGTATAAGGTGTAAGGAAGGGATCCAGTTTCAGCTTTCTACATATGGCTAGCCAGTTTTCCCAGCACCATTTATTAAATAGGGAATCCTTTCCCCATTGCTTGTTTTTCTCAGGTTTGTCAAAGATCAGATAGTTGTAGATATGCGGCATTATTTCTGAGGGCTCTGTTCTGTTCCATTGATCTATATCTCTGTTTTGGTACCAGTACCATGCTGTTTTGGTTACTGTAGCCTTGTAGTATAGTTTGAAGTCAGGTAGTGTGATGCCTCCAGCTTTGTTCTTTTGGCTTAGGATTGACTTGGCAATGCGGGCTCTTTTTTGGTTCCATATGAACTTTAAAGTAGTTTTTTCCAATTCTGTGAAGAAAGTCATTGGTAGCTTGATGGGGATGGCATTCAATCTGTAAATTACCTTGGGCAGTATGGCCATTTTCACGATATTGATTCTTCCTACCCATGAGCATGGAATGTTCTTCCATTTGTTTGTCTCCTCTTTTATTTCCTTGAGCAGTGGTTTGTAGTTCTCCTTGAAGAGGTCCTTCACATCCCTTGTAAGTTGGATTCCTAGGTATTTTATTCTCTTTGAAGCAATTGTGAATGGGAGTTCACCCAAATGAGTATAAATCATGCTGCTATAAAGACACATGCACACGTATGTTTATTGCGGCACTATTCACAATAGCAAAGACTTGGAACCAACCCAAATGTCCAACAATGATAGACTGGATTAAGAAAATGTGGCACATATACACCATGGAATACTATGCAGCCATAAAAAATGATGAGTTCATATCCTTTGTAGGGACATGGATGAAATTGGAAACCATCATTCTCAGTAAACTATCGCAAGAACAAAAAACCAAACACCGCATATTCTCACTCATAGGTGGGAATTGAACAATGAGATCACATGGACACAGGAAGGGGAATATCACACTCTGGGGACTGTGGTGGGGTCGGGGGAGGGGGGAGGGATAGCATTGGGAGATATACCTAATGCTAGATGACACATTAGTGGGTGCAGCGCACCAGCATGGCACATGTATACATATGTAACTAACCTGCACAATGTGCACATGTACCCTAAAACTTAGAGTATAATAAAAAAAAAAAAAGAAAAAGAAAAAAAAATAATAATAATAATTAGTTCTTAGAGTCTCCTTTCGAAAAAAATATTCCTGACCTTCAGGAGTCCACCTGCCCTGCTCTGCCAGCAGAACTGTAAAGAAGCATCATCCTCCCGGGCTCCAGAGGCTCCATGGCCCGTGCCGCTTCTCCTGCTGTGAACCCTGTTCCCGTCCCTCCCCGTGCCCGTCTGTCCTTCCCATCCAGAGCCACCTCTTCCCCTTCCAGGGGCTGATGAGGACATCTGCTCTGACCAATCCCTGAGGGTCCCTGCCCCAGTCACTGTCACCCTCCACTGAAATCACAGCTTGAAATGCTGTTCCCCGCACTGAGGCCTTCCTCCAGGAAGCCGGAGTCACGCCTGCTCTGCCCATCCCTCCTTACCCAGGGCCCAGCTGTGTTGGGCAAGGAGTGGTGTGAAAGAAATGGTAAAGGAGCCCCTGGGGGAAGAAGGGAGGGGGTGGAAGGCAAAAGAGGGGCGGGAGAGGGCTGAGAAAATGCGAAAGGAACAGGACCTTAGAAAGGAACAGGACCTTAGAGAAAATGTGGAAGGAACAGTACCTTAGAAAGGAACAGGACCTTTCTCTTACAGAGTCTCTCTCTGTGTTCCCGAAAGAAGCACTGCTCCTTGATCACGGGGCCTTGGCGGGTAGCTCTCCTGGTCCCGCGGCCCCGCTGCTCTCCTGGACACATTTCTTCCCTTGCAGGGGCTCCTCCATTGGTGCTGCCTCTCACCCCACCCCCAACCCTCAACTCCGTGCTGTTTGCTCACCTGCCCCTCCTCCTCTCCACCTCTCACCACGCCGTCACCACAGAGACCTAGACGACGCATCCGATCAGACAAGCTTGGAAAACCCCCTAGAACTCAGACAGAGTGAAGAAATGAAGACGCCGAGAAGACAGACTGGAGGCGCATGGAATAAGCAAGATAAAGTTCCAGGAGGATAGGATTCGGGCATCGGTGCACAGCGGGTCTCGTCGGGTGGGAATCCATGGTCTGAGATGAGATGCTGGGAAAAGGGCTTCCCAAGCTGAGTAAAGGTCGTAAAGGAGTCACAGGGCACCAGGAAAGATGAATCGAATGCCCCACCTGCATTTATTCTGGTGAAATGTTTGAATGAAGAGGAAAATGTTCATCCATGTTGTCACATATAACAGGATTCTCTTCCTTTTTAAGACTGAACCGTCCCGGTGTACATAAGACATTACGCGAAGGGAAACCGGTCAGCCACAGGACATATTCTACGTGATTCTGATCATATGAGGCACCTCAAGTAGCGAAGCTCTTAGACACAGGAAGCGGAATGGTGGCTGCCAGGAACTGGGGGAGTTCCATGCGGTGGACAATGATATAATGATTTTCCCGTGTGAGAAAAAAGACAACTGCCTGTGCAACCTCAGACTGGTGCCACACTTGTTATTCTTGTTATTGACTTCGCAGCCAGTGATGATCTCAAAACAATGCTGTAATCCTCTCCATTTCTCCTTTACAAACCTTTGTCCTTCCTTACCTCCCTGGGTATGCACACAGCTTACTGTGGCATGCATATCCCCACTGCAATACTCTATTCCCAAATCAGTACCATTTTCTCTTACAGAGTCTCTCTCTGTTGTTTAGGTTGACAGCACACGTCAGAAACATTGAGAAGAGGAACAGACCCAAGCATGAATGAGGTGAGGACCTGATATTTGAAACAAGACAGCCCATCCAATCAGTGAGCAGAGGATGGGCTAAATGACTAACTCCTTGGAGGAAAACAAGGTTGCATTCTCTGCCATAATGGTAGGCAAATTCCAGATTACTTAAGGAGCCAAATTAAAAAAAGAATTCTATATAGGTACTCAAAAAATAAAGAAATATATTAATAATCATGGGGTAGAGAAAATTCCTAAATACACTAACTCCAGAAGGTATAAAAGAAAGGTTTAACAGATTACGCAAAAAAAAAAAAAAAATTAACAGATTTTTAAAATAAAGTTAAAAGACAAGTGACAGCTTTTATGGAAATATTCACAATATATGAAAGAAAAAATGGGTATCTATGATTTATACAAAAGGCTGCAACAATCCAAAGAAAAAAGATAACTCAAAACATTGGCAAAGGATATGAATAAGCATTTTATTAAAGAAAGAAAAAGACAGATGACCAATACATACGTGAAAAGAAGCTAACCTTATTTCTAGTTAAAGAAATGCAGATTTGAACAGCTATTGTATTTACATCTGTTTTTATAAGTGCATGCATACATACATGTACATATGTGTGTATATGTGTATGTGTATGTGTCTACATACCATACACATCTATACATTTGCCTATAACATTAGCAAAATGTATAAATAATGGTAATATTCACTGGTGACCAGAGAGTAGGAAACAAGTGCTCTATCACGTAGGATTGTAGGATTACAGATCAATAAAACCATTTTGGAAATTAACTTGGCAATACCTATTAGCATTTCAAATGTGGAGATACTCTAATCCAATAGTTCCACATTTAGGAATGTACCATAGACAAATAATAAATGAGTGAATAAAGTTGTAGGCATAATGATATTAACTTCAACATGAGTGGCAATAAAAAAGGTTGAAAAGAGGCTGGGGATGGTGGCTCATGCCTGTAATCCCAGCACTTTGGGAGGCCGAGGCAGATGGATCACCTGAGGTTAGGAGTTCAAGAACAGCCTGGCCAGCATGGTGAAACCCCATCTCTACTAAAAATACAAAAATTAGTCGAGCCTGGTGGCGTGTGCCTGTAGTCCCAGCTACTTGGGAGGCTGAAGCAGGAGAATCGCTTGAACCTGGAAGGCAAAGGTTGCCGTGAGTGGAGATTGTGCCACTGCACTCCAGCCTGGGCAACAGAGTAAGACTCTGTCTCAAAAGAGTGAGGCTCCGTCTCAAGAAAAAAAAAAAGGGTTGGAAAAATGCCAAGTGTCCATCATTAGGGAATGGTCACATACATTTTGCTCATATTCAGGAATCCTATGCATTGGGGAATTTCCTTTCTCGTTCCTTGGAGTTTCTGTGTAGACAGAGGTTGCTTCAGGTAACAGTCCCAGCATGTCTCTGCCCTTCTTCAATCCCAGAGAAGGAAGCCTGAGTTCTAGTTGGCAGATTTGGAACAGGACCTGAGCATGCATCTTTTTCCTGGCTCATGGCCAGGCCAGACCCTGAGCTTAGCAATCGAGGCCCCTGCTGCTGGGGCGGGGTCTTCGGGGCGCAGGTCTTCCAGCAACTGCACAGCCTCAGAGCAGTGCCCCCAAAGCACGTTCTTCAGCAGCCCCAGTCTGGAAAGGGGTCAATGCGACCTCTGGCTGCCTCGCTGTTCCTCCACTCTCAGTGGGTTCTGAGTCATAACTCTCAGAAGAAAGAGGCTGGCTCCTACTTCTCGAAATGGGAAGGTATTTATGATGTCCATAATAAATTTTAAAAGCAAGTTAAAGATGATATGTAGAGAATAAATTCTGTTTTTGCTTTACACGTGGGGTGTGTATGTGTGTATGTGTGTGTGTGTGGTGTGTGTGTTTGCGTGTGTGTGTATCTGTGCGTGTGGTGTGTATGTGTGTATATGTGGGTGTGTGTATTTGCATGTGTGGTGTATTTGTGTCTGTGTATATTTGTGTGTATGTGTGTGTGATGTGTGTATATGTGTGCGTGTATTTGTGTGTGTGGTGTATGTGTGTATTTGTGTGTGTGTATTTGTGTGTGGTGTGTGTGTACTTGTGTGTGTGGTGTGTGTATGTGTATTTGTGTGTATGTCCGTGTATTTGTGTGTGGTGTGTGTGTATGTGGGTATTTGTGTGTGTATGGTGCGTGTGTATGTGTGTGTGGTGTGTGTGCGTATTTGTGTATTTTTGTGTGTGTGGTGTGTGTGTGGTGTGTATTTGTGCATGTCTGTGGTATTTGTGTGTGTGGTATTTTTGTGTGTGGTGTGTGTGTATGTGTATGTGGTTGTGTGTGTGGTATGTGTATGTGTGGCGTGTGGTGTGTGTGTGGTGTAGTGTATGTGTACTTGTGTGTGTGTGGTGTATGTGTATTTGTGTGTATGTGCGTGTGTGTATTTGTGTGTGGTGTATATGGGTATTTGTGTGTGTATGGTGTGTATGAGTGTGTATTTGTGTGTGGTGTGTGTGTATTTGCGTGTGTATTTGTGTGCTGTGTGGTGTGTGTGGTATGTGTGTGGTGTGTGTATTTTTGTGTATGTGGTGTGTATTTGTGTGGTGTGTGTGTGGTGTGTGTGGTTTGTGGTGTGTGTGGTTTGTGTGGTGTGTGTGTGCTGTGTATGTGTGTGGTTGTGTGGTGTGTGTGTGCTGTGTGTGTATGTGTGGTGAGTGTGGTGTGTGTATGTGTGGCGTGTGTGTGTGGTGTGTGGTTGTGTGTGTGCATTCACATACAGGTCCATTTACAGATACATGAATTCACATACAGAATACCTCTGGGAGGAGTCTCTTTACGCCAAGTTATTAATAACAGTGGTGGCTGCAGGCAGGAGAGGGGATGTTTGAGATGCAAAGAGGATTTTCATTTTTGTACTTTATTTGCTTCTTGATAATTTAGTAGGATTGTGGATTATTTTTCTATTTAGAGAAAAACTAACTTTAAAACAAAGAGTAAACATCTTACATATAGCAACAAGATTTGAAATCATTGCTTTATGCTCATAGGAAGAGCAAAAATATCCCTATGTTAACAATGCAAGCAACCTACTGCATGGACTTTACATCATCTTATTTGATTTGATTAGAGATGTCAGTCCTTTACTTAGTGAGGCTTATGTCTTAACAGGATTCATTTTCATATCTGGATCTCCAAGCACTTCAGTTAAAGGTGAAGAGCCGCCTTCTCCCAGGTGTTGCAGTAGATCAGGAGCTGCACTGTCAGAAGGGATGGGCACCACGCGGAGACTGTCCACTCCCTGCAGTGCACAGCACGATGAAGACTTACTGAATTGCACCTAAACATATCAACAACCCACTGATAAAGCTTGGACATTTGTCCCCTTCAAACCTCGTGTTGAAATTTCATCGCCAATGTTGGAGGTGAGGTACAATGGGAGGTGTTTGGGTGATGGGTGAGGATCCCTCATGAACGTCCTGGTTGGGTCATGGGTGAGGATCCCTCATGAGCATCTTGGTGCAGTCCTTGAGGCAAGGAGTGAGTTCTCGCTCTGTTAGTTCCATGAGAACTGATTTTGTAGAAGAGCCTGGCACCACTCCCACCCCTTGCTTCCATTCTCACCATGTGCTCTTTGCACATGTCAGCTTCCCTTCACCTTCCACCATGAGCGGAAGCAGCCTGAACCCCAGAATCAGCCTGAATCACCAGATGCAGGTGCCGGCGCCATGCTTCTTGCACAGCCTGCAGAACCAGAAGCCAAATAAACCTCTTTTCTGTATAAATTGCCCAGCTTCAGACATTCCTTTACAACAACACAAGTGGACTAAGATGCCAGTGTATCTTCTTCCAGTTTGCTATGACAGCCCCACTTTGGTGGAGGCACTGGCCAGCTTCTCTCTGGCCCCATCATTTGGGTCTTTTGATTTGCCCACTTCACAGATAGCTCCCTCCCAACCTGAAACAGACTATGGATGGTTGGCACTGCTTGGCTTGTCCTGCCATGTGATCACAATTCTTCATATCTTCCAGAAGTTTCTAAAAAAAAAATATCTGGGCCTTAAAACCACGCACCCTTGTTAGATTTTTTTCATTTGCACATTTTTTTGTCATTTTGATAAGAATGAGGAGAGCAGATAAACTCATAGGATTCATTCTCATTGAAAAAATAAAATTCCAATCAATTTTGGAAATGGAATTCTTACTGAATAAAACAATACCTGTCCTTTCTGTTACAGCCCATCTTGGTGAAGACAGCCTGTCTGTCCACAGGGAGAACCAGGAGAAGCCCAAGTGGTCTTGACTCTGACTCGCTCCAGGCGTCTCCTGTTGATCAATGCCACAGTCCTCCTCCAGGTGCCCTACCTGCAGTTTGGCAGGCTCGATTCTCTCTCTCTGGGATCTCGTATATTCTCCTGACACTGACCTTCACAGGCTCCCACAGTGACTCCTGGCCACCACCGTCTGGCTCTCTGAGCCATCTCCACTGGTCAGAGGCACCCCCCCAGCACCCACCCCAACCCTGTGTTAAATCAAAGACCCCCACAGTGCTCTGTTTCTAACAAAGTTTCTTCTAGGAAAGCACTTCTTAGATTTATAATTTTGTATGTAATATTGTGAAGTCAGGAAGAAAATGTGAAGAGTTCAAGCATCTTTTCTGGATCATCCGAGGAAAACAGTTCAAGATTTCCAATAATAGTAAAAACATCAAACAGATATCTCAGAGGTTTCTATGAACCAGACAATGAAGTAAGTTTATTATCATATAATATCTTATTTGACTCCCAAAACAACTCTGTGATGTAGAGACTGTCATGGGCGAAGCTCGGGAGGCGGTTGCCTGTATGAAGTCTCCCTTAAACTCACCCTTCCATGCTGTTCTATGTGGGCGCAGCCAAGTGCTGCATGACCCTTTCAGTCTAGTGTGATTGTAAGGACTGCATGTTATTTAAGAGTTGCAGTCTCCAGAGGCCCCAGCATTGGCTCACACATACAATAGGTGTCCAATTAACAATTGTTGCATGAATTGTTGCAGAGGTCACCTGTGACCCTTGGGTGGGCAGGGTGCAGAGTGACACTATCAAGAGTTACTGGAGCATCTTATAGGCAAACTCTATCTCCTTTAAAAGTTACATTGATGATAAACATAAAAATTGAGACTGTCAGCTTAATTTTATACATTTAACTTTGCAGATTAAGTTATATTATAATAAAAATGTGCTATAAGTAAGATAGTTGGAGGCCCAAGAGAATGACTATTATTACTGGAGCAATAGTTAATATTTTTAAAAATTCCAGTGCAACCCAAGGATTTTCCTGCTCCCATAGGAGAGATTTGGCCCCTTCTTGCATGTTCAGACATCCCACATCATGTGCTTAACATGCAAGCTAAAACTCCATCTATAATTAGATCTGCCTAAAAGTGAATAAAAGGCATTCCAAAGAAAGGTTTTCAACAAAATAACGTTAAAATGTCCATATGTTTAACTTGGCTTCAAGTTGCAAAATATCACAGTGCTATATGCTGTTAATGCTGTAAACTTATATGGGCTTTTCAGCTGATCCAAAAGCAAAAGAGAAAAATTTAAGTTAAGCAAAAATGAGGTGAAAGATCAAGATATGTGGAAAGAAATACTCAAAATATTTATTTAAAAAAACAATTCAGGTGACTTCACTGTCCATATTGCAACTTCCCTGTTTACAAACATTGGACTGATTTTTCAGAAAGGCATTAGGTTCCCAGTATATTTTAGGGCAGCAGTACAGACATCTGGTTGACAGAGAAGCCAAGTATACATTCCTGTAATGTTCTTAGTCTTCCAGTCATTCTGTTTTCTCCCTGTGAAGTTAACAAATAGAGACCCACAATGTGTAGAATGAAAGACTCCCTAGTGTGTCAATAACTTTTTATTTCTTTGATGAAATACAGAGTGCAGTGATTCGGGATTCTCACCAACAATCTCCTGATAGAAATTCCTCTACACCTATCCACTATTTTCAATACTTTAATTATCTATAAGTACATGTTTACTACAAAAACTTGGGAAATGATTAGCTGGGCATGGTGGCATGTGCCTGTAGTCGTAGCTACTTGGGAGGTCGGGGCAGGACGATCACTTGAGGCCAGGAGTTCGAGGTTACAACGAGTTGTGATTGTGCTACTGCACTCCAACCTGGGTGACAGAGAGAGACTCTGTGTCTTAAAAAAAAAATGGAAAATACCAAATAGTATAATATTATTTAAAATTTCCACTTTTAGGAATGGTAGAATAAACCACTCCTGCCAACCCTTCAGCTAAGAAGTAGAAAAGCTGGACCAAAAAACCTGTTGGAAGACATCAGACAGCTAACAAAGCAAAGAAACATTGTAAGGCACAGATCCAGGAAAAGAAAGAAACTCAGCCCAGCTTTTCTCCAGGGTCAAATTCCAGAAGAAAAGGCTAAGAAACTGAGCAGGGCTTTAGATTCACCCCTGTGAAGAGGACAAATTAGAGTCTGCCAAGGAGGGAGTTTTTGGGAAATCTGAAGATTATGGAGTATGAGTGAACCAGAAATAAATAATTCTGGCAAGGATGACACCCAATTTTATCTCAAATCCTGATAGGGTAAAGATAGCCTGGGATTGCTAACACCTTCCAGAAATAAATGTAAGTCTTCTCTGAAAAAACAATATCCTATATCTCAATTATCTTTCCAATTTTTCCTATACCATATCTGGAAAACAATGAAAAGTAACCAGGTTTATGAGAAGACAAGAAAAAAATAAGTGATCAAAACCAAGGGAAACAACAGACAGAAAAAATGAACCCAAAGAGGATTCAGATAATGGAGAAATCAGACATAAAATTTAAAATAATTATTACTAATACACTTAAGTAATGAAAGACAAGATGAAAAATTTTGGCAAAGAACCTGAAATTTTTTAAAAATAGAAATTATAGAAATGACCAAATACAATCAACACAAGGAAACAATGGATGTATTTAATCATAGACACAGCTAAAGAGAAAATTAGATAACTTATAGAGCAGAAGAAAATCTCTAAACTGAAACACAGAGAAGGAAAAGGAAGATAAAGGAAAAAGAATATAAGACAAGGTGAACATATCTAAGATATAAATGGGTCCCCAGAAGAAGAGAAGAGAGAAAATGTGGCAGAACTTCAGCAAATACAGGACGTATTTGATTGCATAGGATCTCCAAAAAGTCTGAAAGCATAGACAATGTATACAATGTTTTCAAGGACATTTAATCCGTAAAAACCAAAATATATCTTCATTTTCAAGCCAATGGATACCCTATAGATTTAAGGCTATCAACCACAAAAAGCAGTGGAAATAAGAGCAAAAAAACAGTATATAAGTTATATCCTTTGACAAAGTAGAAAACCACTGGGAGAAAAACGAGAATAAGTTCATTGCCTGATTTACAGGTAAAAATAGGTGATAATAGGTGGGAATCAAAACATATAATTAAGAGTCACAAACCAACTCCTAGAAGCCTAAATAATAAAAGAGGGGAGGGCTGCGGACATGATATGAGGGTATAAAATGTGTAAATATACAATTATATAAATATTTAAGTATAAAGGTATCCACAAAGTTATATGAAAGTACTATCTTTCCTAAATACTAAATGAATAAGAAAACAAAAAGAACAAATTAGAACAGACAACATGGTAAAAGAGCTCAAGTACATAGAATGTATTTTACGTGGTACATATACGTCGAATAACAGGACAGAGCTGGAGCCAAACATTTTGGTCGCAGTGTTACGTTAAAAGGGCTTAATCCACTAATTCTCTAGGAAAAGTATTTTAAGACTAGCTCACAAAACAGAGGGCCATTCTGTGCTGTATATAAGACATGCCTAAAAGAATACCATTTTAAAAAGCTGAAAATAGAAGGGACTATGCAAACAGAAAGAAAGTGGGGGGAGGAGGAGGCAGAATTCTGGCCAAAAAGCCTTAAATTAGACAAAAATGACTATTCCTAATCCTGAAAGCTACCATTCAGAATGAAGATTACAATTTGAATATTTATGTTCCAAACGAGGTGACAGAGTTCATAATTAGAAACTACAGGAGAAGCAGGGAGAAAGAGAAACAAATAAACATAAATAAAATTTCTATTTAGCGTGTTTCTGTTTTATTCAAAAGCATTAACACACTATTCTCAGCTCAAGATAGGTTAAAGGAACAACAACAAATCAATAAGGATCCAGAAATCCTACACAATCCACTCAATCAGGTGTACAAAACATCCCAATCTCAGCAGCAGAGAATGCGTGTGAGCGCAAAACATTCTTGAAAAAGGGCCGTTCTTGAAGGGCAAGCTTTGCTACACAGCAAAGCTCAGTCATTTTCAGAAAATAGAATTAGTACAAACAATATTTTCTGCTTGCAATGAAACAAAACTCAAAATTAATAATAAAAAGGCCTTTCTACCAGACAATTAGAAAAAAAATCTGTCAACTAAAAATTCTAGGGTCAAAGAGCAAAAACAAACCTAAATCGGAGAATTTCTAAAAAATGATGATAATGGAAAAGCCACAGTAAAATCAATAGGAAAAAAATCAAAGCAGTAATCAGAAAAAACCTCATAGTTTAATGCTCAAATCGCTAACATAGTGAAAAAGAAGTAGACTAAATATTCTATCCTGTGAGCCAGAATAAGAAAAATAAAGCAATTCAAAAGAAAGCAGAAAGAAGGAAATAATAAAGATAAAATCCAAAATTAGTTAAGAAAAAAATTAAATGGAACTAATAAATAAATTCAAATATCAGTTATTTGAAAAAAGAAAAAAAAAAGACAAACCAGTAGCTAGCCTAATCATAAAAAAGGAGGAAAACACAAACATTCAGAATAAGAAATGATAAGGGTAAAATAGCCATTAAAATAAAAAAATTTTTTTAAATGAAGTTACTTGGCAAAACTCTATGCAAATAAATTTGAAAACCTCAAAGTTGGTATAACTTCCTAGGAAAATATGATTTATCAAAATTAATCCTATTAGAGATGGTTTAAATAAGCCATTCCACAGATGAAACATAGAAGGTTATCAAAGAACTAAAACCACAAAATAGCAACAGGCCTGCCCTAATGGTTTTGCAGGGAATTGCACCAAACTGTCAAAGACCAGGTAATTCTAATGTTGCTTAAATTGTTTTAGACACAGAAAAAAAAGAAAAAAAAACTTTCAAATTATTTTTATAAAATATAACTTTTTTTTTTTTTTTGAGATGGAGTCTGGCTCTATCGCCCAGGCTGGAGTGCAGTGGCATGATCTCAGCTCACTGCAACCTCCGCCTCCCAGGTTCAAGAGATTCTCCTGCCTCAGCCTCCTGAGAAGCTGGGATTACAGGCGCCCGCTGCCATGCCCGGCTAATTTCTGTATTTTTAGTAGAGACTGGGTTTAACCATGTTGGCCAGGCTGGTCTCCAACTCCTGACCTCAAGTGATCTGCCCACCTCGGTCTCCCAAAGTGCTGGAATTACAGGCTTGAGCCACCACGCCCAGCCTTTGTGAAATATAACATTGATAGCCACCAATGAAGTATGTATTATCAGCCCCCAAGTCCAGCAATCTCCTTAACGGACAAACGCTGGATGCATTTTCCCCCGAATCAGAGAAAAGGCGAGAGTGTCCTCTAGCTCACAACAGCATGGCAGTGCACCAAAAGGTATTAGGTAACACAATTAGACCGCAGTAGTATTTAGATGCTTAAGAATTAGAAAAGAACTATTAATAGTACCACTTACCATCTTTATTTGCAGATGATGCGATAGTATACCTGAAAAACTCAAGGGAATCAACAATAAAACAAACACAGATGATAAAAGGATTCATTTATGTATCAGGCACAATTAATACATTCACATATATACAACAATCAAAATATAAATATACAGAAAATTACAATCAAAAAAAGGTAAAATTTAGGAAAATTTAACAAAAATATCAAAAACGAGAGAAACTTTTAAATACTCCTAAAAGATACAAAGTAGAATTGGGGACAAATGGAACAATGCATTGTTTCGGGATTTTTGTCTTAACTATTCATAATGCTGAAAGCTACCGTTGAGAATGAAGACTACAATTTGAATATCCATGTTCAAAGGACAAAAAGAACCATGGAGACTTAAAGTCGGTTCAGTCATTGCATTGTTGATGGCAGTGCTGGTATACTTCTTCAGACTCCTGATATGTATTGTGAGATAAAACTAAAGGCCTGATATTGGGAACTAGGATTTTCAACATGAAATAAAGAAGAGACGGATTGGCTGGGTGTGGTGGCTCATGCCTGTAATCCCAGCACTGTGGAAGGCCAAGGTGGGTGGATCACGAGGATAGGAGTTTGAGAACAGCCTGACCAACATGGAGAATGCCCATCTCTACTAAAAATACAAAAATTAGCTGAGCGTGTGGCGGGCACCTGTAATCCCAGCTACTCAGGAGGCTGAGGCAGGAGAATCTCTTGAACCCAGGAGGCGGAGGTTGCAGTGAGCCAAGATCGTGCCACTGCACTCCAGCCTGGGCAACAGAGCAAGACTCTGTCTCAAAAAAAAAAAAAAAAAAAAAAAAAAGAGACTGATTGAAAATCAATAAGATTAAGACCGCTATAGACCTGAATTTACAGAGAAACAATCAGTCATGGTATATTTTAGCCTTAAAAATATATATATTTCTCCTAACTCCTTCCTAGTTCACCAGACTGGGCATAAGTCACAAAATCACCCTACTAGGAATGGGCTGGACCCCTGACGAGAAGAAAGGGACTCTAGCCTAAAGGAGGTGCAAAACTTAGCTCCTGGGTACGAGCAAGGTCAGTAGAAGACATGGAAGACAGATCCCGAGGGTGCTGGATCCAGGACAGGGGAACATGGGTTGGCCAAGGGAGAGTTTATTCATCTGGGAGCATTGTCCTTGATCCAGGGTTTAGCATCCTGGCGAGGCCCCAGGAGACAGTGCTAACATGCTGCTGTGTTGGCCCTTGGGAGCTTGGAGAAAGCAACGACCCATACTAAATGCAGTGGAAATCTAGAACCACAGAGCCAGAGGCTGGAAGAAGGGATCAAAACACTCAGAGAAATGGCCATGCCAGAGGGGACCTGATGCTCGAGGCCAGAAAGTCCCCACTGACTATGCTCAGCAGAAAGGTGCTGGGGACATCCCATTGACCAAAGCAACAAGGAATGCAGCGATCAGGGGGCATCAGCTCACTGAGAAGCTCAGGGGGAGAGGGGCTGACGGCGGGAGGTGGTGTTGCAGAACGAGGCTCTGATATAATGAGGACGACAGAGTCATGAAGTAACAGAGGCCAGATGGAAGCACTGGGACCTCAAAGCCATGTGGGAAAGAGGAATGTCAGGCACTTAGAGGGCTGTGGGACTCTGTGTCTGGGTTGACATTGATGCCTGGGGACCTGAGCATGCTCATCTGTTCAAGGGAGAGCACCTGGGGGCCAGA
Organism: Homo sapiens; assembly: GCF_000001405.40. NCBI lineage: Eukaryota > Metazoa > Chordata > Mammalia > Primates > Hominidae > Homo > Homo sapiens. Next base: position 238,704,467 of record NC_000002.12, on the reverse strand, counting down.
TCATAAAGGAGGTCCTGGCCAGCTATGGACCACAGTAGGTTCTCAGGTCACCAAGAATCACCTCCCTCCTTCTCAAACATACGATTGGAATGGACATACTTGGTAATTGGCACCACCTTGTACCGACTCTTCACCCATGGATAACAGCTGTGACAGCGTAGGGAAAGTGAGTAGAAGCCATCGAAACATTCCTCCTCCCCAGCCAAGACAGTAAGTCAAAAATCGTACTGCATCCTGGGAACACAGAAATTCCTGCCACTGTCAAATACCTAAAAGATCAGGAGTGTGAGCCTCTTCAGACCCCACTGAATCCACCAGTCTAGTCCCTCCAGAAGCTCACACCCTCGAGGACTGCGTGGGCTCCCACAGACCCAACCAAGCCCTAGCCCCAGCTGCAGCTGCTGGGCCAGACGCGATGTCTTTGCCAGAGCAGAGCGGTATGGCTGTAGATGGGGAGAAGGCAGGCTCTGACCAGGCGAGTGTGTCCGTTCCCATTCTCAGAAAGGAGGATCAGAAGCAGTTGGCATTCATGTGGATGGACAGTAGGATCATCTAAGGTCTTGCCCTGTTATAATTGTCCTGCCCTCTGCCATAATGTGGGTCACCTGGCTATTCTGCAGAAGCCTGCAGCCCCCAGCCAACATCAATCTTTGAGAGCTCAGGGAGAGTTCAAGCTACCCATATGGGATCTGGCATACCCTTACTGCAGACCCAGGAATCCATTTTCCAGCAAACGAGGGGTGAGAATGGAATGCACTGGTGAGACTGAAAGATGGGCTTGGAGAAGACACCCTTGGAGCCGGACACCAACCTCTGGGATCCAGCACACGCCACACTCACATCCGGTCCACGGCGCACCGTGCCAGGGAGGGGGGCAGGAAGCATAGTCCCAGGAAGCAAGGCACGGGAGTAGGGACGGCCCACCCAGGGGATCTGTGCTTCCTGTTCCTGCACACCTGGGAGACAGGGCCAGGGAAGACAGAGAGGAGGATTCTAGAGTCATCCAGAAGATATAGCATTAGGACCTGGAGGTCTGGAGACCAGGGTCAAGGGGAGACTTGAGGCATGGTGGGACTCTACTGTGTCTGCCCCCTGACGCCTGAAGCCACAACCTTCCCACCAGTTGCCCTTGAGGATTGGGGCCACCTCAGCTCGAGTCTGTGCTTGCTGACCCCCCTATGGTCATGGTGACTGACCTTCAGGTCACCCGCAAAATGTCTGGGCTCAGAACCAGCCAATTTTCACAGCAGGTCTCACCCCAGCCCTGTCCTCACCCCGTTCTCTTATTTTCCCAGTGGTCAGGTGATGCCTGGCTGAGCCCCCAGTGTGTCCTGCTTGGCTGTTTAGGGGAAGGATGCCAGCTGCACCAGCAGTGCACAAGGCTGAGATGCAGACAAGGACCAGCTCATCAGGGCCTTAAAGGCCAGGCTCAAAGTGTGGCCTTTGTCCTACTAACAGTGGGAAGCTTCAAAGGTAGTGCAGCAGAACAGAGATTACCAGCTGCTTCTTTGAACAATGATTCTGGAAGGAGTGTCGTGGAGACGGGGGACATCAGAGGCTGGGACCCACCAGGAGGCAATGAGGTAATGGCCCGGGCAGCAGAGTGGGATGGGAGCCAGGCAGGAATGCCAGCGCTGCCTGGGATGCATGTGGAGGGCTTTGCAGGCTACGAGCAGGGGTGGGGCAGGGGTGGAGGAGACATGGGTCACCTTCGGTGATGGAGAGAGGTTCTCACGAGAAGACGATGGCTGGGTGTTAGCATCAGGAAGGACCCGGACCCTCAGATGGAGTCACCCAGCAGGTGGGTCTGTATCCCAGGAAAACCATCAGGGCTGGAGGAGCCTCTTAGGGGACACTGCCTGTCCTGAAAGGAAGGGCAGATTCCAGAAGCCAGTGACCGGCCGGGAGCCTGGAGATGGGTCACAGCACTCCACAGCAGGCCCAGCTTCGCCCTGTCCCTGTCCTCCGTCCTGAGCGGCGCCAGCCTCCCCTGACATCCGGGCCTCCTCTTCTCCGGCCTGCAGCTGCAGCTGGGGCACACATGCGTCTGCCCGGCTGCCTCCTTCCTGGGAGCTTTGCTGTTTCTTCTCCCCCGAGCTGTTTTCTCGCAGACCCACTGGAAGATTTTTTGTTGTTGTTACATTGCTATGAATTTCTTTTATTTTTACAGGAACAGGATCCAATTGAAGCCAGACCTTGGAAAAAGTATACGAGAGGCCTTCTCAGCCTTCCTCTCCCCCTCCCCAAATGCTAACTCTCTCAGGTCCTCTCTGGTTGCCCAGATGTTCCTGACCCCCAACTCCACATCAAAGCTCAGGACACCTCGTTCACATTAAACCGCCAGGGCCATGAATGGGTTGGTGCGTGCCTGGAGCAGCAGCCGCCTCTCATTGTCAAGTCCTCCTCCTCCCGGCAATGCCATTTCCCTCCAGGGTCCGTGAGTCCATACTGATTACAGGAACTCTGATTATTATACTGATTATTATGAACTGGACCTAGGGCGCACTCTGCCAGGTGTGAGTGTCACCTGCCACCTGGATGTTGCAGCATGCCAATGCTTACACAAGGCTGGATGAGGCATGAGAAAATGTCAGAGATGCCACAGCCAGAAGAGACTTCCCAGGTTGGGCCCCAGGACGCCAATCCTCTGGATAGAGAGACAGTCCAGGCATGTGCAGCCGGGGTCATGTGGGGGAAAACTGGAGCGGTGACAGGCCCTGAGTTCTGTGCTGCTTTTCACGGCAGCACCCTCCAACATGCAGCAAGCCCCAGTGTGGACAGAGTGGAAGACGCACATGAAGCCTGGAACGCGCGTGTAAACATCCTCTCAAACACATCTGCTCAGAAGTACCCAGAGCTCGAGGGAAATGGGGATGAGGGTAGCCTGGGGCCATCTGGGGAGGCCACGTGGTGCCCTCCCCGCTCTCCCCTGTGCAGGGCTGACAGAAGGTGGGGCGGGCCGCAGGCAGGAAGGAAGTCGCCGCTATGTGGGCTAGAGGCTGGTGGAGCTTGGCAGCGTGGATGTGGGACCTGTGGCCCCACAGGGGGGCTTCACTTTAGGTCACGCACCCCAGACACTGGCATGAGGCGGGATTCTCGTACAGGTGTCCACAGAGAAACTGCTCCCAGGGGAGGCTGGGGAGGGGTCAGGGAGGAGAGAAGCCAAGCCAGGCTGCGATTTCCAGCACAGGCCCCACTCAGCCAGACCCTATGGACAGCACTGAGGCACAAGCTACCCTATCACCCACACCCTCAGTGGCAGAGCTTGTCCCCATGAGGCAGGGGAGCTGGGATGCTTCACCCACAGGTGGCTGAGGGTGTAAACCCCTAGGCCCTTTGGCTTCAATAGTTCAAGGGCAGTTCTCTGAGGAGCAGCAGGTGCTGTGGTGGAGGAAACACCCACAGAAGCCAAGGGATAGGCGCCTGGGAACAGGGAGAGTGATGTTGGGGAGCTAGGCAGAGCGTGCTGTGTCTGCTGCATGTGTCTACGTGCACACAGATGCGCTGCCTGTGTCATCTACATCTACATGTACACGGATATGCTGCCTGCATATTCTGCATATTCACAGACATGCATCATGTGCCTATATGTACACACCTCTGCTGCCTGCGTCATCTACATGTACACAGACACACTGCCTGCACATTCTGCAGGTACACAGACGTGATGCACGTGCTTATAGCCACACAGCCCTGCTGCCTGCGTTGTGTGCATGTACATGGACATGCTGCCTGTATCTGTGGGTGAGACAGAGTCACAGGCTGTCTCACTCAAGTGTCTCATTCACTCAAGAAGGAGACCTTGACTGCAGGGAGGGCAGGTCCCCCAGCAAGTTCTCCCAGGCTCACTTTGTGGCCCTGGCTTGCCCCTTCTTGGGCTGTGTCCACTATTCTGAGGGGACTTACCAATCTAGCAGGCAGGGGTAGGGGAACCGCCAAGCTGGCACAGATGTCACACTAGCTAGTGGGGCAGCGTCGATGAGGAAAGCGCTTTTCCACTTCCCACTGCTCAGCATTTACACCGGTGCCTGCACCCTCATCAGGCTTTCCCCCCTCATTCTCCTGTGCCACACCGGAGTGACTAGGCTGACGGGGTGACTGTGAGCCGCAAAGACCCTGGGCAGACGTGGCCCTGGAGCTGCATAGCCTTCACGCCCATGCCGAGAATGGTGTCCTGAAAGGTCCCAGGCAGGGCTCATTCCTGTCATGTTTGCGCATCCACAGTGCAGATAAGCTGGAAGGAACTGTTTTGATGAGGTCATCAGAGTCGATGGTGCAAGCAGCCATCGGGCGCTGTCTTGCCAGGAACACAGATAGACCAACCCTTGCTAGGATCTATGTGCTTAAGAGCTTCTAAACTTTGTTAAGAGTACTTTACTGTTCCCTTTTGCTTAGGAATTTACTCGAAACACTCAAATCTCCTTATGCATTATTTGGGGACCCTGCTCAGGGCCAAGCCACTTCACCTATCTGAGATGTCGGGTAATCTCAGCATTCCCACCTCCACACCTTTTGAAGCTGGCCCAGCTATTTCAGCATCATCGATCGCCACTCTGCTTGGTACAGGAGGAAGTCTTGGCTGTGGTTCTTTTTGTAGTTTTGAGTTTGCTTTTTTGTGAGGGTCACAGTTTTGCTCAGGCGTGACTCTGCGTATGGACAAGGAGACATTTTGAAGTGGTCATTAGATGGAAGTATGCCCTATGCTCTGATGGTGCTGCCCTGAGGTCCCCAGCAGAGGCCAGGCTCCTGGGGACAAGACCCCGTAAGGTGCTGTTTGATCCCCTCCTCCGGACCCAGAATCTTTGCTGTGGCAGGAGGAGGAGGCCAGCCCCATTCAGGTGCCTGTGTGTAATAAGAACTGGGGCTCAGAAAGGGGCTTCTTTGGACCAAGCTGCACTCTGAGCACCCCTGTGACCCTCTCCCCTCACCGCCCACTCATTTGGGGGAGGGGGGCAACACCAAGAAAAGCTTTGCTGCATGAGCTGCTCGAGGCCGGGGATTCATCTCGCCATGTGCAGAAGCTTCACAAGCCTGAGGAAGGGGCCACTCACCATTCCTCCTCTTTACCCTCCCAGGGACTCCTGTGGGAGGCAGAGGCCCAGCCAGGACCCTGCCTACTCCAGGGACGAGTGTGCAGGAGGTTTGGCCCCATCCAGGGAGGGCAGGACCTGCTGGATAGGGAGGCCTTTGAGCTTTGTCTCAGTGCCCCTGGGCACACGTGGAGTCCCCACCCTGAGGACCAACTGTGGGGTCACAGAGTGACAGCAAGCCCATGGGCCTCATCCATCCATGCCCAGGGGTGACCTGCCCTTGGGGGCTGGTACTCAGAGGAGCCAAGAGACCAGGAGCGAAGAGGGTAGGAGGCTGAGGGTCAGCAGTGGCGGGCAGGAAGGAGGGTGTGGCCATCTGCACTGTGCTTCCAGAAGGGCCCTGGTGCACGTGAAAGGCCACCACGTGACGGACCGGCCCACAGACCGTCCTGGCTGTGCCTGCTCTCCAGCTTCCTCCATCCTCTGACCAGGCCCTGGGTGCCTTTGACATTGCACCAGCCACTGACCAGGGCAGTCATGGAGATGAAGGGGAGACAGCACCCTGTGGGGCTGCAGATCCCTATGCTTATGGGCGGCGACAGTGGCACTGCCTCTCCATGCTGCTGGTGGGTATCAGGCCAGGGGGTCCATCAGAGATGATCCTGCCTCCAACCATAGAGCCCTCAAGAACAGGCCTGCAGACTCGAGGTCCAGGGCAGAGTGGGGCACTCAGCCCGCCCTGGTTCCAGGCCCGAACCTGGAACGTGTGGGAACGTGTCACATCCACACAAGCTCACGCCAGGCACCCGATGCACACAGACACATAAAGACCATCTCTTTGAATGTGACCATGACAGTACAGACGCGACCAGACATTTTCTCCCCAGAAACGTAGCCATCAGCAGGAATAAAAATAGAAAGGCTGCTGTCTCACTACAGAGGATAAAAGCAAGCCAAGCATGGGACAGATAAAAAGAGAGGAAAAGGAATGGCAAAAAAGCAAAAGAAAAAATTCAAACAGAAAACAAAAAGCAAGAGGACAGAGATGGGAACAGCTGTGCCGAAATTAAAACTGAAAATGTCTTCATTAACAGACAAAGGTTTTGTATCAGATGGAAAGTAACATCCATAAGCACAGAACGGCCCTGAAACATTGAAAATAAAAAGATGGGTAGAGGTTTGCACTGTCAAACACAAATAACATAAATAAGATAGTAATGCAATAGGCAGGAGAGTCAAGTTCAAAGAGGAAAACGGGGAATAGGGCCAGCATTTCCTGATACAAACGCTGTGAGCCAATAGCATGTGAAGCGTGAATCTCAGAGACAGCTTAAGAGGCCAGCCCAGCCGCCACGAGGTGCGTGGCCATAGGAGAACCTGCAAGCATCGCAGCCAACTTGGAGCTGTTAGCGCTGCATTCCTCCAGATGATGGAGGAGGTGAGTGGTGGGTTGTGGCATTTCGACAGCCCCTTACCCCGTGGGCCATTAACCTGACAAGCCCAGGCCTGCAACCTTCCAAAGAGGGGACCCACTGAAGCCCACGAGAATGTCCAGATATCATGACAGCGTTAAGCCGAGACCTTGGGAAGGTTTCCATATGGGAACTCCTAACATTTCTAACTCACCAATACGCTTGCCCACAGCTTTGGGTGGATGACAGCATCATCCCCAGCAGGGAGGTCACTTGGGATGATAATACCAAGATTCTGCACTATTCAAGAATTAGTATGGCCCTGGCCAGCACAGCAGGGCTGCGATGGGGAAGTGCAGGAAGCCTGTCCCGTTTGGGAGGCAGACCCAGAAGGCTGTGGGATCCACCTACTGTGGGGGTGCATGCATGGAAGGGGGTGCCCCCACTGAGGCAGAGTCCACAGGAGCTGCCCTGAGAAGAACACACAGGCAGCTTTGAACTGTGCAGAACGAGAGGTGCCGCGGGATGTTCAGCCTCAGGTGAGCACAGGACGTGATGACCAGGGCCTGGGATAGCCAGATGGGGACCATTCCAGTGGGGAAACCCATGGTGAGGGGGAACCCAAAGGCAGGCCCAGCCCCACGGCCGAGCAAAGAGCTCATTTAGTTGGAGTGGAAGTGGCACATGTTGGCCCGGGAAGGAAGCAGGGTGGCCCTCCTGCCAGGATCCCAGGGCTTAGCCCTCAACCCCAAATAATGGAAGGGGTAGAGATCCACGGGTGGCAGAAGTTGGGGGGACGCAGAGGAGATCATGAACGTGCTGGGAGCCTTGAGAGAATTTCTGGAGCCAGAGAAGGACTAGCTCAGAGAACTGATCATGAAAGTGTTCCCCTATCCTCTGCACCTGAGTTCACACCACCTCAATGCATTCACACCACCTCAATGCGTTCACACCACCACAAGCTCATACCATACTCGGTCACCCAACTACAATACTTAACTCTTTCTGTTAAGTATTCCTGGTTTGCGTAATGTGCCCTAGTTATGCAAGATGTCACCACTGAAGGAAGCTGGGAGATGGACCATGGACCTTTCTGTGTCATTTTTGCAACTTCTTCTGAGTCCAAAAATTAGTTCAAAAGGAAGGAAAGTGCTAACAAATTCATTAAGTAGAAATTAATTTATCAAAGCATCTCATGTAACAATGCAAAGGCCTCCATGAGTAGTAAGGATCTATTAGTCGTTTGCACACTCGTGTGAATTAGCTGGTTAGAATTAATCTTCGCATGAAACTGAATGAAGTACTGGATGGGGGAGGATGTGGAACAATACTCATATTTGAGGTGAGGGTGCCCTGAGGGCTGGACTGAGAGATGTATTCAATGGGGCTGAGGGTTAGGACAAGCTCTGAGCCTCAGGGCAGAGACTCTGGGAGAGAAAAGGGCCTGGGCTCTGACCTGGAAGGATATGTTCCCTCCTGCAGCTCCTCCACCTCTACCCATTTTGCCACGGGGTCCCGTGGCCCTGGCAGAAAATGAGCTGCACCCACAGAGCTTTGTTCTCCGGATCAAGAGTCATGTTTGTTTTATGGGCAGCCTGGAAGCAGAAAAAGCTACTTGTTCAACCCAATTTGACTATGGGCAGCAAGATTATATTCATGCTCAATGACCGCTGCTCAGCTCCATTTGGGAAAACAAACCTCAGCGACTTGGGAATGGCTTAGGTTCTGTGTTGCCCTTTGTCAGAGGCTGTGGGGGGCTGTGGGACTGCAGTAAGGGCCTGAGACTCTGCCTCCAGGCCCCCCGAGCAGGGTGGGCTCTCACACAGCCTTGACTTTCTGGGGAGCAGCTAGAGCAAGCTCGATGAGACATATGTTTTTCTTCTGCTTGCAGAGGAAAGAGGCTTGGATTAAGTTTTGAAATTTATTTCAAATGCCTCTATCATGAGACTTACACAATTTGTATTTTCCAGCTTTAAAATAAGCTTTAAAGTTTGAGACTTTATTTGTCTGAGCGAGGAAAATGCTTCCTTCTTTGTTAGACGTTTTGTTGTTTATTGAACACCTAAGAAAAAGCCATTTGACAAAGATCCAAATGTTTACTCTCCAGTGACAGAGGCCCAATCAGAGTGTGCCTCGTGGGGGAATTTGTGTCCTAGAGGGTAACGGTTGAAAGAAAAAGTCACCAGGGCTGCTCCACTGTGGTCTGCACACACAGGTCAACTTAAGAGGAATCAGTTTTTGCTTTTTTTTTTTAAAGCCAAACAGTACAACAAGCATTTCTGCTGATGTGAGTGTTTCTCTGCCAGCTGGCTGTGCCGTACTGTGTGGGCCATCTAAGGCAACTAGTGACAGTTTTGTTACTCCAGGATTCGTTGCAGAACAGAGCCAAGATGTGTTCTCTTCAGGTTTTCTTCAGGTTCCAGCTGACTGTGGAGAAAGTGCAATATGTATCCAAAAGTAAAAATGTCCTTCTTCCTAGAATTGTGTTTCTGAGCCACAGGCCAGCATTTAAATATAAATACTTTGGTCACTAGAATACATGAGTTCCATGAAGCATAAATGGTCTGACTTCATATAAGACATTTGATGAGGGCCTTAAACATTTCCTGCAGCCCCACCCAGGATGAGCGTGCTGAAGGCCAGCGCTGCTGGTCAGCCCCACAGAGGTTTCCACAGCGCTTTGGGGTCTTCTCTCCTCGGCTACTAAATGGCTCCTAACACACTCGGCTCTTCTTTGAGACAAGACCATAGGTGGGGGTTTGTGATTGTTATGGGTTTTGTTTGGGAGTTTGAGATACTTGATACAGGGCTGTAACTCCATGGGTTTGGGCAAAGGCGTGGCCTTAGGCATTCATTGGTATTTCTTAGCCAGAAGATCTCACAGAATGAAAATCAACTGCCAATAAATAATGCTAACAGTGTTGGCGGTGCGAGGAGAGGGCAGGGAGGGTTCAGGAGCTGGGGCCGGCAGCTCAGTGGCATCTGGGCTGTCTCCCCTGCCCCAGGAGCAAATCTCAGCTTGGTTGAGAGAAGACAGAGACAGCACTTTTGATAGAAAGAGAAGCCCCCATGAAATTTGGGATCTGAGTGGAGTCGTGGGAAACCAGGAAGAAATGTCAGGAGATGATTAAGATGTATAATAAGGTGTCCAAAACCTTTTGACAAATACAAATTAGAGAAAGGGAAGCAAGGGCAAGGGCCCTGAGATGGTGCCCGGAGAACTTTAAGTGGAGCCTGTGCAGCATCTGGGCCAAGAAAGGGACCACCTCCATGAGAGGTGGATGGGGCACGAGCCCCGGGCAGCCTCCACCAGGTCTCCCTAGCCCGAAATACAGACAACCCATCTCTTGATCAAAAAGACGTGTCCGTGTTCCATCCTCCTTTGTTCAGGGAAGGCTGGCTGTGAGATCTTTTGGAAGAAATCTCCTCTCACCACAACAAAAGCAGGAGAACCTTGGCCCGTGATTCCACAGCACAAGGAAGACACGCAATTAGCTTCACTGCAAAGTGCTCCCAGATGAAACTGGAAACACAACAAATAAAATCATTAGCCATCAGAATTGGAATTACCTTCCAAGGCTCATGCTTGTACTTTTCTCTCGCTGGCTGTCTCTCTGACTCTCTTTCTCTGATTCTCTCTCTCTTTCTCTCTCTCTGACTCTCTCTCTGTCTCTCTCTCCCTCTCTCTGCCTCTTTATCTCTGTCTGTCCCTTTCTGTCCCTCCATCTCTGTCTTCCCCTTCTGTTTCTCTTTTCCCTCTCTTTCTCTCTTCCTATCTTCCTCCCTCTTCCTCTTTCTCCTCTCTCCTTCTCTCTGTTTCCCAAACACCACTCTCAATGGTGCTAATGACTATATGGAAACTGAGTCCTGTGCCTGTGTGTGGGAGAAGAAGGCAGCAGACAGGAGGTGGGTCTTTGGGAACTGTGTCTGTAGGTGACTGCAGGGTCAAAGACCCCCATGACTTCAAACTCATGTGTAGAACCCAAGGCGTTCTGAGGGGCCTCCTTCAGGGGTTTTCAGGTCCCCCGATACCCCCATTATTTGGCTGGCCTGTCACCTACCTGTGCCAGAGGTACAGTGAGTACAGGGGTGGGGATGAGACAGGAGACCAGGGCAGAACCTTGCTTACACAGCCCCATGCCCAAGTCAGACAACCTGTCCTGGAGACACCAGCCATGCGCCTGCTTCTTTAAACCAACCCCCAGCCTAGGGCTGTAAAGGCTGGAGCCCATTGGCACAAGTAACCCCTATGGCCCCTACCTGGTTCTCGGTGCATTTGGTCATGTGGCCTTTGTCCCTACCACATCCTGCTATTTGCCATTATTTTTAGTGTGTGTAACATCTGCCAGGATGCCCAGGAGCACAGAGGAGTGGAGTGCATTCGCAGGACAAGCACAAGAAAGCCGAGAGTGCTGACGCCTCTCAGGCTGCCCACTGCCACACTGCCACCGCGAACCACCTGCTACAGCAGCCACACTGTGAGTCCTAGCTTCCCAGAGGGCCCTGGCCTCCCCAGCACAGCCCAAGGCCTCCCTGACTTTGACTTGGTTCCTCTTGGAAGCACAAACTCCATCTTAACACGCTAGGCTACTGGGGAATGCGCTTTACATAAAGCATCTTTCATTGCGTGAAAGCCTTTCCCGAGGCTGTCATTACCACCTCAACCCATCCCCAGGCAGGCCTCCTTCCTCGCAGGGAGCTCTTCTGTTCCTAGGCTGCTCTGCTGCCCTCTGTGCAGGGATTTAAATGGGGTCATGACCAGAAGGAACAACAGTGGCTGGAACCAGCTCAGCAAGGTTATGTTTCTCCACTTGGCTGCCGAGTCTCTGGGACAGATTCCCTAACCTGGAGTAGGATGCTTCCTTCTCTGTGCCCATCTCCTCATCTATAAAATGAGTGTTGAAATACCCACTACCTCATGGGGTGGTTGGGAATATTCAGTGATTAACAGGGCTTGCCTCACTATAAGTACCATGTAAGGTATAAATTATTTTATATATATAAAATATTTCACAATTTCAGCCATCGAGGCAGAGAGGGCCATGCACCTGCTGCAGACAGCAAGAGTGGAAGAACCTGGGAAGCTCTCTGCCAATGCTCACAGCTGTCCTGGAAGAGGGAGTGGGGCCACCCAGCCCAGCTCAACTGCCCGGTAGAGCTCAATTCCATAGACGGTGGTCTCTGGGGACAGAGTGCCCCTCAGCTCCCAGGAATGTGCCTGCCTGCTTCCCTCCCCGTGACACTTCCCTCCTCAGCTGGACATGCGCTGACGTCCACTTGTGATGTGTTTAGCTTCACTGCATGCCCATGAGAGCCACGTGACCCTCAGCAGGACTTATGAAGATGTAACATTGGACATGGTAACAGAACAACCACACGAGAATAATCTCACAAGATGGCCCATCCCCAACAGGCTAGCACCTGGAACACCCTGGACACATGTGTTTCCTGCTGGAACAGTGACTGAGGGGACACTAAGGTCCCCCCATCGGTGTGGGGTGTATGGGAACTCTCTGTACTATCTTTGTAATTTTTCTGTAAATGTAAAACTCTTATAAGAAATGAAGTTTATTTTTAAATCCTCGTCGTCTTGTCTGACCACCCGCTCTTCTGCCTGGGTGCCTGCATCAGGCAGGCACTGAGGGCGCCCTGGGCAATTGGCCCCAGAACCTTGGGTCCATCAGCTCCCTCGGCCAAGGAATGTAACTGATCCCAGAACCATGAATTCCCCTAATTGCTCCCTCCGCAGAGTCATCCTGGAAGCCCCAAGCTTCCACATGTGTTTCTACTCGGGCCTGGCCATTCCCATGTGGATGCCAAATGTCAGCCGCCCAAGGAGACGGGGCAACATTATCTCTCTAAGTCCTTGGATGAGCCCACCTTGCCTTTGTCTGGCTTTGGAGGGCCAGGACACATGAGTTTTAGAGCCACGGTGTCTGTTGTTGACCTAGGATGAAGAGGCTGGGGTTGACCATTCCAAGGCCTGAGTTTCAGTAGAGAAGGAATTTCACTTATAGACACAACCACTCACTCTAAAAGGCCACGGATCAGTCACCAGCCACACCCCCAGAGTGCGTTTCTCCTAGTAGGATTCCTTCAAGTGTCCATTCCACAGTGACTCAAACTCCTCACATGCCAGTGGTCACCCCCACACTGCTGACTCTCCCAAGGGTCTTCCTGGGGTCTGCACTGAGGCCTTGGCCCCATAGAGTCCTCATGGAAGGGTCTGGATGCTCAGCCTCATGTCACATCACACTCACAAGACCCCGTTCCCCGCTGGGCTCTTCCCATCCAGCTCTGCACGGTGCACTGGAGCCCAGCTGACACCCCACTCCCAGCCTGCTAGGCCTCCAGACCAGGAGGGAGAGTGCACTGGGGAGAGCTGAGAAACGCCAGATTGATACATATAGGCCACATGATGAATTTGGGGTATCTAGGGCCACTCTGAACCCACAAACGTCAGCATCCCAAGTCCTGAGCCATGCCTGGGATGGAGGAGGGAGGTTAGGTCACCAGACTAGGGGACCTGGGAAGGTTTTGGGAGTGTGAACTGGGGAAATCTTGCCCCTCGGAGGCCAGGTGGATTCTGTAGGCTCAGCCCTTTAATTTTTCTCTGTCTTTGGATTAGGGGATGTTTTCTGCTTAGAGGGATCTGGGGCAGGGACAGCAGCCACAGGTAGGAGACCAACAGGGAAGAGCTACCCCCGTGTCCAGCCTGGGAGAAAGGGGAGGGCACCAGGAAGCCTCTCTACTTTGCCCTTCACCCTGCAGACTAAGAAACGCTGCAGCACCTAGGAGAGGGATTCTGCCCAGGAACACAGGGTTCACCTGCAGCCCGAGCTTCTCTGGACCCTGTATCTCAAGAAGCAGAGTGAGAGAGGAGTGTAAAATCTAACACTTTTAAAGGCACAAAGGGAGGGGGACTCTGCCCTCTGGGGAGGGTCTGATGGATATGGACAGGTCTGGATTATGCCCTCCCTTGTGGATGCTACACGTCTAATGCAGCTTCATTTCACAGCAGCCCAGGGCAGTCGCAATTCACTGTGTACTCAGAGAACTTACCAAAACCCTCTGCATACAGACCGAGAGCTTGCGTATACCCAGCCCGCAGTGGCACAGCCAGTTACAACTTACTCTCTGGAAACTGCTGGGTCCAGAGTCAGCAGAAGGTATAGAGAGGCCTTGGGGAAAGTGTCATTTGACTAGGTCTGCAAGCAGAGACGCCTCTTGTGTGATACATCAAGCCCCGCCTCACCCCAGCCTCTGCTGCAGTGACCAGTGATCAGTTCCCACAGGCGGTGGTCGGCTTCACACAGCCACACTTCAGGGTCACCTGGCCTGGAGCGTGGAGCAGGGGTTGATCCCAAAGGGGCCGCCCATCTCTAAGGGGATGGGAACTCACGGGGTCAGCGTGTTCCTTCTCAGGGGGTCTGGCGGGGACGCCCCAGGCCCTACAAGAATAATGTCTTTGCACTGACTCTGTCTCCTCCCTATCATCTCTCAGTCCTGCCCCGGATCATCAGTCCCCTCATTCATTTATGGAGCCTCTTCCCAGGCTCTGCCCTCAGTGGGACCAGGCTAAGACTATGACATTGAAAGCTAAAGTCGTGGTGCATGGAGACCACTGTTCTCACCAGAGGAGGAAGATGAGGCCCAGGAAGCAACTGACGTGACAGCATGGATGAGTGACTGGAACGGCCAGTGGGGGGAGGGGGGCAGTTCCCACCATTGTGCAGATGGCCCGGGCTGCTGCCCCAGGATGGCAGAGTTGGCAGCGTCTGCCCAGGAAATGAAAACAGCCCCCAGGAGAGGAGGATTCTTCTTTTGGCCTCCAAGGACTCGAGAATGTGCAGCAGAGAGAGAGGTCTGGAGGCATGACAGCAATGCTGGGAGGAGACACAGGAGGAGCCCATCGTGGACTACCCTGGGGTGGCCACACCTGCCCCCTCCATCCAGTCCCCTTGGCTGTGGCCAACTGCCCCAGGCAGGGATGACTAAGGAACCAGAAAGTTTCTGGAGGGCCCATCCCAAATACAGAAGGCTCATGGACTCAGCACCATTGAGCCCACCTGTGGGTGCCCTGAATCCTAAGCACCCCCAAGACTCCCAGTGTTACCGGCTCTTGGATTTGCCATCACCCCTGGGGCAGGACTTGGTGACTCCTGTCCATCTCCCCTCCTCCCTCCCTTCCTACACTCCTTCCTTTCTTCCTTCTTTCTCTCTTCTGAAGAGCTGAGAGATTTCTTCAAATCCCCAAAGAAAGCAGAAGAAACCAATCCTTTGGATGTTGGGAGGTTTATTCCATTTTGCAATCCCCAAATAGCTGGACCAGGTTTCTATTAACTGCACCACCAGTGTCAGTGTGTGAACATTGTCATGAACTGTGCTGCTTCCTAGGACGGCCTCTGAGACCTTCCTGTTGCCTCCCTGATTCATGGACTTCTAAGAAAAAGCCAGCTGTTGAGACCCTGAGAGTCTGGTTCCAGCATGTCTGAGCTGTCATGTTAATACACAGTCTCCAAGCCAGGATCTTGGAGTAATCACATAATCTTCACAGCAACAACCTGAAGAACATGCCATGATGGCCTTCAGGCTACAGAGGAGGAGGCTGAGTGGTAAGTGACTTGCTCCATGTATCACTGGGCTGCCTGGCCACACGGGCCTCCTCCTGGGGATCATGGCAAGGGCAGACAGGAGCAGTGGCCCCGTTCCTCAGTAGTGCTTGATGTTTTTGACCATCCACTTGAATCCATTCATCAACATTTGACTGTGATTTCAATGCCAATTCTTTGATTATCCGTGAATCTGAATAATTTTCCCTCTTAGATTCCTTTGCCCTTCTTATGTTGTGAGCTGCTGATTTCTGGGAGCTCTCAGGCAAGTTCCTGAATGTCGTCGTGTCTCCAGCTCCTCGTTGAGCAGTGGGGCTCACCGCCCCCCGCCAGCTGAAGGATTAAATCCATGACTACAGAAAGCACCGATAATAGCGCTGGCTGAGGGCAAGGGCCGTGTTGTTATAAATTAAAGGTAGAAATTCTTTGTTTCTTCGTTTCTTGCTGCAAATAGTGACGTCAGTGTTTCATTTGCCTTTGCAAGTCACATATGGAAGTTTCACGTTTATATAGAGTAATATAACTTTTCCATTCTGTTTTCTAACTTAGGTGTTATGCTAAGAGACGCCTTTTTCACCCCCGGAGTGTAAAAATATTCACCAATATTCCCCTCAAATTCCTTTACCATTTCATTTGTGTTACACTTATCTCTTTAAGCCATCTGGAATGTATTTCACTGTGAGGTAAGAATCCAACTTTAATTTTTTTCCCCCAAAACTGTAACCACCTATGCCAGTAACATTTATTGCACAATCCGCTCTTTTCCGCACGGATTTCATTCTCCCTTTTCATGTGATAAATACTTACATATCTTGAGTCATTTCTGAACCATCAATGCTTCGCTCTGATTCTATTTTCTGTCAGCACCAGTGCCGTGCTCCTCTCATTACTCTGGTTCTAAGGCGTGTTGATATTTTGGACCCGGGGCCACTTCACGTTGTTATTTTCCAGGCTCCCGACTGTTCTTGCACAGTCATTCTACCAAGTGAACTCAATATCATTTTGTTCCCCCCAAGTAGACTTTTGGCATTTTAATTGGAATTCTATCCACAACACATCAGAGTGCCCTCCCCAGAGACCTGGCATGTTAAACATGAAGTCCTTGCCCAGAGCAGGGGCTGCCTCGTCCCTTCCAGGTCTCATGCTGAAGAGGGCTCTGCCACTGCTCTCACGCACCTCCTGATTTATGACACTCTGCACTTCATCATTCTGTAACTCTTGCAAATAAAATGCATTTTTCTTTCTTCTTCTTTTTTTTTTTTTTTTTTGAGACAGGGTCTTGCTCTGTTGCCCAGGCTGGGGTGCAGTGTTGCAATCACACAGTCTCAGCTCACTGCAGACTCAAACTACTGGCCTCAAGCGATCCTACCACCTCAGCCTCCTGAGTAGCTGAGACTACAGGCGCCCACCACCATGTCAAGCTAATTTTTTGTAATTTTTGCAGACATGGTGTTTCACCATTTTGCCTAGGGTGGCCTCAAACTCTTGGACTCAAGAGACCTGCCCACCTTAGGGCCTCCCAAAGTGCTGGGATCACAGGCATGAGCCACCGTGCCTGGCCAAATGCATTTTCTCAACTGAGTCACATTTCCTTCATTCAAAAACAATGTTGATTAGAAAATGCACCATTAACTTGATGTCACCTTTCCAGGAAAAAAAAGGCTATTATATTTAATATATGTAATGGTCATGAAAACATCCCAATTTCAGAAAAAAATAATAAGTGAACAGGTATATATGTATTCAAAATAAGTATACACATACATGCATACATACAGACAGCAGAGTTGATCCTTCACTCTGAGGATCTAAACTTGGTTTTGCCGATACATGGAGCATCTAGAAAAATCACAGATGCTTAGACATGGATGTTTTGTTACCAGCCACCTCCTGAACTCATATCCGTTCTAGTCATTTTTAAGTTGTCCCTGGAAAGACAATAACTCAGATCATCCTCAAATAATGAAAATAATGTCTCCTCTGTGTCATAGCTTGGTTTTTTTCTTGTCTTATCAACGGGGATTTTGTTGTGAGCCTCATTCTGGGCCACTTGGGTCGATCTCTTCTCTGCTATGCCTTTTCATCAGCAGACACGAGGAAGAGCGGCAGCCACCAGTCTTCTTAATGCCTGTACACCAAAGGTGGTCTTCCTGTTGCTTCATGTGATAAGCAGTTTATGCATCTGTGTGCAGCCAAGGGGAAGCCTCAGGCCTTCAGAGCTTTTTCCTTGTGGTGCTGTTGTTTTTTGACCTAAGTGTTTGAAAGATCCCTTCTTCCTTGCAGCTTAAGTGTTTTATTGGTGTATGTCGAGGGATGTGTTTCTTTCTGTATTCTATTTCTGTTGATTTAGCAGGTGCTGGGGGAGCTTCTGCAGACCCATCTTGCTGCCCTGCTGTGTCTCTGAATATGGTTTTCATCCCGTGGAGTCTGGCTCTGCCTTGAGGACACCCATAGTTCAGACGTTCCCCCATATGCAGTATCCTTTTATTCTCCTCTTGTTTAAAATCCCATCCACCCTTTTGCCTCGTCCCTATGCATTCTGGAGGCCTCCGGGCTCCCACTCCACATCACGAGGGAGCTTCCCGAAGGACCTGTTTTGCCTTTGACAGGACTTTAAATTCTGGAGTGACTGTCTTTGACTTCAAAACCACATTTCCTCCTCACACCAGGCCCCCTTTGTGTCTCTTCCTGCCTCTTAGCAGTCCTTCCCGTATGTGTTTTCTTATTCCTTCTTTCATCTCTAGCTATGCTTGTATTTTCTGTTCTAGATAACCTCATCATGGTGCATGGGCATCCATCAGCCCTGAGCTACTCTTGACTCAGGCAGCTCATGAAGCCGATTTCGCACCTGCTCTCTGAACACTGAGGTCACACTGGTGAGTTTCCTTGCTAAGCCTACATGTGTCCTTTGCTCTCATGGAGTACCGCTCCCTGTGGCATGTCACGGTGCCCCTACCCAGACGTCGCAGAGAGAGACAGTTCCCTTGAGGACACTGCTGTTTGCCAGGGCTGCATAGGTGTCATGTGCCTGCCATGAAGGCACCACAGATCCGTGCAGTGGCACCATTTCCAGCTCAAGAAGTAGCCCATCCCACTGCCTGACAGCTATTAGTGCCATTGGCCCAAGATCACTTTAGCCTGGGGGCTGGTCACACAAGTTAGGGGGTCATTATTGTGAAAATTTTATCTATTATAGCTGAGATATAATAGACTGTATATATTATCTGTGTCCTCTCCTCTCACCCCATCCTCTCGGCTGAGGCTGAGGAGGGTGGCCGAGTGTAACAGAAAGTGTTCATCAGGAGATAGATGGGGCTGTGGAGGGAGAAAGGGCAGCCAGGGCAGAGACAGACAGACACCGAACCTCAGAAAACACCCATTCTTGAGGACAGCATCAGGGTAGGATTTGAGGTCAGGCCAGGCAGATGACCCCCTTTAGATCCCAGGACTCTGGGCTCCATGACAGCAAATCTGGCCACAGTGTGTGTGTTGGCAGTGGGTGTGGGGCAGGGGGCGCTGCTGATTGGCAAGGGCTCTTAGGAGTGTCTGGCTCCTACCCCCTGTTGGAAAATACAGTACACTTATGCATGCTTTGAAATTGAACATCTGTCCCCAATAATGTATGGCAATGGACATTTTCATTTTGAGTTAATGAAATTTCCATTTTTTAATAAAAAAATAGATAATGAATGAGACTGACAACATGAATGAAAACTCTCAGTTCTCGAAAACAAGCAGCCAATCTCATCACCAACAGAACTCAAGAGTGTTCAGGACACCTCTGCAATTCCTCTGAGCAAGGCCCACACTGCGAACCCAGCCCTGCTCAGTCCAGTGAGCTTGGAGATCTAGCCAGCAGCAGTGCCCAGCTGTGGGGTGATGGAGAGTCCGGGGCTCATGGAGAAGGTGGCCTTGGGAACACATGTGTTAGGGGCCGAGGATGCAGGTGCACACTACCAGGGAGGATGGGATTGCCTTTGTAAATTAGATCTTCCTATTGCAGGTTTGTGCAGCCTGGCCTCTAATTCCTAGGCCAGAAATTAACTCCAAATTCCAGACTCAGGTCTCCCTGCTGACCTGTGAATGTGAGTCAACTAAAATGGTAGAAATAAGATTCTTCTGGTTTCATGGAACGTCTTGCAAGACTGAAGGCCACTGCAGTCAACTTCTGACCTTGAGGGGTACTCTCAGCTCAGATTCTTTGTAATTAATCCTACTCAACTTTGGTAAAGTGATGACAACAGAACTTAGTTTATGATCTCATTTATCACCCTCCTTGTCACTAAAATACGAGATGCAAGTGCTCCACCCAAATATTTGAAGAAAAGCCAGCGAATGCAAAGTGTAAATTCCTTCCCAGCATCATTGGCTTGTGAACTTGTCAAGGGGTGGCTCTGAGTGCTGAGCTCCTTGCAACTGCCTCCTGGGATTTGCTTGTGAAGAAAGGAAGGGAACAGATTCAAGTCAGATTTTGCCTTGGGAGCCCATCTTGCTCTAGGCCAAATTAAATGCATGTATTCCATTAGTATGTGGTAAGAGATTAAAATTATGATAGAATTGGCTGGTCTACAGTCTTCTAGAACAAAAAACGGCAACTGTTTGCTTGTGGGAGGGAAGCATTTGTGAGTTTTTAAAAATCTGAAAATGAGAATAAACATTCATATGACTCATGGATTAGTCAGACCGTGTATGTTTTTCCCCAACTCCCTGGAGCAACTGACATAATCAAGGTGCTCATTGGCTAAGTTGACCTTCTCCTCACCCACACTACTGAAGTAGAATCTAGTTGCCTTTCCTTAGCCTCCACCCGCACAAGCGTCATCCTGGCTGTTCTAAGCAATGACAACAATGGACAAACATAGAGGATGAGGCAGACATTCAGAGTTGTGCAACTTAGTATTATGCCCTAGTTTGTGCAAGAGGGTCAAGTCTGGTGTTTCTGGGTAATTTCTCAAATATGTCTGGAAAATATTTTTTACACTTTTTTCCCCCAGATGGCAGAATTCGAACAACATGTGGAAGATTTATGAACAACATTTTGGGCTCAGTATAGGGAAAGACTTTCTAAAGAGAGTTGCCCACCCATGCCAAAGTCCATCTCGAATTATCCCAACTTGAAAGCATTTTCAGTGGGAGCTGAACAACAATCAGTCAGGGATGCTTTCAAGGGGTGGACTTCAGCAGTCACAGTTGGTGACCTGCCCATAGGCCCCCGCGGCCTCCAACTGGAGGTGCTTGCAGCTCTGTCTTAAGGCTTTCTCTGCAAGGAGGATCAAGCCAGAAATACCAGGGAGTTAAAGGCACCCCTGGGAACAACCCTCACCCAGTGACTGACAAGAGTTGGTGGGTAAAGACCCCAACTTTCTTACTCCTCAGGTTGGCCAACACTGATGCACATTCTATAATTGGCCGGAGGTCCCCCGTGGGATTGGGCCCAGCCCCCACAGCAGTCAATGATGCTCCTTCTTGCATTTTTCCGATCTTTCATTCTGCATTCACCCAACAGTGCTTCCTGGAATCACCCTCAAAATAATTACTTGTGCTCAAATCCTTGTCTCAGGGGCTGCTACTGGGGGAGCCCATCCTAAGAAAGGGGGTTTGTGCATTGGGTGGTTAGGTTGTGGGAGGAAAAAAAATGAATCTCACCCTCTGGAACCTTGAAATCTAAACCTAGGAAGAAGAAAAAGAAAGACAATTGATACTGGTTTGAAGATGAAGAGGCTGGAGTCAGGATCAACTGAGCAACCACTGACCATGCCCTGAGGACCAGGAAGAACTGAGGACCAGGAAGACGTGCCCCAGGTATGACGGACACTCAGAGAGTAGCCCTGCATTTCCCAGAGGAAATACATCCTGAATCCCAGAGATGATTGCAGGTGAAACTTCACAGCTACTTCTTACACCTCTGACTCAAGTTTGTTCTTTAATTTCCAAGGGCTTCCTATGCTATATCTATGTAAAGACAGTGAATGCACAGTAATGGTGGCATTGCAAATCAATGGGGAAAGCATGAGTTAGTTACTAAGTGGAGTTTAGGTACTAACATTTATAATTAATCTGTGTCTTAAACTAAAATCATTTCAATTGTGATTAACATATTAAATATTAAAGAAAAGATTATAAAACTCTTAAAATAGATGATAATCGAATATTTATATGACCATAGATGGGATGGAGAATTTCAAGGTGACCCCAAGGCAAAAACTGTAAGAGAAAAACTGATAGATAAGTCAACCTAAACATGTAAGACTTCTTTATGTCAACGATGAAATAAAAAGGGAAATGATGAAATGGAAACAATATAAATACAAATTGTTAATGGTCTTCATATAGAGATTGCATTTAAAATTCAATAAGCTATGGAATAAGGTGTGCTAAGCACACGAATATGCATACTATATAAAGTAGGGGAAAGTTTAATCTCATTAATAATTTTTTTAAATGACATGTTTTCCTACGATAAAGGAAAGGTCTATGAAATGTAGTGTCCCAGATTGGTGAAAAACGTGAGAAGGCAAATCAATACTATCCTGAAGACTAGGTAGACATGAAAATTATTCTGAACTGAAGACTGGCAATACACACATGCAGTAGAAGCTCCAAAAATAGGCCCTTTAGCCCAAGGGTCCGCAGTCCCTGGGCCATGGAGCAGTACTGGTCCACAGCCTGTTAGGAACCTGGCTGCACAGCAGGAGGTGAGTGGTGGGCTAGCGGCGCTCCGCCTACTGTCAGATCAGCAGTGG
This sequence comes from Homo sapiens, assembly GCF_000001405.40. Classification (NCBI taxonomy): domain Eukaryota; kingdom Metazoa; phylum Chordata; class Mammalia; order Primates; family Hominidae; genus Homo; species Homo sapiens. The sequence goes on along the minus strand of NC_000002.12, from coordinate 238,682,670 downwards.
CATTCAATTCTCATAGGAGTGCAAACCCTATTGTGAACTACACATGTGAGGGATCTAGGTTGCAAGCTCCTTATGAGAATCTAATAATAAATGTAATGCACTTGAATCATCCCAAAACCATCCCCCAGCCCCATCTGTGGAAAAATTGTCTTCCACAAAACCGGTCCCTGGTCCCAAAAAGGTTGGGGACTGCTGCTTTAGCCCATGAAGTGGCCCATTCTACTTCTAGAAATTCAATACTCTTTTTCTCCAAATGTAAGCCATGTCCAAAAAATATATCACAAAAGATGTTAATAACAAAACTGTTTCTAAGGAGGAAGTATGAGAATAGAAACAACCATCTAGAAACATGAATTCAATTAAATAAAAATTTTACACAATAAGATAGTATGTAGCCATTAAAACAATGTTGAAGCAATGCATATATTGGTATTGAAAATGTTCATAAAATGTAGTTAGGTGAAATCATAAGTGAAACTTTTAGTGGGAAAGCATACTTAAACATAAATAGACTCTGAAAGCTACCAGCAGTTGCTTCTCAGTGAGTGGGATTATCATTGGTTTGGCTACTATATTTTCTGACTTCGGTAAAAATCTATTACTTTGGGGGTAAGAAAAATAAGTTCTGAAATTTCATTTTGAATAAAAATAATAACAATAAATCATCTATACATTCAACTAAGACAGTAAAAAAAGGGGACAAATATTTCTAATTTGAAAATACAAAAGGAAGGAAATAATACAGAATAAAAAATAAATCAAGAAATTATGAAAAAGAACAGTGCCATTAATAAATAAAACCATGTGCTCTCTGAAACAGCAATAAATAGACAAAAAAGAAGAATAAAAATATGCATGTGCACTATTATCTCAATTATGTTTAAAAGCATAGAAAATACTCAGAAGAAAACATGCAAGATATTAAATGCCACATCTGGTCATTGCACTCATATATTTTTTCTGTAATTTTATATTTTATTTTCCAAATATTCTACAATGACCATGAATTCATTTTGTAATCTTAAATTGATACTGGAAATAAGCATGAAGGAAAAACATGGAGTTTTAAGTGAAAACACTGACGGTGGAAATGATAGATGGCTAACATAGGCTAAGGTAAAACTTAACATCAGCACTGGCAGAACCACAGACGTAGGTAAGGCATATTCCTACTCTGACCTATGCCCTTGACTTGGAGTCCCCAGGATCTAGGTGTCTCCAGTGCCCCCCATATGGTTCAAGGCAGAATGGCACATGAAGCAAGGGATGGCAGAAGGGAGAAGGTAGAGCAGAAAGCATGGGGCTGTGCACAGCAGGACAAAAGGAAATCTGGACAAGTGGAAAGATCAGAAGGTACAAGTCCAGATTCCCAAATAAAGGAGTGATTATGGGCCCTGCTAAGGAAAGGATTAGGCTCCCAGGTGATAATCGTAAGCAGCTGCAAGGGGAAGCTGTAAAGAGTCAGAAGTAAGGCAAGAGCATCGACTGGACCCAACAACAAGGACAGTTGCAAGATGGGCAGCATGCTATAAGAAATGATGATGCCCTCAATGGAGGTAGAAAGTGCACTTCGCTCTTCAAGTTGTTTTTTATAAATGTATGTGTTTAAAGTTCCTGTCCTTTTCATTAACTTGTTAATTTCTATAATTAAGTGTTCGTTCAAGTTGCAAGTTATTTAGTTATTTGTATATTAAAAGGTTATAGGTATGTTAAATCAAACATTCCAGGGTTTTTCAAAGCACAGTGATCAAACTGTTGGATTTGAAACTGTGTTGGGTTTTACAATGTTGGACAAAATATTTTGGCAAGGCTGGAAAAATGGTCACTCTCATACATTGTAGATGAGAATGCAAAATGCAAATTCCCCTATGGAGAGGAATTTCAAAATACCTAGCAAAACTTCAAATTCATTTAACCCTTGACCCAGCAATTCCACTTCTAGAAATATACCCAAAATATAGATTGGGAAAAATACACAAACATATATGCATAAGATGAATCACTGTAACACTGTTTATAATAGCAAAAGACTGGGAACAACCTAAAGGTCTATCGAAGGGTACTAGCTGAATAAACTATGGTATATCTACACAATAGAGTACTATACAACTATAAAAAGCAATGAAGAATATTTATATATACTGCTTTGATGTGACACTTAGGACACATTCTTAAAAGAAAAAACAAAGTGGATAACTGTGGTATCTTCAAGTTGATATGTTACCATGTGTTGAAAAAATAGGAGAATATGAAAATAAATATTTGCTTTTATTTTGAGATAGAAGGATAAAACATACATTTTCACAAAATTACCTGTAGAAAGATAGAGGGGACAGGGAGAGAAGCTGGACTTCTCTGAATATAACATTGTTCTATAGTTCCAACTTAGGATCCATGTAAATAATTATAACATAAAAATCAACTGTGGAACAACTCCTAAAAATCAAAAGCAAAATGAAGCAAATGAACCTGAATGTGTATCAGGTGAGTGATAAGCAAAACGGAAAGCAGCTATTGAAGTGATTTCTAAACCTAATGATTTGACTAGTCATCCCTAGTGAAATAAACCCCAGGAAAACACATGCACAAATACAAAAAAGTTAATGTTTTCAGTATTTATATTGCTGACACTTATTGTATTGGTAGGTACTTTTATCCTGAGGTTATATTGTTTATTCTATAGGATAAGACAAATAAGTAATTATGTTGATGTCATGAAGAACCAGGATTTTGAGCTTTGGAGAAAGGAGATACATACAGATCAATCAAGTTTAGTAAAAAGTAATAGTACTAAATTTGAATTGGAAGTAAAATTTTTAACTCAAGAAATATTTTGTCTTTTAAAAAATGTGTATTTCCTAATTCTGTCCACTGGAAACATCTGGTAATGAGGAAAATCCTAGTAGCAATGAGCACCCCTAGAGCCCAAATTGTGTTTTCTCTATATCTTCTCCCTTTAAAGGAAACCATGGCCCCTTGGAAAAATGGCTGAGTCCAAGTCTAGGGCAGAAACAAACAGAATGCACCAGGAACATCTTGTCATACCAAAAGCAAGAAGGGTATCAGGTTGTACTAGGATCTGTCAGAGGTCTCAGGACTCAACTTGGAAAACCTTCTATTGGCCAAAGAAGGGACAATTTGAGCATGAGTAATAATAATGACTGAAGTAGATTGAAACATATCAAACATGTTTCTATCTCATGAATTCATAATTACACTACTAAAAAGAGTTATTTGTCATCCTTGAGGAATACTATGAACCAACTACTTAGAAAATGTATAAATATCTCTGACAAGCAAAAACTGAAGGAATTTGTCACCTTTTGACTGGCCTTATACGAAATGCTCAGGGGAGTCCTACATCTGGAAGAAAAAAGATTATAATTACCGTAATGAAAACATGCAAAAGTAAGTTTAAAAACTCACTTGGTAGAGTAGATACCCAAAGGAGAAAGAGAAAAGAATCAAACCTTCTCACTACAGAAAACCCCAAATTGCAATGATAAACAATAAGAAAGGAATGAAAGACATACAAAATAACCAGAAAACAGTTTACAAACTGACAGGAGTAAGTCCTCACCGGTCAGTAATAACCTTAAGTACAATTGGATTAACTTTTCCACTGAAAAGATATAAATTTGCTGAATTGATTTTAAAAAGAAACCCAGCAATATGTTGCCTACAAGAAATTCACTTCACCTGTAAAGACACATATAGACTGGAGAAAGTGAAGGAATGATAAAAGATATTTCATGCAAACAGAAGCCAAAAGTGAGCAGGAGTAGCTATACTTATAGCAGATACAACAGATTTTAAGTCAAAACTGTAAAAAGAGACAAAACAGATTATTATATAATGATAAAGGGATCAATTTAGCAAAAGGATATAACGATTGTAAATATATACATACCCAACACTGAAGCACCCAGATATATAAATCAAATATTATTATTAGATCTAAAGGGAGCGATATCCTGGGCATGGTGACTCACACCTGCAATCACAGCACTTTGGAAGGCCAAAGCAGGTGGATCTCTTGAGCTCAGAAGTTTGAGACCATCCTGGGCAACATGGTGAAACCCCCTCTCTACAAAAAATAAAAAAATTAACCACGCATGGTGGTGTGCACCTGTAGTCCCAGCTACCCAGGAGGCTGAGGTGGGAGGATCAATCACCTGAGCCTGGAGTTCAAGGCTGCAGTCAGCCACGATTGTGCCACTGCACTCTAGCCTGAGAAATGGAGTAAGACTCTGTCTCAAAAAAATAAAGTTAGGGAGAAACAGGCTCCAATACAATGATAGTTGGGGACCTCAACACCACACTCTCAGCATTGGACAGAGCATTTAGACAGAAAATCAACAAAGAGACATTGAATTTAAACCGCATTTTAGACCAAAGAGGCCTAACAAACATTTACAGAACATCTTGTCTGACAGCTGCAGAATACATATTTTTTTCATCAGCACATGGAAGATTCTCCAGGATAGACCACATGTTAGGTCACAAAACAAGTCTCAACAAACTTAATAGAATTTAAATCAAATCAAGTGTCTTTTCTGACAACAGTGGAATAAAAGTAGAAATCAATACAAGAGGAACTTTCAAAACTGTAAAAAGACATAGAAATTAAACAAAATGCTTGTGAATGACCAATGGGTCAATAAAGAAATTAAGAAGGAAATTTACAAATTTCTTGAAGCAAATGAAAATGGAAACAGAGCACATCAAAACTTCTGGGATTATGAACTGAAAGTAACTAGAAAGGCAAGAACAAACCAAATGCAAAATTAGTAGAAGAAAAGAAAAAATAAAGATCAGAGCAGAAACAAATGGAATTCAGACTGAAAAAATACAAAAGAACAATGAAACAAAAAGGTGTTTTTTTTAAAAGATTAACAAAATTGGCATACTACTAGTTAGACTGGTCAAGAAAAAAAAAAGAGTGAAGTAAATATAATCAGAAACAAAAAGGAGACATTACAACCTTTACCACAGAAATACAAAGGATTGTTGGAGACTATTACCAACAATTATATGTGAATAACTATACACCAACAAATTGGAAAACTTAATGAAAATGGATAAATTTCTGGACACATGCAACCTATCAAGATTGAACCATGAAGTAATAGAAAACCTGGACAGATCAATTACAAGTAATGACATTGAATCAGTAATAAAAATCTTTTATCAAAGAAAAGCCCAGAACCTAATGGTTTTATTGCTGAATTCTATCAAACATTTAAAGAAGAGCTAGTGCCAATTCTTATCAAATCTTCCAGAAAATTGAAAAGAGGGGAATTTCTTCAAATTGTTTTATAAGACCAGCATTACCCTGATACCAAAACCAGATAAGGACACAACAAAAGAAAACTATAGGCCAATATCCCTGGTGAACATAGGTGGAAAAACCCTTAACAAAAACTAATAAACTGAATCCAGCAGCACATTAAAAAGATCATTCACCATGATCAAGTGGGATTTATCCCAGGAATGCAAGGATGGCTCAACATAAGCCAATTAATAAACATGATATATCACATCAAAAGGATGAAAAACAAAACCAAATGATCATCTCAATAGATACATAAAAAGCATTTGATAAAATTCAACATTGTTTCATGATTTTAAAAACTCAAAAAACTAGGTATAATAAAAGGGAATGCTGAAAGCTTTTTCTCTAAGAACTGGAACAATGCAAGGATGCCCACTGTCACCACTCTTACTCAACATAGTACTAAAAATCCTAGCCAGAGCAATTAGGCAACAGAAATAAATAAAGGACATCCAAATTGGAAAAAAAGGAAATAAAAATATTCCTCTTTGCAGATAACATAATTTTACACATAGAAAACCCTAAAAGTTCCACCAAAAAACTCTCAGAACTGGTAAACAAATTTAGCAAATTTACAGGATATGAAATTTTAAACTACAAAAATCCATAGCATTTCTATACACCAATAATGAACTAGCAAAAAGAAATCAAAAAGCAATCCCATTTATGATAGCTACAAAAATGTAAATAATAATTATTCCTAGGAATAAATTTTTTTAAAAGAGGTGAAATATATATACAAGGAAAACTTTAAGACAGTGTGAAAGAAATTGGAATGGCCACACACACACACAAAAGAAAGACATCCCATGCTCATGGATTGGAAAAATTAATACTGTGAAATGACCATACTACCAAGAGTGATCCATAGATTCAATGTAATAACTATCAGAACACCAAGACATTCCTCACAGAAATAGAAAAAGCGTTTTAAAATCCACATGTGGAATCACAGAAGGCTTCCTAAATGCCAAAGCAATCCTGAGCAAAAAGAACAAAACTGGAGGTATCACCTACCTGACTTCAAAATATACTATAAAACTATAATAACAAAAACCGCATGGTACTAGCATAAAAACAGATACATAGACCAGTGGAACAGAATAGAGAACCCAGATATAAATCCATGTATGTACAGCCAATTGATTATTGACAAAGGCACCAAGAACATTCAGTGGAAAACTTTCAATAAATGGTGCTGACAAAACTGGATATCCATATGCAGAAAAATAAACCTAGACTGCTATCTCTCACCACATACAAAAATCAACTCAAAATGAATTAAAAACTTAAATGTAAGACCTGAAACTATGAGAATACTAGAAGAAAACATTGGAGAAACATTTCAAAACACTGGACTGGCCAAAAACTTTTTGTGTAAAACCTCAAAAGCACAGAGAACAAAAGAAAAATAGACAAATGAGATTCCATCAAGCTAAAAAGCTTCTGCACAGCAAAAGAGACAATTAACAGAATAAAGAGACAATCTACAGAATGGGGGAAAATATTTGCAAGCTACCCATCTGACAAATAATTATTAATCAGAATATGTAAAGGACTTGAACAACTCAATGGCAAAAAATAATAATAATCTGATTTTTAAATGGGCAAATGATTTGAATAGACATTTCTCAAAAGAAGATACACAAGTGGTTAATAGGTATATGAAAAAATGCTCATCACTAATTACCAAGGAAATGCAAATCGACAGTGAGATATCCTCTCACCCCAGTTAAAATGGGGTGAGATGATTTCATCAAAAAGACAAAAAAATAGATGATTGTGAGGATGGGAGAAAGGGGAATGACATTTCTGGTGGGAATGTAAATTATTACAGCCACTATGGAAAACACTATGGAGATTTCTCAAAACACTAAAAATAGATCTACAATATGATCCAGCAATCCCGCTGCTGGGTATATATCCACAAGAAAAGAAAGAAAATCAGCTGGCCAGGTGTGGTGGCTCATGCCTGTAATCCTAACACTTTGGGAGGCAAGGCAGGCAGATCACTTGAGGTCAGGAGTTCAAGACCAGCCTGGCCAGCGTGGTGAAACTTCATCTCTACTAAAAATTAGCCAGGCATGGTGGCACATGCCTGTAATCCCAGCTACTTGGGAGGCTGAGGCAGGAGAAGCACTTGAACCCAGGAGGCAGAGGTTGCAGTGAGCTGGGATCGCGCCACTGCACTCCAGCCTGGGTGACAGAGCAAGACTCTGAAAAAAAAAGAAAGATGAAAGGAGAGAAAGAAAAAAAAGAAAGAAAAGAAAGAAAGAAAGAGAGAGAGAGAGAGGGCGGGAGGGAGGGAGGGAGGAAGGGTCAGTTATCAAAGAGATAGCTGCACATCCATGTTCATTACAGCACTATTCACTATAGCCAAGATATGGAATCAACTTCACTGTCCATCAATAGATGAATAAAGAAACTGTGGTGGCCGGGTGTGATGGCTCATGCCTGTCATCCCAGCACTTTGGGAGCCCAAGGTGGGTGGATCACCTGGAGTCAGGAGTCCGAGACCAGCCTGGCCAACATGGTGAAACCTTGTCTCTACAAAAAATACAAAGATTAGCTGGGCATGGTGGCAGGTGCCTGTAATCCCAGCTACTCGGGAGGCTGAGGCACGAGAATTGCTTGAACCAAGGAGGCGGAGGTTGCAGTGAGCTGAGATTGTGCCATTGCACTCCAGTCTGGGCAACAAGAGCGAAACTTTGTCTCAAAAAAAAGAAAAGAAAAAAAGAAACTGTGATATATATATACAGTGGAATATGATGCACCCATAAAAAGGAAATTCTGTCATTTGCAGCTACATGGATGAAACTGGAAGTCGTTATGTTAAGTGAAATAAGCCAGGCAGAGAAAGACAAATATCACATTTTCTCACTCCTATGTAGAAGCTAAAAACATTGACCTCATAGAGGTAAAGGTTAGAATGATGGTTACCAGAGGCTGGGAAGGGTGAGGCAGGGGGATAGCGATAGGTTAAGGGGTACAAAATACAGTTAGATAGGCCGGGCGCAGTGGCTCATGCCTGTAATCCCAGCACTTTGGGAGGCCAAGGCAGGCGGATCACGAGGTCAGGAGATCGAGACCATCCTGGCTAGCACGGTGAAACCCCATCTCTACTAAAAATACAAAAAATTAGCCGGGGGTGGTGGCAGGTGCCTGTAGTCCCAGCTACTTGGGAGGCTGAGGCAGGAGAATGGCGTGAACCCAGGAGGCGGAGCTTGCAGTGAGCCGAGGTTGTGCCACTGCACTCCAGCCTGGGCAACAGAGCGAGACTCCGTCTCAAAAAAAAAAAAAATACAGTTAGATAAAAGGAATAAGTTCTAGTGTTTAACAGCACAGTTGGGTAACTAGTTATCAATAATTTATTGTAGATTTTTTTAATAGCTAAAAGAGAAGATTTTAAAAATTGACAACACAAAGAAATGATAAATGTTTGTGGTGATGGATATCCCAATTACCCTGATTTGATCATTACACATTATATGCATGTATCAAAATATCACATGTACCCCATAAATATGTACAATTATTATTTACCAATAAAAGCTTTTTAAAGAAAATTTATAAATGAAGGGAAACAATTAAGTATGTATTCTGTCTTTTCTATATGGACTGTATTACAAGGTAAAAAAAATTAATAAGGAAAACTTTTCTTCATGAAAGTGTTCACACTGACAATTGAAAAAGAAACAATAGAATTAGAGTATCACATTTTTGCACACAGAAAAAATTGAAATAATGGATCTAGACAATAATCACCATTGGTTTCTCACATAACAAATAGAGGGACAACCAAACATTGCATGCCTCTTCATGAAAATACATACCACTGATAGAGCATTTTACTTAAAAACAGTTTAATCTGATCAAAATTCTATTTGCAAATAGAATCTGTCAATATGTAGAAAGGATAATACATCATGATAAAGTTGGTTTCCTTCCAAGAATACAAGGTTGGTAATTCACCACATAGATTAAAAGAAAAAAATTATAAGATTATCTCACAAATGCTTCTAAGGAACTTGAACATTCAATACCAATTCATAATAAAAAATTTTACTGTCCTTAATCTGAGAAATATTATCTACACAAATATATAGTAAACATTATAGCTAATTGTGAAATACCTAAAACTTTCATATATTAAAAAAGAGAAAAGATAAAGATGTTTACTATCACTACTTTCATTTGATATTGTGCTACAGATCCAGGTCCTAGCTCAAAAAATAAGGCAAAAATATATTCTCTTGAGAACAATGCAAGAAATAACTGGTATGTAGATTATAAATAGAGAAAGTAACCTGTCATTATTTGCAGATGGTTGAATATGTAATGAAAAAATTCTAACTCTATGCTATTAGAATTAATAGTTTAGCAAAATCACTAAGTACAAGATAAACAAAAACAATTTCATTTCTATATACAAGCAACAATCATAAATTGAAATAAAAGTACACCATTTACAATAGCACTTAATATTCTGAAAAAACCTAGAAAGAATACTGCACTATATTATTTAAAGTAATTAGGGAAGACCTAAACAGATGAACAGATATACCATGTTCATGGATTTAAAGACCCAATATTATAAAAGATGTCAGTCCTTTGATCTATAGATTCAATACAATCCTTATCAAAAACCTCAACATGTTTTTGGTGAGGAACTTAATGGGCTGATTTTTAAATGTATGAAAATATGCAAATGGCCATGAATAGTCAGTCAATAAAATATACAAGAAGACTTACATTACAGGATAAAATAAAGCAATAGTGGTTAACAGGCGGCTGAGGCAAGAGGATTACTTGAGCCTAGTAGTTCAAATGCAGTCTGGGCAACACAGTGAGATCTCATCTCTTTAAAAAAAGAGAGAGAGAAGAAGAAGAAGAGGAAGAAGAAGAAGAAGAAGGAGGAGGAGGAGGAGAAGGAGAAGAAGGAGAAGGAGAAGGGGAAGGGGAAGAAAAGAAGGAGGAGGAGGAGAAGGAGGAGAAGGAGGAGAAGAAGGAGAAGGGGAAGAGGAAGAGGAAGAGGAAAAGGAGGAAAGAAAAAGGAGGAGGAGGAAGAAGAGGAGAAGGAGGAGGAAGAGGAGGAAGAGGAGAAGGAGGAGGGGGGAGGAGGAGGGGGAGAAGAAAAAGATATAGCTAAGACAGTTGTATTGACATAAAATTTTTTTTAATGGCCAATGGAATAGAACAGAAATTCAGGAAGAGACTGACACATATTCATACAATTGATTAATGAAAAAGGAAACTGTAGAGCAGTGGCAAAAGGCTTATCTTTTAAATAAATAGTACTGGCTAACTAGATATTCATAAAAAGAAAAAAGAATCTAGACCTATATTTCATACTACACGAAGACATGAATTCTCCACACTTTGTAGATCTAAACATGAAAGAACAGTAAAGCCTTTAGAAGACACCATAAGAGAGTGTATTTATAAATGTGTGGTGGGCAAATATTCCTTAAGCAGGACACCAAAAAGTAGTACTAATCCTAAAGGAAAAGACTGATACATTGGACTACATTCAAATTGTCAGATTTCATTCATCAAAAAAAATTTAAATAGTTGAAAATCCAACCCACACAACATGGGGAAAAGAATTATAAACTCAAATAATTTGCAAAGGTCTTATATTCAGGAAATATTTTTGAACTCCTATAAATCAATAAGAAAAAGACAACATAATTTAAAAAGTAGGCAAGAGACTTGAACAGACACACTGCAAAAGAGGATATCCAAGTGGCCAATAAACATAAGAAAAGGTGCTCATCCTCTTTAAGTTATTCAGAAAATGAAAATTTAAATCACAGTTAGATAACACAAAATTACTACCAGAATACCTAAAATTAAAAGAAAGACAAAACCAAGTGTTGGTGAAGATGCAGAATGACTGGAACTCTCGTACATTGGTAAAAGAAGTACAAATGGAATAAGCCTTTTGCAAAACTATTTTGTAGTATCTTTTAAAGCTGACTATACCCTTATTCTATGATCTAGCAATCCCCATATTTATATTCCCAATAAAAATGGATGTATATAGACACCAAGAACATGTATAAAAACACTTACAGAAGTTTTATCTGAAATAGCCTCAAGCTGGAAACAAACAAAATATCCATCATACCATAGAATTAATAAGGTAGTTGAGGTATTTTTATACTGTGGAATACTTATGAGGTAGTAAAGAGAAAGACTGAATCACTGTCTTCTACAACAATGTGGATAGGTCTCACAAATACCATGTTGAGCGAAAGAAGCCAGGCATAAGGATTGTATGAGTCCACTCATGCAAACGTCAAATATGGGTATCACTAATAGGTGGTGTTAGAAGTCAGGATGGCAGTTACCTTTGAGGAAGGGTGTAGGGGAGATGAGTAGGAGGGGCATGAGGGGGTTTCTGGGGTGCTGGTAATGTTCTATGTTTTTATCTGCATGGTTGTTGTATGGATGTGCTCGCTTTGTGAGAATTCTTTGAACTGTATACATGGAATTCATGCACTTTGTAAAAAAATATTGATTAAAAAAGAAAAGAAGTACCCTCATGTTTACATCAGCATTATCCAAAATAGCTAAAAGGAGGAAGCAGCCCATGTGTCCACCTACAGACTAATGGATAAGCAAAATGTGTCCCATCCATACAATGAAATATTATTCAGCCTTAAAAAAGAAGGAAATTCTGACACATGCTACAACATGGGTGAACCTTGAGGACATTATGCAAAGTGATATAAGCCAATCACAAAAAGACAAATACCATATGATTTCCACTCACATAAGGAGCCTACAGTAGTCAGATTTATAGAAACAGAAAGTAGAATGGTGCTTGCCAGAGGCTGGGGGCAGGGGAATGGGGGATGAGTGTTTAATGGAGACAGAGTTTCCATTTTACAAGATGAAAGAGTTCTTGAGATGGATGGTGGTGATGGTTGCACAACAATATAGATGTTCTTGATATTATTGTACACTTAACATGGTTAAAATGGCAAGTTTTATGTTATGTGCTTTTTACCACAATTTAAAACTTGAAAAAAAAAAGAAGAAACTACCCATATGTTTGGCAATAACAGAACTATTCGATGACTCAAGTCATCTGTGATCCACTTTTGCTCTGCTGGGGGTGATTCTGACGCAAACTGCACCTGCAGAATCAGCCAGGTCACATGGCGCCTATAATTACTCTGCTACGGAACAGACATTTCCTGAGGCAGCATGGAGGAACACACCCAATTTGAATAATTTTATCTAATTCTCCAATACATGCTACTTCATATTCTGCTTCTTTCATTTAGCATACTTTCATCATGTCTTCAGAGCTCCATTTTAAGACCACATAGTGTCTTGGCCAATGGATGGAGTCCTGCCCTGAATAAGTCTTTTTCAAATTTCACTTCTCACTCCAAGCCTATTCACCAAATATCCTATGAAAAAAGCCATCTTCTCACCCACACTGATTCATGGCCTTAGCTCTGAATTAACTCTCTCTCTTCCTTCTCCACATTATAATTGGTCTTGATTCTTTGGTTAGTACATAGTCACCACATGTGGAATCAATGAGTGAACAGGCCAACATCACTGCTGTCCAAAGTTGGTATGAGCTTCCATTAGCTTCTGTTCAAGATGTTCAAGCATGGACTAATCAACTACTTGGAGAGGTGGGGCACTAAAAAATCACAAAACCATAGCAGATCATATGAGCCTCTTAGACTTTAGGTATCATCTAAGTCAAATATGTGTAAACAGATAATCAAACTATGGTCCCAAAGTAAAATGACTTGATCAAATGCTATCAAGCAATTGCAAAGCTGAGAACAACAGAACTGTGTCCCCCAATTTCCAATTCAGGGCAGTCTCCCACCTTTACAATACAGAGCAGACTCTCACAATGCTGGGGAGGATAGACTACATGCTGTAAGGAGCTGCTCATCCTAAAGATGCTAAGAGTCCAGTAATGGGTGACAGGGGTGACATTAGTATGTGGAGATGGTATCTCCTGAAAAAAAAAAAAAAACCTTAGCCAAATTAAATTTAACAGAGTTAATTTAACAGAGTTTAATTGAGCAAAGAATGAGTCATGAATCGGGCAGCCTCCTGAGCCAGAGTAGGCTCACAGACTCCAGCACAGCCATGTGGGGGAAGAAGATTTATAGACAGAAAAAGGAAAGTGACATACAGAAAATAGAAGTGAAGTACAGAAACAGCCAAATTGGTTACAGCTTGGCATTTACCTTATTTGAACATAGTTTGAACAGTTGGCCCCCTTTCATTGCCCAAATCTTGGTGATTGCCCCAAGAGTAGATTACAGTCTGTTTATATCAGCACTTAGGTTACAGTTTACTATTTACAGAGAAGCCTTTAGGCTGAACTTAAAATATGTAAGGAGGTACCTTTAGGTTAAACTTGATTTAACACTTTCTACCATCTCTGAAATTAGAATTTGTTTTCATTCATCCTATGTACATGGCTGCTGTGTTAGTTTTAGTTGCTGTGAAGCAAATCACCACGAACTCAGTACCTCAAGATACTCCCACTTATTAACTCATAGTTCTGCAGGAGAGAAGTCCAGGCAAATGTAACTGGGTTCTCTTCACAGGGTCTCAAAGGCCGAAATCAAGGTGTCAGCTATGCTGGGCTGGGCTCTCCTCTGCAGGCTCAACTGGGGAAGAATCCAGATCTGTGCTCATTCATGTTGGCAGACCTAAGTTCCTCATGGCTGTGAAACCACAGTCCCTATTTCTTTGCAGGTGTCAGCCAGGGACTGTCCTCCACTACAAGAGGCAGCCCACATCCTCTGCTACATGGTCCCCTCAATAATCCAGCAACAGAGACTCTCTCTCATGTGTAATCTCTCCCATGCTTCAATTCTCTAACTTCCTTTGTCTCTGACCTCTAGACCCAAATTACAATGGTCATGTGCTAGGTCAGGTCATCTCTCCTTCTTAAAGTCAACTGTGCTGTGTAACCACCTAATTGTGGGGGTAAAATCCATTATTCACATAGTCTCATACTAAGCAGGGTGTGTACACGAGGACAGGATCTTGGGGTCATCTTATAATCCCGCCTATCACACTGCCCCAAAACAGCCCCGAAAAACCTAAAGCCTGGTCCACAGACAGCACCACACCATTATAGCTGTGATTAGTGTTGTAAAGGTCCTCAGAAGTCAGTGAAGAGAGTCCCCTAGATCTCCAGGTAACAGTGAATTTGACCTTGATTCTAGTTGCGGGAAAGCAGCTGTAGTTCAATGAAAGCATAATCACTTCCCTGCTCTGCCTTATTGGTTAGACTCAAGTTTTCAGCATTCCCAGATCTTTCCTCCACCTGCAAGAACCCTGTGGAAATTATGTCTAATGGTCCATGAAAAGATCAAGGACCAACCAAACTCAGATGTCTTCAGTTGCCATGTTATAATTTATTGGCAATATGTTGAGTAATGTTTTCCTGATTATTTCCCGGTTAAGTTGCTTTACCAGATGAAAAATGGCCAAAGACAGTTATTAATTAAATGAGAATGCAGCAACCAAATGTGAAGAGCTCAAACTCTTTTATTCTGAAGCATCTTTTTTTAAAAGAAATGGTGGGTAGAACAGAAATGTGTCATACCTTTTAGCTTATAAATTTACTTTCAACATCCATATGCAACTAACTTCTGGTTTCAGTTCCTATCAAACGATTCTTTGAACTTGTTTTCCTTCTAAAATCATCCCAAATAAACTCATATTAACTAGTGAGTCAGACTGCTTTTGTTAAAGAAAAATTATGGAAAGAAAATTGAATCCATCTCCAAATTTGAAGAGGAAACAGCAGTGAAAGAATAATTTATAAAGTGTACTGCACTGCTAATTGACAATGCTTGTCTTTTTTAGACAATGCTCTAAAATCCTAGCATTTTAGAGACATAAAGAAAGCAGAGGATGCTCTGATAAAATCTCTTTGTTAGACAGATAAAAAAAATTCAGACAGAGAGATGAAATGACTTTCTCAAAGTCTCATGGCTTGTTAGTGGCTGGCCCTGAGGCTCCAGATTCCCAAGGGCCCTTCCCACTGCCAGGTCATATCTCTGACCGCTGGAATAGGGCCAAGGAACCATCCTAAGGCATCTCCAACTCGCTTATGGTTTCATGCAGAGGATGTTGCTAACGGAAACACAAAATGACGTAAATTAGGCAGACTTTCATGTGTTACTGTTTTGAACAAAGACAGAACATGTGTCTTCACTTTTCCCCTTGCAGGAGAATCTTCTGCGTGAGCACGCTTTGTATCTACTCCAGTGATCTTTGGTAGAATGATCCAAGCAAAGAGAATGAGGTATCAAAGGGAACTCACTGAGGGGGACCCCACTGCTGGGGGCCATGCTCCCAGAGCCTTTCTTCCCAAATCTGTGGAATGTCATTTTCAGGAAGGTTGGGTAGATATCCACAATGACTTTCCAAGCATGCCATTCCTTTCCTTTTAGCCTTAAGACATACTGTCTCTGATAATTAAAGATTTGCAAGTCTTTTAATGTGTTTTTCAAGGCTGTTTTTTTCTTATTAACGAAGAACATTTTGAAGCTTAATAATTATTTGTAAGAAATCAATTTAAAAGTGATGTGTTGGCATAAAAGGCATTAATAGTACTTTTTTGTAAACAGAAAAAATGTAAAACAATTACAAAAGTATATGGGTTTTGTAAGTGAGAGTTTTTAAATACTTTTGTGTCTAAGCCAGGGTCTGTCAACATTGGCAATACTGACATTTGGGACCAGATAAATTCTTTGCTGTGCATGGCTGGCCTGTGCATGCAAGTTGTTTAACAGCATCCCTGTCCTCCACCCACTGGATGCCAGAGGCACAGCAACCCCCTACCCTCCACTGTGACAATCGACAGTGTCTCCAGACATTGCCAAATATCCTCTAGCAGCCAAAACCACACAGGTAAGCATGTAGTTGAACACTGGCTGTACATTTCGGATTTGAATGCAGACAGCACCTGCTGTCATCCAGAGCCAGGAAGCCTTCAAAGACAGTTTTACAATTAATCCAATAATCAATATCACCAAATACATTTGTAAAGTTGTTTAAATAAGAACCTCCTAACAGACAGAGCTGCCCAACGGAACTAGCTGCCTGAGGCATGTGCAAAAGAAGAGTCAGAAACCACCAAGAACAGACTGATGTGGAGGGAGCGAGGCTGCCAGGAGCAGGTGGAAGAAGGGCTAGGAGGGCATGTAGTTATGCCTCAGGCCAGACGACTGGCATGGGCATGCAAAAAATGTTGTCTTTCCACAGAACATTTACTGCTGAAAGCCCTGCTTTCCATCACTTAACATTTCTATATTAATTATAGTCATAATGTCACATTGTGGAAAATGTGGTAAGTTCATAAAAGTACAAAAAGACATAAAAATGATCTGCCCCAATCTCACCATCAAAGAAATTGCTCTTGACACACAGAAATTTGTGTCCAGTTGATATTCTGCACACGTTTTGTCATTAGTAAGAGGCCACTTGTTTTGCTTTAAAATTCTGTATTTCAGGAGCATTTCCCATCAAGAAAACTCTTTGGAAACAAAATATATTCTAGTTTAAGTAACCATTGTCTTTTGTTGAGCATTCATAAAATTCACCTAGATGAAACATTTTTGGCTCTTGATAGGTAGGTGTAATGCCAATATGTGCTTAGCTCAACACATAGTAAGTGCTCAGTAAGTCTGTCCTTGGCATTATTGCATTGTTAGATTGCCATCTTGAAAAGCTAAACTCTCACCAGCAGTAAAAGAGTGCTGGTATCATAAACCTTCACCCACATTAAATATTATCATTGCTTCATTTTTTGTAACTTAATGGGTATAAAAAGTATTCCTTGTTGTCTTAAGTTAATTTGCAATCCTTGACTCAGTGAGGTTAAATAATTTGGTTGCTTATTAAACATTTTCTGCAATACATGCTCTGTCTGTGACCCTGTTTTGAATTTCTTGGGGACTCACTTCTTTATCTACTTGCATGAGCCATTCTCTCAATGAAGACATTAGATATTAACCCTCATCTTTCACAGGTGTTTGTTCACAACTTTCCTTTTTCTTTAATTACAGAATTACACACAAATTTGCTCAAGTTCCTTAGTGCACTCCCAGCTAAGGTGAGCTTTTAAATAAAAAGTATAAAACACTTGACTAAAATCTATTGCAGTAAGGCACAGTTAATGGAACCAACTCATGGGAGTAGGAAGTTCAGAGGGAAATTAAAGTGTTTCTAGATTCCTATCTCCTTTATTAAAAGAATTCAGAGTACACGAAAAGTTAGAGGTGAACACTAAATGAACAGATAAAAAATGTTTAACTCTCAAATTGTAGAGCAGAGAAATAAAACTTTCAGCCTAGCAAAATCAGGAAAGAAAAAAGAAACAAGGAAAATAATGATGATTAAAAAACAAAAAAATGCTAAAAATAAGTTCAAATGTATTAACAATCATAATAAATGTAAATGAATTAAATTTACCTTTCTTAAGGCACAGATTTTTTTTAACTACCGCAGATCCTAAAATTGAAGTTTTGAATCCAATTTAAAGGTATGTAAAAATGCTAAACGAAGTGCCAGATTTACAAAGGAAATGGTTAAGAATCTGTGTCCCGCCTTTGAACCTGCACTCATTCAAGAAGATAGAATTACAAGAGTAGAGAGAGCATGAATTTGTGGAGGTGTCTTTGGTGAAAGTGGTGCTTGTATCTCAAGTCCTCCAGAGAAGGAAGAGTGGGAGGGGCCAAACCTCCTTTACCTCAAGCAAATGGGTTCAGCTCTAGCCCTGGAAGAGCCTGATATAACCTGTAATCCCAGCACTTTGGGAGGCTGAGGTGGGTGGATCACAAGGTCAGGAGTTTAAGACCAGCCTGGCCAATATAATGAAACCCTGTCTCTACCAAAAATACAAAAAATTAGCGGGGCTTGGTGGTGGGCACCTGCAATCCCAGCTACTTGGGAGGCTGAGGCAAGAGAATCGCTTGAACCTAGGAGGTGGAGGTTGCAGTGAAAGGAGATCACGCCACTGCACTCTAGCCCAGGTGACAGTGTGAGACTCCTTCTCAAAGAAAAAAAAAAAAAGCCTGATATAGATTTGATGCTGTGAGGGATCACTCTAGGCTGATGACTTCATCCTGCCCCCAAAAGAGGGGCTGGTCAGCTGCTTTGTCAGGTGTGGAAAAAGAAGGATGCTCCTTAGAGAATGCTACATAGAGATTGCTTTTTTCAGGCATGAAGATGCCAGAGAGGTTTTCCTGCACCAGATATGGGCCACATAAAAAAGATAGAACTAGAGGGTGGAAAAGAGACTGAGACAAGAGACAGACAAGAAACAGATCACACACAAACATACAGAGAGACGTTTTAGGTCCTGCCCCAGAGGACCACCTGAACGGACTAAGGACCCTGAGTAGAAGAACCTTCAGAGAGCAGGTCCCTGAGATCCCGGCACCGAGGCACAGTAGCCAGGGGCACAGCCCAAGAGTACCTATGAGAGCATAAGCAACTCTGAAAGACTCCAAAGTGGCCCACAAGAAAGCCAGTTAAAAACATCTGCTAGGCCGGCAGGGCAGAAACACCCACCCATTCCTCTCTCCTGTTCACATCCAGTCGTGCGGGACCAGGACAGAAGCCCCTGTCAGCCAGCTGGGCTGGAGGTAGAGCCTCCCTGAGGGCTGTAGCCTCACCAGCCGCAGGCTTAGCTAGTGTGGGAAGGAGATGGTAAATGAATAAAACGTTTCAATTAATGGCTCAGGCTATGCCCTATTTGATTTCTGGACTGAGATATGTTTAAGGACATCAGGCGGTAATCTGGGGTAAGCCTGGGACCTGTCCAAGCCCATAACTGAGCAAGATTACCACCGATGAACAGACTTTAAAGAGGCAGGGAACAGAAATTAAGTCACGCTTTAATTACAGCATGAATTGTGTTCACTCCACATACTAGTTATACAATATTCGGCTGTAGAAACTTTATGAATAGAGGTACACCCCAAACACAAGGAAAGAGGGACTAAAAGTAAAGAGACAGGAAAAGATATTGTCAATTGCTAAGCAAAAGAAAATTTAGATGGCTTTATGAATATTAGACAAAATAGGTTTTAAGGCAAAAAGTCTTAGTAGGAATGAAAAAGGCCATTTTTAATGATAAAAGTAATAACTCTCTAGGAAGATTAATGGTCCTCAACCTACACACATCTCCCAATACAAAGAAAAAGTTGACACAACTATAAGAAGTTGAAATATCCATAATCAGGGGAAGAAATTGTAGTTCACATCTCTTGTTAGCAGACAAATTAAGCTTTCAAAAAATCAGGAAGAAGAGAAAACATAAAAATACCATTTCACATGTATATATACATATATCCCCAGGCTCCCACAAATACAGACTACATATTTGTTTCAAACACAGAGTATTTTTTTAATTGGCCACATACATCATGGATTACAAAAGACGTCTTGAAAACATCCAAAGATTCAAAACCATGCAGCCCACAGTGAATTTAGAAATAAAATTTTAAAGTCAGCTAAAATGCACCCATACATTTGGAAACTAAATAACAC
Organism: Homo sapiens; assembly: GCF_000001405.40. Classification (NCBI taxonomy): domain Eukaryota; kingdom Metazoa; phylum Chordata; class Mammalia; order Primates; family Hominidae; genus Homo; species Homo sapiens. The sequence goes on along the minus strand of NC_000002.12, from coordinate 238,662,770 downwards.
TGTTAAATAATTCATGGGTCTGGAAGAAATCATAATGGCAATTATAAACACTGAGAACTGAAGGACAAAAAAAGAACTATGCACAAAAGCTGTAGAATGTACATGAAGGGCATACTACAGGGAATTTAAAATAGTAAATATATGTACATATTAGAAAACAAAATGATTTTAAATTAATAAGCTAAAAATTCAATTTAAGAAGTTAGATAAAGTTAGATAAATAAATTAGTGTAAAGCCAAAGAAAAAAGAAAAGAAAAGCTTTTTCAAAAATAAATTTTGAGACAAGGTCTTGCTGTCACTTAAACTGAACTTCAGTGGCATGAGCATAGCTCACTGCAGCCTCAATCCCACAGGATCAAGTGATCCTTCCGCCTCAGCCTCCTGAGTAGCTGGGACTATAGGCAAGTATCACTCGCTTGGCTAATTTTTATTTTTTATTTTCTGTAAAGATGGGGTTTTGCTTTGTTGCCCAGGCTGGTCTCAAATTCATGGGCTCAAAGGATCCTCCTACCTCAGCCTCCCACAGTGCTAAGGTTACATGTGTGAGCCACCACGCCTGGCAGAAAAGTTAAAATTATTGAAATAGTAAGCAAAAAAGCAATAGTGAAAAACAAAAAAATCAAAAGTTGATTATTTATAAAGAGCTAATAAAAAAAGACAAACTTCTTATTTTCTTGGTTTATCAAGAAAAAATACATGAATAAAGTATATTAGAAATTAAATAAAAATAATTACTTATAAGTAGAGATTAAGAAACAAAAATAAATGAACAATTTTGGACTAATATATTTGAAATTGTATATACAATAAGTAATTTTCCTAAAAATTAAATTACTGAAGCTTGTATTTGATCTATTAAGTTCTAAAGACTAGAAAAGGAGGGGAAACTATCCCCTTTTTCCTACAGCATCCCTCTGGTAACAAAACAAGGTAAGGCAGGAAAAAAAAAAAGGAAAATTATAAGCACAGACTCAAAAATCCTAAATAAAATACTAGCAATAGAATCCTAAAATGCATGGGAAATAAATGTAAGTCATGACCAAGTTAAATGTACCCTAGGAATGCAAGGATGGCTTAATATTAGAAAATCTAGTAATGCAGTTTGCCACGAAAACAGATTTTAAAAATCATATGCTCATCTAAATGAATGCCAAAAAACCTATAGAAAAGAATTCTTGCAACATAGGAATAGAAGGTAATTTTGTAGTTTATTAATAGATATCTAATGAAAACCTTCAGGAGATATTCTAATGGGGGCACAATAATGTGTTCTCTTTAAAAATACAAATTGAGAGTCACACCACAAAAAAAAAAATCACTGCCCTGGATTCTTCGAAAGGGTCCCAAAAAAACAAAGAAAGAAGAAAGTGGGGTCTAGGGAACTATTCTCAATTAAAGGAGATTGAAGTGTGACAACTAAATGCAATGTGTGATCCTTGACTGGATGCTAGATCAGGAAAACAACAGCTAATAGAGAATTTTATTAGGACAGTTGATAAAATTTGAATACATATGGTATAATAAATAATAGTATTATCATTGTGAAATTTCTCAATTCTGTTTACATAGAAGAATGCCTTTTTTCTTGTCTATAATTACTGAAATATTTAGGATGAAATATCACAATGTCTGCAACTTATTCCTCAGTGGTTAAAAATAATAAGAGAGAACAAAAAGCCAAATGTTAGAAATAGATTAATCTAGGTAAAAAGTTTGTATGTGTCCATTCTTTCACTTTTCTGAGGTTTTAAAAGTGGTTCAAAATTAGGAGATGTTTTCTTATCTTTAAATGAACAAGATATAGAAATGCCTCCTGTGCCTCTACTGAACATTGTTCTGAGAGTAGGGCTAATTCAATAAGACAAGAAAAATAAATAAGATAAATGAGAGTTGTAAATGAAAATATTTTTCACATGTAATATGATTCCATATATGGTTTTATACATAGAAAAATCCAAGAATGCATTAGGTATATCTCCTAATGGGTGCAGCACACCAACATGGCACATGCATACATATGTAACTAACCTGCACGTTGTGCACATGTACCCTAAAACTTAAAGTATAATAAAAAAAGGAAAAATCTAAGAATGCAAAACAAATACAAATTAACAGTTTCTTATGCACAAGCAGCAACCAATTAAAAGCTGTAAAAATCAAAGCATGCTATTCAAAATAGCAATAAAACTATAATGAAGAAATCTAACAAAATTGGTGCAAGATCTACATGAAGAAAAGTATAACATTTTATTGAAGGACACAAGGGGATTTAAATGAGTATCACCATGTTCATAAATAAGAAAACATGATATCATAAAGATACCAATTTTCCAGAAATTAATCTGTACATTAAATGCACTTTCTACCAAAATCCCAAAGAGTGTTTTTTCCTAAAAATTTGCAAGTTGTTCCTGGAAAGTAATAAGGTCAAAGATGAGCCAAAGTTCAAGAACAGCCGCGAGTATTTAAAAGAATAATGAAGAGAAGAGATATGTCCTACCAGATCTCAGAGCTGATTTGGAAACACGGAGATTGTAGTATCAGTACCAGGATAGATGAATTGATGTGAGGACAGAAGAGAAAAGCCAGAAACAGAACTTCCTATATCAGAAAACTTAGCATGAAGACATCATTTCCCTATCAATGGGGATAGAATGGGCTATTATTCAATGATGGTGACTGGAATATTGAAGGAAAACAATGGATCTCTTCCTTATACCACTCAGCAAAGTATCATTATAATCCTGAAAAATATCAATTTCAAATGGATCAATGAACTACAGGTGAAACCAAAGCTTTAAAAATTCTAGAACAAAATATGTAATATAATCTGGATTATATAGCAGGGAAGATTTTTCAAACAAGCCATAAAATGCACAACATGTACAGGCAACTGGCCATCCCACCAGCCTTAGAACACACCCTCCTGTCCAGCTGCAGATTGATTTCTAGGAAAGTGTCAATCTTTAGCTATTTTTTTTAACTTACTGTTGTTGGGGACCAGCCTCAACATCTCCCACAGGGTACCCAAAGTCCAGTGGTGATGAAGGAATGAGAAGAGACAGGTTAAGAGTGCATAAAGAGTGGGGGCCAGGGGGCCGATTGCACAGTGGAGGCTGCAAAAGGCCCAGAGTTCTGGTCTCCACACTATTTATTGAGTATGAACACTCAGATCTAAGAAGCAGAAGTTCAGTGTGAAACGGTGAAAGGGAGGCAGTGCGTCATACGCATCATCTATAGTAGTGGCAGTTTAAATTAATCTCCTTTGTGCTCAAACATCATATCTTTAACTTATCGGAGAGTAGCTAGTGGGAGCGGGCTTAACTAGGAGCCTGTGTGTCTGGCCACATTCCAGTGCTTCAAAGGAGTGTCTTTCTGCTTGAACACAGTGTTTATGGAGAAGAGAGCAAGCCTCGCTCAGAGCATGGGAATATAATGGTGATAAAAAGGCCTTCCTTTTCAGAGGCCTCTTGTGGCATTCCACAACTTATTGTCCCATATTTTTATGGCTAGTTTATGCAGGCACCACACAAGCCCTTTCCCAACAACCGTCTTCATTGTTCAGAAGAGGGCACCGCACCTCCTGAGGGCGAGAAGGAAGGGATGAAGCAAGTTCTCAAAGTGAGGGGTGATGTTTCAGCACAGCACCTGTGAGGAAAGTGACCAGGATCAAGTTCTCAATGGACAGACTGCAGCCAGGCCCAGAGGACATGAGCAAACAGGTGGTGGAGGCACCAGTCGGTCAAGTGAGGCTACTTTCTCCAACAGAACTCAGTTCTCCAGGCATGTCCACCATGAGAATGGCCAGGATTGACCTGGGTGTGGATTCTCACCCAGGCCTGGGAGAAGCCTTGGAATTAGGGAGCTAACAAGAGAGTTTGAACTTGGGCATTGGGTGTGAAAGAAGGAAAGCTAAAAGTCAAGGAAGGCCTAAAGGCTGGCATGGAGGGGAGGGGACCTGGAGGTGATGGGGCTGTCAGGGTGGGGGCAGCTGGGGTAGGTGGTGAGGCCCAGTGTGTCCAGGAGAGCATGCCATGGAGGTCGCAGGGGGAACACGGAAGGCAGCCAACCCATGGGTTCCCTAACGACATCCTTTCACAGGTGAGCTCAGAAAGTCTCCTCACCCTGTCCTAGCTAGCTTCTGTGGAGCTTTGAAAAGACAGACACTCATCAGTAGAGTCAGCCAGCCTAGTTGGAGAACCATCCTAGGAGAGGCTGCATGATGCTCAGGCTCTGCCATTGCCTGTGGTCAATCCTAGGCCTCATAAATTAGAACCCTGGATCCAGCCCTACTGCTTAAATGGTGCCCTCCTCGTTCCTGGGCCCCAACTGCCCTGGGCACTTTTCCTTCCTGCATAAGCAGCACCTTGCTCTTCTTGTAACCCCTGCCTTCGACGCACAGGGGACAAACAGAGCAAGCTGCCAGCCTGCTGTGATAGACGCAAGCACTTCTAGGGTGCACATTCAAATGTTACAGTGTCCAGGGAGAAGAGGGCCATGCCGCAGCACCCAAAGTTGTTTTAGATGTGAGACATGGTTCAGGTCCCCTTTGCAAGGACACAAAAAGTCACCGGAGCTCTCCATGTGCCAGGTGTCCTGCAAAGCAAGTGACCGACCTTCTGGATTTCCCACTGCGACCTATGTGGAAGCAACTAAGCCCAGAACAACTCAGCAAAAGGAGAAGGGCACAAGCTGCCTCTCCAAGCCCCTGCCCACTTTGTCATCGTCTCTCTCAGTCCCCCTCGCATCATCGGAAGCACAAAGTGTCCCTTTAACTCTCATCCCATTTACTCCAATTCCTCCCCAGGCAGGGCTGTTGCATTGCACAAGTTGTTGGGGCACCTGTGATCTGGCACACACAGTGACTGGGCTCCCTGGTGCTGTACAGAGCCTCTCCCGGCCTGTGTGGGCTGATGGAGGCTCAAGGGCTTCCCTGCAAGGGCTACTTGAAAGAGACCTAAAACGCTGGGAGTTCTAAGGCATGACAATGGAGACAGTTCAGGCAATGGGGCCAAGCAGGGGGCAGATCACTAAGTGAGAACCCTGACCCCATCCAGCCCACAGCCTCCCACCTGGGCCCTCTCCTGGAAGAGCTTCTGCCGATGTGATGCGAGGCTCTGTGCTCACAGCGGGAAGGGTTCTGCATAACAAGGAATTCAGAACATGGGGATGTCACAGGGCCAGAGACGGGGCGAAGAGATTTTGGCAAACACTCAGGAGGTTCCAGCTGAGCTGGCTGAAGCCTGGAAGATGGAAAGACACATTTGTTTGTTCTAAATTATTAAGACCAAAGAGATTTATTCTCAAACTGTAAAATCCTTCCAGGGAAAGCCCCATATCTCAGAGGCACGCATGGGATTCCTATTAGCATTCATAATCATTTTCTGCAACAGTCTGATGAGATGGCTCCTGTGAAACCTTAATCTCCTCCATGTGGCCTCCCAGTTGGCCAACTTCTCAGCTAAAAATAAAATCTATTCATCAACAAATACTTTAATATTGACTTCGTTGCCTGCATGCATGCTGGTTACCAGATTACATAACCATGTAGAATACAAGGCCATTTGTACTGAACTATTAAATCAAATGACACTTGGAGACATGTGCTTCTTTGGAGCCTTTTTTAATGTAGGAAACATAATGGGCTTTAATTGTGAAGCTCTTGCACCCTGAACAGAGAACCAGACCTTCCCGCAGCAGACACATCAGTGTCTCCTCGGCTCTTCCCTCCCCACAGTGACCCCACTCACGCCACAGTGCCGCATGGGAAGTCACAGGCCTGACAATGCATATTCCACACACACTAATAGAGAGGGATGACAGGCCAAAGTATGCGTCTTTGAAGAAAATGGACCTAAGGTTTTATGGATTTTCATTTTGAGGGTTTGTCATGGAAAACCCAGCCAAACACATTCTAAAGATGAAGTCAAGTTAAGAAGGAGGCAAAGTTAAGACCCTCTCCTCACCTTTTGCCAATCCACCCATGACATTTCTCTCTTTCAAACTCCTTTCCATGAGTTTTGTGGAAAGTCTGTCCTCATTGGCCCTTGTATGTTTCTGGATCTGTCCTGATTGGCTCTTGCGTGTCTCTGGGTCTGTGCTCATTGGCTCTTGTGTGTCTCTGGGTCTGTCTTGATTGGCTTTTGGGTGTCTCCGGGTCTGTGCTTATTGGCTTTTATGTGTCTCTGACAACTTCAAGTTCATTCAAATTACATTCGTGGTGTACCCACTCTGGGGCAGGCCCATACTGAGGGCTGGATCCCCAAGTACGTAGTCTATAAGGTCTCTGCCCTTGAGGAGCTCCTGGTCTAGTTGGGGGTGGGGCAGGTGAACAGAGAGACAGGTTACAGGCAAAGATTGCAGGAATGCCAGGAGGGAGGAATTTGTTCCCACAGGCTGGGAGATGGGGCCAGAGCAGGGCAGGCCCAGAGAACACAGCACTGGAGCTGGTCTCAACGGAGCCTTTTCACTACATTTTATTTGCACATCAAGGAATCATTCTAACTTTATTAAATACCCCATGTTCTTTACTGGTTGTCAGTTTCTTTGTTTCAGCTTCCTATGTGATTGCATCATCACTCTAGAATGATTCTAAATCTTTGGGACAGTAGTCTCAGCTGCCTTCAAAGCCCCAACCAACACCAACACCCATATGAACGCTGCACAACCACTGCTGGTTGACTTAGCCACCCCTAGCGATGGGGAAACCCTAAAACACTTGGTCTTTGTGTTTGATGAATTACATGAGCAAAGGAATGTCCATTCCTGAGTTTGACTTTGGGGACGGAAACCAGTGGCGCCCTACTGATGCTGTTACCACTTGCCGTGCATGTATGCCTGAGTGTTACTGCCTATTTTTGGTGCTGGAGAAGTTACAGAAGGCAACCCGTGGCTGCCTTACACTCCTCCTCCTCTGGGGCCTTGTGTCTCCTTGCCATTCTCTGTGAGGCTGAGGGTCTTCCCCCAAAACTGTAAACTCAGGTCCTCACAGAGAATGAAGCAGTTAAAGCACACCAACTTCACAGAATAGACAAAGAACAGGAGTGAGGCGCCAGGGTGTATAACGCAGTAGACAGTCACCACACAGGAACTAGGAACTGGTCTGCTGGTGACCTTCCCCAAGTGATTTATTCCCTGTGTGCCTCAGAGTCCATCTGTTCAACGAATGAGCATGGCTAAGGCTTCAGAGGTCATCTTTTGGTCTGGTTTTTAGGACTCTTGATAGGAGTTAGAAGCCAAAGTGCCTCACAGAGTGTTTACATATTTCTAAAATATGCATTGCTGAAGCTGATTGGCGAGACCTCAAAACCCAGCTCTAGGCTTCTTGCACCTTATGGATGTTGGGTGGAAAGCAATCCTGATGGCCATAGGCCCCTGCTGCCCCTTGAAGAGGGACAGTGCTAGAAACAAGCTGCTCAAACCTGAAGTCCAGATGGGCAGTAGGGAGTATCAGCTTCCCTGGAGGATGAGATGAGAGGAAACATGCAAACCGTGGCTGCTTCCCGGGGCAGGACCCAGCACACCTGTCCCCACATGGGCATGGTGGAGAACAAGGGACTTGCTAGCTGGCCGTGGCCTGCAGCAGAGGGAACAGCCAAGGGCAGGGCCCTGCAGGCTACTCTCAAATAGCCCAGAGGCCCTGAGGAAGAGCAAACCCTCAATTAACTGGTCCCCAGGGAAGGCTGCATTCTCGTTATCTGAATGTTCTGACGAAAAGGTGAAACCAGTCCTCTTTTGTCTTGGTCTTTGCTATTGGAAATCCTATAAAATTGTGTGATTCCTTTCCAAGCCTTGGAAAACACAGAAAAGAAGCCCAGTTGGAGCCTTCTTTCATGCCAGGGCATCATGAATTGCCTCCAGATTTTCCTTCAGAATCGTTATCAGGAACTCCCTGGGCTGAGGGCAGGAGGGTGAGCTGTCCTGGGTTTACATTAGTGGTTCTGGCAGGAGGGCGAACCCTCATTCACCCCTGGTCTTGCTTTGGGGAAAACACCCTCTGGTCTGAGCCAAGTCACTTGGGGGCTGGCGTGGGAACAGCAGGGAGGCACAGGTCCAGGGTCCCGGCAGCTGAGCCGGCAGAGGGGCTTATATGTCACAGATGCCCCATCAGCTCACCTTTGCTTCCAATGCACTGCCACATCCCAACCCCCACGTGGTTCCTGGGGCCAAGAAGTTGTTACTTAAAAAATGTGAATGTTGAAATTCAATTGGGAAACAATTTGAATGTCAGCTTTCTTTCTCATGCATTTACTCATTTTTCTAAAGGTAAGGAAATGAACACAGGTTAATTAGATATGTCCACTCCTTGACCATAACCAAAACCCCAGGGCCAGGCAGCCTCCCTGCAGGCAGGACAGGGTGGCCAACAGAAAGGCAACTTTGGCTGCAAGGGGTGAGGGTTTGGGGAGTGTAATGGGGGCTGGTGGAGGTGGAAGAAGGGGCTGCTGAAAGGAAAGCTCAACTGTACCCTGCATATAAATCGTCAGCCAATGCATCAAACCTGGGCAGTTCATTTGGTTGTCAGAGGTTTTTGTAAAGTAAGTTTGATTACTTTAGACCTTATTTCACAAGGAAAATGAAAAGAACAAAACAACCGCGGATCAGAAGAGAAATAAACTCCTTGACTGCAATCCCATGGCAATACGGTGGGGAGAAGGCATTTGCAATTTAGCCAGCAACCCCCACACATGAGCTGCCCCCACACCACACAGCTGTGTGCGACCGACAGAAGCCCCAGGCTGCGTGGAAGAAGAGCAGGCCAGAGCCATCGCCATCACTGCCTGGCAGAGCTCGAGGACCCAGTGCCATCATGGGTAGAGGGAGGGATTTGGAGACTGCCAGGACCAGAGCCCCCTACTCCGCCCCACCACCCACAGTCACCCACAGTCACCTGATGGGCTTGCTCCTTGCTTCAGGAGGTGCAGGATGGCCCTTTGAAGGTTTGCCTCTGCAGTGTGTCATCTGAGCAGACACAGGACCTCTCTGGTGCCCGTAGAGGAATCCAGACAGCACAAGTGCATCGGTGTCCTACAGCTGCCGTGACAAATTCCTACTCTCTCACCAACTGCCTTACAGTTCCAGAGGTCAGAAGAGTGACAGGGTCAGTCGCACTGAGCTAAAATCTGGCTGCATTCCTTCTGGAGGCCCTAGGGGAAAATCTGTTTCCTGTTCATTCAGGGGTTGACAGAACTCAGCTCCATGCAGGTGCAGGATTGAGGTCTCTGTCACCCTGCTGGCTGGCAGACGCTTGCCCCATGGATCTCAGAACAAGCAGCATGGTGTTGAAGCCTCCCGCGTCACATCATGTCACTTCTCTCTACTCTTCTCCCATTGTCTTCTCTCTCCACTTTTAAGGACCCTGGGATGTCATTAGGCCACCTGAGTAACCCAGGATCATCTCTCATCTCAAGATCATTCAGTGAATCACATCTGCAACCTCCCTTTGCCATGTCAGGTCACTGGTTCTGCAATGGACCATAGCACCAGTGACACACCACAGTCACAGAGGCAGCCCATGGCAGCATGGGCCGGGACCAGTGACACACCACAGTCACAGAGGCAGCCCGTGGCAGCGTGGGCCGGGACCAGTGACACACCACAGTCACAGAGGCAGCCCGTGGCAGCGTGGGCCGGGACCAGTGACACACCACAGTCACAGAGGCAGCCCGTGGCAGCGTGGGCCGGGACCAGTGACACACCACAGTCACAGAGGCAGCCCGTGGCAGCGTGGACCACAGGACCAACTTGACCATTTCCAGCAGGATGCTCTCCTGCCGGGACCTGCAGGGACCACGAATGTGTAAATATGCCCCAAGCAGCTCATCCTCTCCCCACGGGGCCTGCTCCTTCTGTGCTCTTCCCTTCCCCCAGCCTCCAGCACATGACCTCCCCCTTCTATGAAGATGCATGTCTCAGAGCTGACATCTCTCCTCCACGCTGTTGCCCAAGCTTTGGCCAGGTGAGAATCCCCACACCTACTGCTGACACGGTAACCTGGGAGACCCCATCATGTATCTCCCAAACTGGGCCACTTTGGAAAACGTAAAGGGCGCCATCAATAATGACATCAGGACATCAGCATAAACCAGGACAGTCCTGGGCCAGGCAGGACGTAAGGTCACTCTACCTTAACCTCTCAGCTTCCCCACCCATGAATGGCGGATGGTGACGGCCCCTGCACAGCCACCTCACTGCGGGGTCCTGGACCATGGCCAGGGCTCAGGAAGTGAACTCCATTGTTTACATTGGTGGTGGTCTCCTGACTGCTCCCCTGCATCTGGGCGACCCCCACTCCCATCACAGATGTTTCCCACCACTGAGCTGTGTCTCTCTCCAGGCTCCCCACTACCCGGAAGATAAAGCTGAGACTCCTTCACATGGCAGCTGTGCTGGTTCTTCTCCACCACAGGCTCCGTTCAGGTTAGACTCAACCACAGGGAGCCAGGAGGAGAAGCACAGGCAGGAGCAGAGGGGCCCCGGCCCCCACAGGGCTGCAGCTCTCCAAGGCAGAGCGCTCTCCCTAGTCCCCGGCCCTGTGCTGTAGACCCAGGGTGGGAACAGCTCCCCACTGTTGCTAGTCAAGGGTGTGCACCAGCCCATAGTCCGGTAATACTGCTCACCCCTCTCCAGTGACCGTGTCATCAGAGTCTCCTCGTTTGAACCCCTGGGGCCTGCTATGGTTTGGACATAGTTTGTTTGACTCCACCAAGTCTCATGTGGAAATTTATCCCCAGTGTTGGAAGTGGGGGCTGGTGGGAGGTGTCTGGGTCGTGGGAGTGGAGTCCTCATGAGTAGCTTAGTGCCCTCCTTGTAGTGACAAGTGAGGTCCCACTTAGTTCTGGTGAGAACTGGTTGTTAGAAAGACCCCAGCTCCTCCTCTCCTTTTGTGGCCTGTCTTGTGGTGTGATTTCTGCACTTGCTCACACCCGTGGGCTTTCTGCCATGAGTAGAGGTAGCCTGAGGCCTCGCCGGGAGCAGATGCTGGCGCCATGTTTCTTGTACAGCCTGCAGAAACATGAGCCAAATAAACCTCTTTTCTTTATCAGCTGTCCAGCCTCAGGTGTCCCTTTGTAGCAACACAAAACAGACTAAGGCAGAGATGAATTCTGATATCTTCTGGGAACTAGCTGGAAGCATCCAAAAACAGACCCCAAAAATGGGCTTCTGGGGCCAGGCTACTCAGATCCTTGATGAAGGCACAGATGACCCTTTACCAGGGAAAATGGGATCCAGGAAACCTGAGCAGGCAGTGGGGTCACAGTCACCCTAATTGTCATCAAGTTGGCATGGGATGGTGTGCAGGTGGAGGGCAAAGAGGGTGAGGCTGCCAGGCTTGATCACTCCAACAATGGTGGGCTCACTAATGGGGGCTTCACCCCAGATGTGAGGCAAGTCCAGTTATCATTAGGGATGGATGGGGGCAGGGATAATGGGGGCATCACCCCAGAGGTGAGGTGAGTCCAGTTATCATCAGGGATGGATGGGGGCAGGGAGGGTGGGAGTTTCCCATGCTGGGTGCACACAACAAGAAAGTGGTTTTTTGGCAGATAATTTAGAATAAGAATATAACTGACACAGTCTGCTTTGTACTATAGCCATGTGATGGCAGCTCCACACCATGGCGGTGATAACACATTCCTCTCCTGGGCAGACCTCTTCTGGCACTGCCCACCCTCAGGGCACAGCACATTGACCACGAGAGGCCACAGAGACAGAAGGCTGAGATTGAACCTCATTGGGGGTCTGAGGCTGTAAGTGGCAGTCACAGGTTTCCAGGAGTGAGTGATAGAAGGAGGGAGCTATGATGATCTATGTTGGCTTGACGACCAGCTTTGGTGGGAGCTAGGAGAAGGCAAGCTATGGCAGGGGGTAAGGGGATCCCCAGCTATCAGAGGAGGATGGCCGGCTATGGAGGTGGCTGGAGCGGCCAGGCATGCATTCTCTGCATTTTTTTTCTTTCATCCTATGCTTTGCTACATCCTCCATGATGGGCACCAGTGGAACCAGGTGTCAGGTTCGGGCAGAGGAACAATTGCCTAACATCATCCCACAATGACGGGGTGGCCAGTGAGCCTTGGTGTCTCCTGGGAGGGGGCTGGGAGTTTCTCCATCTGAACAAAGGACAGGAATGGATTCTGGGGGCCTGGGGTGCTGAGGACACTGCACATTCTTCAGCTGATACCCTCACCCTGTTCGTTCCCCCCATTCCCTTGTGGCTGCTCTCTTTGGGTTGTGCTTGGGGAAGGCGTAGCAGGAGCAGAAGGGTGGATGGAGAGGTTGGTGTTTCTCCTGTACCCTCCTGCTTTGGTGCTGCACCACCCAAGCTGCAGCTTCTCCCAAGAGGCCCCTCTCTGTGGGCCCGTTAGCCCTGGGGATACAGCAGCTCCCCACTGTTGCCAGCCCCTGGGTGCCTTGACTTCCCTGTGGGCCCCCTTAACCCTGCCCTCCCCACAGGAATCCTCACTGGACCCCAGGTTGAGCCCTGTTTCCTGCCCAGCCCCTGACTGCTCCTGCGGGGTACAAGGCCTGGATACGCTGGCCCCAATGGCAGCCCAACATCATCCCCTGGAGCCCCTCAGCCAGCTGCCCTGCTCCACCAGGACGCCAGAAGCTGCCCTCAGCCGGCTGCCCGCTCCACCAGGATGCCTAAAGTCACACGGAGCCTGGCTCTGTTCCTCGTGAGGCAAGCTGGCCTGCCCTGGTCCCCTGACCAAGCGCTCTTGTCGTCTGTTCACACTGAACCACCTCTCTCCAGACCTTCCCTGACTGTCCACCCATGCCCATGGGCAGATTGGAATTAAGAGTGGCCTGAGACCAGATGCAAGATGGCATGACTTCCAACCTCGAAGTCTATACCCGACCACATTTTAATCACCTATGAGAACAGAACAAAGAAATTTTCAGACATCAGAAAGTTGACTTCACGTGTACCCTTTCTTAGGTAATATTGAAGGACGTCTTTCACGGTCAAATAAGGGATTCAGTCCTGAAGAAAGAAGATAGAAAATCCAGAAAACAGAGAATCCCACCCAGTGGAAAAGCCAAAGGAATTCCCAGGATGATGGTGAGGAGAAGCCCAGGGTCGTCACTGTGTGGTGGCCTGGGGTGCCCAGCCTGGGGCAGGAGCTGGAGGACACTAGGAGGGATGACCCCAAAACAGAAAGTCACAGAATGTGACATTGAAAGGGGTTTGGGTTTGCTGTAAAGTTTGAGGTGGAATTTAAAATAGGTAAATAGAAAAACATATTTTAAAAGAGGAAGGAAAGTTTCAAGAAAATCAAAGAAGCTGACTTCCCAAAAAAAGGTTGTATGTTTTTGGTACAATATGTGCCTTAACTGTGAAAAATATTTACATGATAGTAATAAAAAACACCAAATATTGATTTAGCCAACAATTATGAAATGACTCAACAGGGAATACTTAGTGGTGAAGGGATGTGTGGGCAGGTGGGCATGGGGCGTGATAGAAGGAGACTCATTCTCTTCCACAACAGAAAGTCAGTCGACACAAAAAGAGAAAAGCCATGAGCATGTCTCTTAGAAACACGGGGTCAGTACCGAAGAAAACAGCGCAAAAACTATTCAAACAGAAAAGATCCGCCTGTCTCAGCCTCCCAAAGTGCTTGGATTACAGGCGTGAGCCACCACGCCTAGCCTTGTTTGACTTTTTAAACCAAGCATTTGCATATTTTAACTAGAAAGTGTTTTTAAAAAGAAAAAATCAAGCTACCTGAGATTTTTCCTAATTAATATCACTTAAATGCCTGAAATTTTAATTCCACCTATAAAATAACATAAAATATAACTTCCCATTTTCAGAAAATATAAAAATACATACATTATTATATTCACAGAAACAAGACCAGAACAGATTCCCCGAAGTATTCACAGTTATCCTTTAACTCTTTATAATCTTTCTGCAAAAAGAAAACAGCTCAAAACAGCTCAAAACCCAAAAATCCTGGGTGCAGGAATGGGAGATGGAAAAAGTAGAACAATCTTGTTTGACTTTTTTTTTTTTTTTTTTTTTTGAGATGGAGTCTCACTCTGTTGCCCAGGCTGCAGTGCAGTCATGCGATCTCTGCTCACTGTAACCTCTGCTTCCTGGGTTCAAGCGATTCTCCCACCTCAGCCTCCTGAGTAGCTGAGACTACAGGTGCACACCACCACACCTGGCCAATTTTTGCATTTTTAGTAGAGACAGGGGTTTTGCCATGTTGGCCAGGCTGGTCTCGAACTCCTAACCTTAGGTGATCCACCTGCCTCAGCCTCCCAAAGTGCTTGGATTACAGGTGTGAGCCACCGTGCCTGGCCTTGTTTGAGTTTTTAAACCAAGTATTTGCATATTTTAACTAGAAAGTGTTTTTAAAAAGAAAAGAAAAAATCAAGCCACCTGAGACTTTTCCTAATTAATATCACTTAAGTGCCTGAAATTTTAAAACTCTCAGATTTTTTTAAAACCTTTGAGGGGAAAAAATTGTGACCAGAGAATCTTTCCACCAAGTATGAGGATAGTATGGAGACACTTTTGGATATGGAGGCTCAAAAACTGTCTATACAGACACATATATACATACATACTCTAAAAATTACTTCAACATTTTATAGTTGAATAAAAAAGATTCAATATTGAGAGTTCAAAAATATGGAAAAGTTAAAAAATGGAGACCAATAGAAACAGTTTTTAAAAAGGAATGAGTTTAAATAAATACTGTTAGAATATTTATTAAAAGTAATAAAAATATTACAATTATTCTTGGAAAATAGGTTGCTTATGTTATGAAATTCAATAATAACATTTTTGGATATAAAAATCCCAGGATATAGTACAAAAGGTTGAAAGGAAAGATGCATGTACAAAGCCAACCAAAACATCTAGACATAAAGGATTAAATAATTAGTTTTGATAAATTCAGGTGATAGAACTGTATAGAATCATTTTTAAAGTGTGATTTAGGGGAATATTTCAAATCATCATTAATGCTCAGAATAGATCCCTTAGTAAAAATGGCAGTCACCAAGAAACATAATATAAATCTAAGCATAACATAACCTATACCATAACATAAAATATAACTTCCCATTTTCAGAAAATGTAAAAATATATACATTATTATTATATTCACAGAAACAAGACCAGAAGAGATTCCCCAAAGTATTCACAGTTATCCTCGTAAGTCTTTATAATCTTTCTGCATTTTCCAAGTCTTCTATAATGATTCTGCTCTACTCCTTTTAGACAACTAACAAGCAAAGCATGAGTCCCATGGCCATGCCCACAGATCATACTAGACACACAAGTCCCCAGGCCAAGGTTTAGCAGCTTGGAGCCTGCTTTTTCTTCTCTTTTTGGTACATCTTTTCTTCTCCTTTAGAACATTGAAATAAAAAGTCCAACATATGCACTTTGTACTCAGTAGCAACTCTACTCTTGCCAAGATAGTGGTCTTGTGATGGCCTAAGTGGGGAAAGAGAGAATGGGGATGAAGGGTACTAGATAGGCGATGTACTCAAACTGGGCTTTGGAAAGCATTTTGAAATTGTCGATCATGGTGTTGTGGAAGGACTGATGTACAAGAAATCCAAGCAAGGGTGTAGTCTAAACTATGAGAGCAGCGTAGACCCTTCCAAGTCTTCGTGTCTATCCCTAAAGCAGAGATAATATGGTCCTCACCTGACTGGTGGAGATGTGTAAGGCCGTTAAGGATGTAGCAGGCATGTAGTGGAACCCTCTGCATACTTCAGGCTTCCAGACCTGGAGGCTGTCAGGCTTACTACCTGGCATGAGGGCTGCCAGCCCCACCTCCCTCTACCTGTCTCTTCCTGGACCCACCACTTTCACTCCCACCTCCCTGCTCTCCTCTCCCTCAGTTGCTAAGATGAGCTCGTTTCACTTTCTTCCTTCCAAAGGCAGTTGCAAACTTTATAGTCCCATTGTTTGAAATTATTGAAGATGCTAATGTTTGATGTGGAAGTTTAAGCCTGTCAGGAAATTTCACTTTCAAAGTCCTTCAGTCGGTTCAAAAATTCCTCACATGCGATGTCCTCTTGATGGTGTTTCCAAACCCCTTGGAGCCTATCTGGAGTGAAATGGTCCACACTGAAGCCCTTCTGGGGGATATGACAGAACCCTAAAGATTGTCAGCACTGTCCGTTTTTAACCATGGTCTGACATGCGCATACTGTCTTAGGAGTAATTGTTAGTTCTGAACTCACCAGTGAGCATTGCAGAGCTAAATAATCCAGAGGTCTCCTGCAAAAGTAAATATAATAGAGAGTGCTACACCCTGTGCTTGTGACGAATGCCAAGGCTTGGCAGACCAGGCCTCTGCTGGGCTCTGGACTCAGGGCTCCGGCCTCCAACAGCCAGAAATCCCACCAACACCAAGGAGACTGTACCCAGAAAAGGTCACCCAGAAATCCCATCACTTTTGGACCATGGCAGAATATTTGCCTCTCCAGAGGTTGAAACAAAGTATGAGTCACTTCCAAAATTATTTTATAAAAGTTAAAATGTTTCCTTTAAAAAGAAAAATCCTATCAGAATGCAGATTGGGGTTTGCCAGGGTCTGTGGGGGTTGAGGAATAGGGAAAAACTGCTTAATGCATAAGGGGTTTTGCTGTGCAGCAATGGGAATGTTTTAGAACCAGGTAGAGGGGGTGGCTGTGCAGCTTTGTGACTGTACTCCCTGCCACTGAATGGCAAAAATTGTTAGTTTTATTTCATGTGAATTTCACCTCAATAAATTACTGTAAAAATCATTTCAAATGATTTTTCTCCCCTCTGGCTGGCAAGGCTCATTATCTTTGGGTGAGGGTGGTGGCACTTATGGTGTATAGTACAGCAGACAAAGCACAAAATTGGCACCAGCCTGACTGGTATGTGCACTGGATGACCTGGGGCAAGTTGTTTACTTATGCTGTGTGGTCAAATGAGGCCAGTGATCTAGCTGTTTATTAAATAATCTGTACATTTTTCTAATGAACAAAGCAATACTGGTATATTATAAAACAGCGATCCTCAACCTTTTTTGGCACCAGGGACAGGTTTTGTGGAAGACAATTTTTCCACAGACCGGGGAAGGGGGATGGTTTCAGGATGATTCAGGTGCATTACATTAATTGTGCACTTTCTATTATTATTACATTGTAATATATCATGAAATAATTATACAACTCACCATAATGTGGATTCAGTGGGAGCCCTGAGCTTTTTTTTTTTTTTTTTTTTTTTTTTTGCAACTAGATGGTCCCATCTGGGAGTGATGGGAGACAGTGACAGGTCATCAGGCATTAGATTCTTGTAAGGAGTACACACCTAGATCCTTCACATGCGCAGTTCACAGTAGGGTTTGTGCTCCTACGAGAAGCTAATGCTGCGGCTGATCTGACAGGAGGTAGAGCTCAGGTGAGAATGTGAGTGATGGGAAGTAGCTGTAAATACAGATGAAGCTTTGCTCGCTTACCCAATACTCACTTCCTGCCGTGAGGCCCGGTGAGGCCTGGTTCCTAACAGGCCACAGACAGGTACCAGTGCCAGTCCATGGCCCAGGGATTGGGGACCCCTGTTATAAATTTTATATAAAATAAGAAAATAAAAATCATCCAAAACTTCACTACTCAAAGGTGACATTTTGTATTTTGTTTTCTAGCTGTCTAACCCTTTTCATACCCATGTATATTTTTAAGTATTTTTGATCTCCATGCTTTTCTTAGCCAGTCCTTTGTTCTTGGACTCTGCCTGTCCCGGGCCATGTCAGCAGGAAGCTTGCAGACACCTCCCTCCTTCACGCTTAGGGAGCATTTCCTGGGGTGGGAGTGGGAATTGGAAAGATGTTTGAATCACCCACCATTGGGATTTGCTCTTTTAAATCTTTAAGTTTCTGTTCCTTCCTTTGTCTTCAGAGTTTTTATTAAAACAATGCCAGTTTTCCATCTCCTCTGTGGCATCTGTTTATTCTCTTTGACTTTCAGAAAGCTGAACATATGACTCATTTCTGTGTGCGTGTGTGTGCGTCTTTGTGAAGCAACGCAGAGTAAAAGGGAAGTGAAGTCGGGAATAATTATTTGAACCTGATTCTTCTGTGAATGTTTCAATGAGAAATAAATCTTGTTTCCCCTCACAGGAATTTGCAAGTTTGCTACAAGCCAAACAGAAAGATTGGTCCAGGGCTGTGAATTTGGTCAGAGCCCCTTCCAGTTGGAAGTAGCAACTCTTTGCAGCCCCAGTAACAGGAAGTCCATGTGAGTGTGCTTGGGCCCTACGGGACCTGACTCAGACCCAGGTACCTTTCACACGGCAGGTGCAGAGCAGGTCAGCCCTGTCAGCCGATGGAGTTGGACATTCCCAGGCTCATCTCTCCTTCTAGGACTTACTGTCACCTCTCCAAGCCACTCTTTTCAGCTTGCTGGTGGCCTCCTGACCCTCCTCCCAGCCATTAATATCCATCCATAGCCTCCTGTCACCAAGGGCAGCTGATAGCATCTGACTCACCATAGACAAGTGACTAACTCTCATGTGAAAGGTCGCTTCTCTCCAGCATGAGACAACAGAGTGACTAAAACAACTAGATCTCCAACAGTGGAGCCTAAGGCACCAGTGAAAGCTCAGTGAGGAGGAAGCCACTGTTCTTATCCAGTGAGTGAGGGGGCCGCTAAGTAGACTTTAGGAAGCACAGTGTGGGATGGCCCCTGGATATCTCAGTCTCCTGGAGTCACACTGGAGCCTGCTCTAGGACCTGGACCAAAGCCTCCTTCCCAGGTCTCTTCCCACCCTGCACTACCTCTACCAGTGGATTTTCTACCTGGATTATTAACCACTCAGAGCAAACCCCACAGAGAAGGGAGTCTCCCTCCAGGGGCACTCAGAGGCTCAGTTTGCCTCAGTCGTCTTCATTCATTTGTGGCTCTTCGTAGCTTTCAGTTTACCAAAAAATCAATCAATCAATCAATCAATGAGCAAGTCCACATCATCACTGGCTTCTAAGAGTTTCCTCCAAATCCCAGCGTTACCTTGCCTTCTACAGCAGTGCCCCCTCATCCACAGTTTCACTTTCTGAGGTTTCAGTTACCCACGGTAAACCAAGGTCTGAAAATAGTAAATGGAAAGTGCCAGAGATGGATAGTTCATGTGTTTTCAATGATATGCCATTCTGAGCAGTGTGATGAAATCTCACACCACCTACTCCATCCCCCAGACAGGGATTGTCCCTTCACCCAGCTCATCCACATTCTAGACCCCACTTCACAGGCGTCTCAGTGATCAGATTGTCAAGTGGTCCTTATATTACTTAATAATGGCCCTAAAACACCAGAGTGATGATGCTGGCAACTGTTATAATTATTCTATTTTATTGTTAGTTATTGTTAACCCCTTACCACACCTAATTTATAAATGAAGCTTATTGTAGGTATATATGCATAGGAAAAAGCACAGTACATGTAGGATTTGGTACTATCTGAGGTTTCGGGCATCCACGGGTGTCTACAACTGTACATGGAATGAAAGTTCCGATTCTGAAAAGCAACCTGGAACAAGACAGGCCATCAGCACTTCCTGACTCCAGCCCTCCGTGGGGTGGCGCTCCCCACAAGAAGGGGTCCCCGACACCACCTCGCCAGACGCTGTGCATCTGGGAGGCTTCTAAGCGAAACAGACCCAGGAGCAGCAGCAGTGGAAATGAGGCCCCAAACAATAGCAGCAGGGCTTTGGTAAAGCAGGCTTGGAGCAAGCGGCTCTGATGGGCGCTTTCATAGAGTGGCCGTTTCTCCTCCTAAACCCAGATCTAGGCCTTGGTGTCCAGTCCTCCCCTGCACAGGATGGTCTCACCTGAAAACTCCTAACATAATGACATCTGCATGCCCACGATGGGGCAGCAGCCCCATCACACCTTGGTGAAAAAATTCTCTCTTCAGAGAGTAGAGGGACCATGTCTGGACCCCAGGATGCCTCTTAGTATTTTCATGCCCTGTAGCAAAGGGTGATATAAAATTACAGCAACCAAAGAAGAGGCCGCAGGATCAAAGATCCAGACACTTTATGAATGAATGTCAGGGTCACTATGCTAGGCAAAGGACAGCATGAGCAGAGGTTCTAGCTAAAGCTGGGGAAATACGGAACAAGTCATTGACAAAGGAAGCCAAATATGTCAACTACGGCCTCATGACCAATACAGAAACAAGTAGCTTTGCATATTTTTGCTCCTCTGTGTGTTTTTATTTAGACGTCCTAACCATTTTCTTTTTCTCTCCTACCAGTATTTTTTTTTTTTTTGAGACAGTGTCTGAGTCTGTCACCCAGACTAAAGTGCTATGGCGTGATCCCGGTTCACTGCAACCTCTGCCTCCCAGGCTCAAGCGATTCTCCTGCCTCAACCTCCAGAGTAGCTGGAATTACAGGCGCCCGCCACCATGCCCAGCTAATTTTGTATTTTTAGTAGAGATGGGTTTTCGCCATGTTGGCCAGGCTGGTCTCGAACTCTTGACCTCAGGTGATCCACTCACATCGGCCTCCCAAAGTGCTGGGATTACAGGTGTGAGCCACCGCGCCCGGCCCCACCAGTATATTTTTACATGCAAGTTGATGCAGGTTATTTTTACAATTTGGTCTCTAGGAGCAGAATATGCAGTGGCGCTGCGCCACATCCTTTCCTGGGGTACATGGGGTGGGGAGCTTTTTCTCAGTGTGTTCCTTCCCTAGGGCCCTGCCTTAGCCCTGGAGGCGGTACTTGCTCCCTGCACAGCTGTCCCGTGTGCTCTTTATCCATTAGGAGCTCTTCTCTTTTCCGAGTTAATAATTAGAGTAAATGCTCCCTGGTCAGTTAACGGATGTGATTTTCTCATGACTAGGCCTTCGTCTAATGCAAATGGTATTGTATGAAAGTCTTACTATAAAGGCAAACTTTATAAAAAAAAAAAAAAAAAAAAGTAAACCTCCCCAAATGCAAAAAATATCTACCGAAAAATAGAGAAGGCGCAAATTACAAAGACTGAATAGGGAAAGACAATTTATACAGACAATCTCGTAGAACCGAGGGCACACATTAATCATCTTAATAAATGTCCATTTTCAATCACTCTGCATCCTACAGCCATGCTGGAGACAGGGAAAACGCCAATGTTTCTTCCTTCTTCTTTGCTTTCTGATTCAAAGAGATTTTAGTACACCATGGGATCCTGAATGTGGCCACAGTTGAAAGAAATAATGAGTTGCATAGTTGGATTTCAAAGTGCAAAAATCCTATAAGACAAATATTCCTTTTACGCATTTTACAGATGAAGAAAATGACTTCCCAACATTTACAGCTGGTTAACAGCAGACCAAGAATTTAAAACTAGAACTTCTCTTTTAAATCCAAGTACAAAAGCTTGCCCTTGTACCTCAACCTTCCTTGAGAAGGAGAGTCGCTCGGCACTTTCCGCTCACCAGAAATGGAATCATCTCACAGGTTCTTTTTATTGTAATGAGAATTATCATGATATCAGAAAGAAATGACATTCATAAAATTTTTTTGATTTTGGCGTTTTATTTCTCCATCTTCGAATCCCATTCCTCTAAAGTATAAGCCATATTTGTCTTGCAAATCCTAGCTCTGTAGGAAAAACAAACAGAACAAAACAAAATCTTTGAAACGTGTGTTGCCCTTAAAAACAAACAGCAATCATGGCTGCCTCAGTCATGGAAAGTCTGAATATCTTCACAATGCATAATTCAAACACATCGGAATATGTTTTGTTTTAAAAATTTTCCCCAAAGTTGTCTCCTACTGGTTTATATCTACAACATGTGCATTCGTCTGATTTTTAGCAATAGACGCTCAGTATTACATATGCATCGGAGGAGGAGGATTTGAGGTGAATTAATTAATTTTCTAAGATGTTCCATGTGTTCTTGTTTGCTGAGAATTTCTTTAAGGGGCATATGTGTTGAAAAAACTGTCCACTTTTCTACTCAGTACTTAGCACGACATGACCTACCAGAAGCGGGATGACCACAAAGACCAAGTTATGCTTCCTGGCTTTTAGGAAAAAACCACCTTCGTGGCATTTTGTCGGGATGCTGCATCTGGAAGGTGATCCGAGGGGCAGGCTCCTGACAGTTAGTGGTGCCCTTCCCCTGCACCCCATCCCAGGCAGGGCTGTAAGGACAGACCCATCCAGTTCTAAGCACCAAAGTTGACCAGTCCAGTAAGGAAGACAAGAGCATCCCGTGCATCACTAGAGAGACTCCGGACTCTCAGGAAGACAATGAAAATCTTCTTCCACGTCCTTAGGCTCATGGCTGCAAGCCAACCACAGATGGACAAATGTGCCAGAAATCACAGTGCCTGGGGACATGCAGTTCATGGATAGAATTTTCTGGAAAAGTGGAGCTACCCAGAAAACTTTTTTTTCCAACTTTCTCATTCAAAATATTTTAATTCACTTGTCTGCCTTGATTTGCAAAGGAAGGGATTTATTTTATAATCACATATCTTGAGTGGTCCCAGAGGACTAGGGAAAGAAACATTCCCACAGCACCAAACAGGTAGCTATAGAGATATCTATAGACATTGGACTAAATGTGTCAGAGTTTTCTTTCTTTTAATTATCCTCAAGATAAATTTGATTCCTCATGCTTTTCCTCTTTCTCCTAAAAACAGAATGTACTGACTTTTGGCCTGGCACAGTAGCTCACGCCTGTAATCCCAACACTTTGGAAGGCCGAGGCAGGTGGATCACCTGAGGTCAGGAGTTCGAGACCAGCCTGGCCAACATGGGGCCAAAACCCCGTCTCTACTAAAAATACAAAAAATTAGCCAGGTGTGGTGGCGGGCGCCTGTAATCCCAGCTACTCAGGAGGCTGAGGCAGGAAAATCGCTTGAACCCGGGAGGCAGAGGTGGCAGTGAGCCGAGGTCATGCCATTTCACTCCAGCCTATGCAACAAGAGCTAAACTCCATCTAAAAAAAAAGAAAAGAAAAAAAAAAGTCCTCACTTTTTTCTTCCATTTCATTGAAGGCTTCCAACATTTGAATTCAAAGAGTTTCAAGGTCTCTTGCCTATAAATCGAGTTCTACATGTGGGCTAACATGAATCTTTCTACAAACATTAGATTCAAGGTGGAGATGGACCAAGACTTCTACTTTAATAACAACTGAAGCATTGGGAAAAGTTAATATTCAGAATCCGAGCTGTCCAGAGCTGCCAGGGAAAGTGCTCTGAAGACAAAGAGATGCTTTGTTCTTATTCTCAATAGCACCTCGAAGCTGAGCACATCTCATTCAGACAAACAGAAAATTGAAGAAAATTCACCTCTGAGTGAGATCAAGTATAGAAAATGTGAGCCTCGAAGGGAAGATTTGCCAGAGGCCTCAGGCAAGGAAAAGCAGGGAATCTGAAGGCAGCTGTGAACTGTTGCTAATATGCTCGGAGCTTCTCAAAAGAATGGGAAAGCTGTGCTTCCAGTGGGGACAGAAATGTGGCTTTTCTTGCTTAAGCCACCTGGCGATGCAGTTTGTTTCATCTCTGGACCCCTCTTCCTCAACCGCAGAGTGTCGCCGCATAGCCATTCTGGAACCACCAGCACCCGTGAGTTGCCTCAGGTGAGGAGTGGACTGAGGTGCACAGTGGTTGAACGCCTTCCTTTGCTGTGCGGCACCAGCGACACTGCATCTGTGCATGGACTCACCACGGAACACAGCCGTCGTGACCCTTGGCAAACGCTGCTCTGCCTGAAGGCTCCCGGGACCCAGAGGCAGCACTTGACTGCAGGCTGTGAGGTATCTGCAGCCACAGTCTCTCACAATGGGCATTCCTGGAGCCTTTTGACAGCAAATCCCATTTCTCAGATACATAGGCTCCAACCCAGAGTGAAGGCAACACGTAGAGGATGCTCCCAGCCCCTTCCCTGGGACCTGCCAGACAGCCCTGCCCTCGGGCAGAAGTGAGTCCTGCACCCAGGGGAGGGCCACGTCCTGGATCCCACATGTGTCAAATGTCACCTGGCTGAGCTAGAAACTCCTTTGCTCACATGTTGTGACACCTCGCATCATGGTGCCTGCAGCTTCCCCAGAGAAACCTCACTGTCTTTGTGATCCCCAACATGCAGTGCCCGGTGCTGTCTCCTGATATTTCACGGCTGCCCCTCCTTCGTTGGAGGACAGCCGTCCAAAGAGAGAAGACGTTCAAAGGCCACCGAGGCAGGCAGCACCAGCTGCAGACCATTGAACCTATCAATCAAGCACTGCCTAAATCACATTTACTCACATCCACACACGACTGTCACGTGTCCAAGTGACAGTTGTCAGGACAAAAGAAAGGGCTCAGGGGACAGATTCCCAAAGTCTTCTCAAGTCAAGTGTGCTGTTTCTGTGCCCATCTCACGCAGAATGCCAAGCGGGAAATGTATTTTCATCCATGCCACACAGCTTTACCATAAAGCAGTAGGTGGGCCCCAAAACACACTGGGCTGCCGAGGCCATCTTGGGGCGCCACTGCCTACCTCTGAGACCCTGGGCAAGTTGCTGGTCTAAGCCTCGGGCTCTAGTCTCCCAGGATAAGGCTGGCCCACCAGGCTAGCGAGGCACTCACACAGGGCGCTGTAGGTGAAAGGCCTGGAGAATTGCAAATTGGACCACAAAAAGATCCTCTGGGGTTTCTTTTCCTTTTTTTTTTTTTTTGAGACGAGTCTCGCTCTGTCACCCAGGCTGGAGTGCAGGGGCGCAATCTTGGCTCATGCCAGCTCCGCCTCCCGGGTTCACGCCATTCTCCTGCTTCAGCCTCCAGAGTAGCTGGGACTACAGGCACCCGCCACCACGCCCGGCTAACTTGTTTTTTGTATTTTTAGTAGAGACGGGGTTTCACCGTGTTAGCCAGGATGGTCTTGATCTCCTGACCTCGTGATCCGCCCGCCTCGGCCTCCCAAAGTGCTGGGATTACAGGCATGAGCCACCACACCCTGCCAGTGATGTCCTTTTCAATCTGAACAGCATGAGCATGAGCCCTCCTGAAGTGCACCCGAGAGAGTGGCTCGCTGCCCAGGCTGCCACTGGACTGGGGCCACTGTGGGCATGACCAAGCGTCCATTGGATCAGTGGGATTTTTTGCTGAGTAACAAATCACCACAACCTCAATGGCATTAACACACACTTGTTGTCTCACAGTTCCTTTGGGCTAGGAGTGCAGGCACATCTCCTGGAGGATGGGCACAGCTCTGTGCCACACGGCCCTCTCCATAGACATCCCACAATGTGGCGCCTTCCTTCTTCCAGGCCAGCAGGTGAACATCTCCCAGAAGTCAGCTATGACAGAGTCTCATTGAATGAAACAAAAGGAAGCCACCTGCCACCCCTGTGCCATATCTGTGGGTCAGAAGCATGCTGCAGATCACCCTCACCCCCCAGCGGAGGAGATCACACAAGGAGGCAGGGACCAGGGGCACCCTAGGGTATACCCACCACATCGTTCTTCCTGGATGAGGCATTCTTGGTGGTTTCATTGGTCTTCTGGGTGTTTCCTTGTTGAAGGGTGTTCTGGAAGTAAGCTCTCAAAGACCACAGAGTTATAACAGGAAAGTTGGAGGGGCCTGGGAAGTGATGGAGTCCCGCCCCCTCCATCTAGACAGGAGGACGGAAGCTAAGGTGAGTGAAAGCACCTGTTACGGCTCATAGATCTTGTTGGAGTCAAGGCTGGGCCTCTTACAGCTCATAGATCTTGTTGGAGTCAAAGCTGGGATTGAAATCTAAGCACCTCCTTCTATTGCACCCCTCTAAAGAAGCACTACTGCCGTATCTCTAATTCAATGTCACTTTGCCTCCTGCCAGAAGAGAGGAGTTGGCATTCTCCATCATTTCCAAGCCGGCACCATTTGTCCCTTCTCAGCCACAGCACGTCGCTCATTCCAGGTCCCGATACTTTGCTTTCTGAAAGCTCTAAACTGATAGAGATGTTATGGAGGGCTAAGATTTGTGTCACTTGTTCTGCCGCACATCTGCATGGATAATGACAGTCACGGGAGGCTCAGCTGGGCACTCCTGGAGGGAGATGCTTTACATGGGAGTCATGCAAGGCAGGGAAAAGTTGCATAGGAAATCGCAATCTCTCCTGGGATCTGATAATAATTTAAACATTCCTCTGAGACATTTGAGATTCGTAGAAAGGAGGGGAAAGTTGCTAACACAGAAAGAATGTGAGCAATAAAGCAAGCGTCCAGGAAACCACTGGCTGCCTCCACTGGGGAGCAGGTGTCCCTACTGCAGCCTGGCCACTGTCACCACATGCCGCCACTGTGTGCATTGCTCACAGAGTGTAGCCGTTACACCTGCAGGCCTGAAACAAAACAGGAACCAACAGGCAGGAATAAGCAAGCATCCGCCATGCTGCATGGCAGCGTTCTCCGTCTACAGTGGCTACAGTCGCTCCGTGCGCGTGCGTGGAGTTGAGATCCCTCAGAGGGTCCCGTGAGCCATGGGCCCGGCCTCCCCTGTCGGGCTGGCCAGGGTCACATGTTGATCCTGCTCCAATTCTTCCTGGTCTTTTCAGGAAGACAGAGAAAATAAGCAGACGGGAAACAGAAACCCTCCTTGTGGATGAGGGCTAGAAAAATATTTTTAGATACCCAGCTCAAGCACCCAAATTAGGTGTGTTTCAATTAAAGTAAATTCTCTGGCCATTCTACTCCCCACCCCACAAAACAAGAACCTCATAAAAAGCCTTCCGGCAACTTCTAACCAGTATTCACTGTGTCCCCCCTCCACCACCCTCCTGGGACATCTGTTTGTGAGAGCAGATTGCATTCAGCTGATGTATTCACCAGATGAGTGGGACGTGCCCCTCGGCCTAAAAGAGTTGAGTGTGTGCTGGGGTGGATTTTGGGGTGGGGGGGGACACAGATGTCCACCAAACATTTTTAGTGCGCAGAACCTCTGACGCACAAGTGTCTGCTGATGTTAATCTGGGGTGGCATCTCTCCCCGTGACTCACCAGTGGGTCCAGCCGCCCACTGACCTCTGAAGCCATTTGGGCCCTTCAGAGTGTGAAATTTCAATTTCTACATCAGAGCTTTGTATGTCAGTCCCGGAAAAAAATGCTTTATGTGAGAGCAAGGTTGATGTTTTCCAGGTCAGCATTTCAGCTGGGGAAAGCGGAGAGAGAAAGAAAGCAATAATTTCTACCAGGCACACATCGAGTTTGTAAACACAGCGTTCTCCCAGCACTGGGGTCTACTTGAGGGTGGAGGGTAGGAGGAGGGAGAGGAGCAGAAAAGATAACTGTTGGGTACTGGGCTTCATACCTGGGTGATGAAATCATCTGTACAACAAACCCCCATGACATGAGCTTACTTATGTAACAAACCTTCACATGTACCCCTGAACCTAAAATAAAAGTTTACAAAAAGACCCCATTCTCCAAACTCATATGAAAGTGCTGAGCTGCTTTCAAACACTGGGGAGTCCCTAAAATGCCAGCTGCCTGCATTTGACCCTCTCTCCAGCTGGACGTGAACGCAGGCCCAAGACAGAACGGAGCCCACAAGAGGCTGGGTTGCCTTTGCCCTGCCCTTAGAAAAGGGAGGGCAGGTTGGCATGGTTACCCAAGATGGTAGCCTCAGCAAGGCCTTTATCCCACGTGGGCCCAGACAAATGGCTTCACCTCTCTGTTTGCTCACTGCAAGGTGCCCCCATGCCTGTGCCTGCCCCGCCTCCCAGTGTGTGCTGTCTCAGACCCAAAGGAGCCCTTCCCTCTAAATGGGATCAGTCAACACAAAAACCACCTGACTCTTTACTCTGGGGAAGGACATTAAAGATGCCCCGTCCATGTCTGTGGGATGAAACCACCATGTGCCCTCCTTCCAGCACTCGTAGTGCTGCCGCGATGGAGGAGGAATGGGACAAGCTGGGAGACATGACTCTCATTGGAGGGGTGACCTCGGCCCCTCCTCCCTCTAGTCACATCCACTAGTCTCCCAGAGTCCCTTCCTGACACCAAGCTCTATGATGCAAATCTGATGGCTGCAGGGTCATCTGTCCGAAACAGTGGAGTTTGTGGGGCCTCCCTGCATTGCGAATGGTCACAGTCACCTCTCTGCTGTTAGAGGGGACCCCAGCACAGCTGGAAAGTCGTGTCGGCTCTTGGAGAAAACTCTGTAAACCAGCCGGGTCTACCCACAAATGGAGGATTCTGGGGTATTGGGTGCCCAGGCTAGACCCGCTGGCATCTGAAACTAAGGTCATGCTGGTAATGATGGAGCCACCTGAAGAATATCGAGGCAGTAAATGAGGTTAACCAGACAGAGGGAATGAGGAAGGAGAAAGAGCTTAGGGTCCCTCTGAGCCGAGGGTCTCATCCACTGAGGAGGAGAACACACGGAGGGCAGGAGGAGGTGGTGATGTGGCCTTCGCGGGAGCTGCAGGTGTCTCTGTGACAGCCGACTCCCCAGTGCTGGAGAGCACGATTCTGAAGCCGTTAGATTCAAAGGATTCGGCCAGGGTGTTTTTTACTGTAGGTTTTTCTCGTGAGTAGTCTGGACTGAGATATGTTATTTGCATTTTACTTAACTATATTTACTGCTGGCTGGGAGGTGAAAATTCAATGCACATGAATCTGAGGTGATGTAATTAGAAGCAACAACATGGGACCAGTTGAGTTCCTGGGCCAGTGGCCCCCAGATAAGAAGCGACACCCTGCAGGCACAAGGTAACTCTCCAGGGTACAGGGAAAATATTAGGTTTTTACAAACAAGAAATTAAGCTTTACCAATATCTAAAGTATACATTGAGTGATGTACGTGTAAAATGTATATAAAAATGAATGGAACACGTACTGGTAAGGATCCGCCATGACCAACATCTAGGAAGGGCAAACTGACTGACAAGGAAGGCGACGCACTGAACTGACTGACAAGGAAGGCGACGCGCTGAACTGACTGACAAGGAAGGCGACATGCTGAACTGACTGACAAGGAAGGCGACGCGCTGAACCGACTGACAAGGTGACACGCTGAACCGACTGACAAGGAAGGCGACGCGCTGAACCGACTGACAAGGAAGGCGACGCGCTGAACCGACTGACAAGGAAGGCGACGCGCTGAACCGACTGACAAGGAAGGCGACGCGCTGAACTGACTGACAAGGAAGGCGACTGCTGAACTGACTGACAACGTAGACAACGCACTGGGCATCCGGCCGCTGACCCGGCAAGCACTCTCTGAGCTTCATCTAGTGAGATGAGGGGAAGAACACAAAAGAATATGAGTAACAGAGGGGCCTTTTCTTTTATAAAAGAGTAAGATTTTACTTTGGAAAACTCTAGAAAAAAAGTTAATATTGAATAGAATAATCGTTCACAGCCTTGGATCCCGAAGCTTCCATGGCCTCTCAGCACAGCAAATACGGCTGCTTGTTGGGGCCTGAGGGCTTCTGTGTAGTATCTGGAGGACTCCCCCACACACACCCCCTTCATGCATGCACACCCACAACACACAACACACACATAACACATATCCCATACACACTGCATATACCACACACATCACACACTACACACACATCACACACACATCCATAGCACACATACTACATACACCACACACATCACATTCACAAACATCATAAACACACCGCACACGCATCCCTGGTCAGGAGAGTGTCGGGATCTGGCTAAGCCGATGGATGGGGCTCCAGCCCCTCACTCTGTACTTCAAGTGGGAAAGGACAGATGTCTACCTGAGATCCCACCTGAAGAAGGTGTCCTGTGGCCACATGAAGTGGTCCCGGAGAGGGACCTCCTTTGGGCATGACCAGGTCCCTGCACATGCTCTCCAGGTGCGTGGGGCATTTTGACGGTACTCGCCATCCCCGAGGCTGGCATGGCTTTCCCCTCCCCAGGGCCAGTGCCCTTGAGAGCCAGCTCAGCCTCATTGCCTCCTCCCCGGCGTCTGGGTGGACAGCTCATGGCCCTGGCCCCTCAGTACCCCCTCACCCTCGGCACGGCCAGCACCACCGCTGTTCACCGGAAGAGCGTGGAGCTCCCCGTATGGGCAGCGTCCAGAAAGGCCGCTCTCCTGGGCGGTGCAGGCTGAGAATCCCTGCTGCAGGCAGTGGTCAATATTCCAGGCATTGAATGATCTCCAAGTTGGGTCGAGCCCTGGCTCTGCCACTTGCTGGCACGTGTACCTGAGCCACAGTCTCCTCTGTCAAATGGGGGAGCCACTACTGTGCCTCTCCACCGTGTTGGTGAAGGACGTCACACCCAAAGCCAAACCAGCCCTCCAAAAATAGCAGCCATGTCATTCCTACAGACACTTCTAAATACACACAGAACTGGGGCGACGTAAAAACAATTAGAAATCAGCTAAAAATAAAATCAAAAGGTTGGTGACACATGCTCAGGTCCTGGATGGTCCTAATGAGATAGGCGGCCTCAGCCTGGTCTCCTGCCCATCAGCAGTGGAGCTGGCGAGGGGCGCCAGTCCCTGGATTCCAAGGCCTTTCTGCCTTTGGTTAAGTAGTTGATGTGCCATCAGTTCTGCTTAACCTCCCTCACGCCTGTCTCTGAGTAATATTCAGTGTCAGCCCTAATTAAACCCAGGAGCACTTTTATAACTAAAAGAAGAGGTATTGGCCCGTGCTGGGCTGAACAACTGTCTCCTCTGGGCCCAACAATCCCATGTTTGATCAATAAACTGAGCAGCCAGAGGCACTGACCAAGGGTAGGAATTTCAAAGCCTGGGGGTTGTTCCTGCCCAGGAGAAGGCCTGGCAGGAGGCAAGGATGTCCCCAAGGCCCCAGCCTGAATAGATGCCACATAGTCTTGCCACGTGCCCCGTCATCACAATGCCCAGGCTTGTAACATGCCATTTCCTCCTCACAGTAACCTGCAAGGCAGAAGTTATCACTTGCTGCAAACGCAGAAACAGAGCTATAAATGGTCCCGTGACCTCACCCAGGGTCTCACTGTGGGGAACTGTCTGTTCAAACCCACGTCTCTCTGGCTTAAAAAGTTATATTTCTACCCACGGCACTGCACTGATGATCTGCACATTAGTTTAATCAATTGTATGCCCGGCTCCACACAGAGCCTGGGGAGGCAGAGATGGCAGTGGGCACCTGGTGGGAGGAAGCAGTGACCAAGCACTCCTCCTCCTGTCCCAGATTGCCATCTTCCTCTGCACCGTGTATTCCTGGGCCTCTTTTACTAACCCTCAGCCGCCCCTTCCGCCACTATTAGGCATTCTTAGACTTCACCATGGATAGACGCCTCGGAGCTCAACAGGGAAGGCCAGGCCGGAATCAGCTCCACGTCAGGTGTGTGCTGTTCACTCTCAGGGGGCTCCAAGTGCCTGCCCAGCCAGCCCTCCCTCCCTGTGCCTGCAATGGTGCAAGCCCCCTTGCAAGCATGCCCCTAAACACAGATTTCCAGCCGACTGAGAACTATTATCGGGCCCAGTGCAGTGGCTCACACCTGTAATCCCCACACTTTGGGAGGCTGAAGGGGGTGGATGTATCGCTTGAGGCCAGGAGTTCAAGACTAACCTTGTCGACATAGCAAAACACCATCTCTACTAAAAATAAAAAAATTAGCCCACCACGGTGGTGCACACCTGCAGTCCCTGCTACTTGGGAGGCTGAGGCGGAAGGATTGTTTGAACCTGGGAGGTGGAGGTTGCAGTGAGCCTAGATCAGGCCACTGCACTCCCGCCTGGGTGACAGAGCGAGACTCCATCTCAAAAATAAATAAATAAATAAATAAAATAAAACAAAAAACTATTGTCATCTGGGTGGTAGTGTCTGATAGATTAACAAAGATGAGTTTATTTCATTAAGCAATGAACTGTGTGCTCCCTGTGAAATAGCAAGGGCAATTTTATTTTTCCATAAGTGAATAGGAGCATAAAAAGTAATATGCTGTTCAAAGTAAAATATGGAACAAATTAAAAGTTATCAAATGCCAAGTAACTCCAGGCTTTCACCCAGTTGAAACTAATATACCCTAAAAAGAAAAAGAGACTAGATTTCATGGGAGAAACAACATTTTTAGGACACGGGAGTGGAACATGGATTTTGTTCCAACAGTGCTTCCCACACTGGAGTCTGCAGAAGAGTTGATGCTCACTGTGGTGCTATGCGAAACAGTGTATTGGCTCCAAAAAGTTTGAGAAGGCTCCTGTAACCCAAAGTTAAACACTTTGCTGCAGGAGTGCTCCAAGCCTTCAGTGTGCTAATAAGCACAGTCAAGCTGAGGGAGGTAAATGGAATATACCATTTCCAGACTTGTTTGACCACAAGGATCCTTTGCGTGTGAGTGGTAGTGACAGTGGGGAAGCCATCTGTTGATGGGTCCCAGAAGACTGCTCAACAGAACCAAGTTCAGGAAATTCTGCATTGGACTAATACCAGTCCCAGAGGGTACAGGACGATGCAGTCTCTCAGAATCACTGGGCATGTTCTTCCCGGATCTGATAGAAGATGCCAAGACCTCACCTGGAACAAGACCTGGCCTGAAGCGAGACCTGCGGTTTCCCAGGAGGGAACAGCCACAGTCAGCCTTGAACGTCCCAACTTCCTGCTGCTCTCACGTAAGCTTCTGCCTTACATTTACTTAGAGTTAGTAAGTCTAATTCCCTTACCTTGTCATCAGCAATTAACGAAGGTGATTGGCATGGCCTTAGTGAACGGCCCAGGCTTCCCAAATTCACCCCTGTTGCCAAATGCTGCATGATTTCTTTTTTTTTTTTCTGAGACGGAGTTTCCCTCTTGTCACCAGGCTGGAATGCAATGATACCATCTCAGCTCACTGCAACCTCCACCTCCCAGGTTCAAGCGATTCTCCTGCCTCAGCCTCCTGAGTAGCTGGGATTACAGACACCTGCCGCCATACCCAGCTGATTTTTGTATTTTTTTGGTTGAGACGGGGTTTCTCCACATTGGCCAGGCTGGTCTTGAAAACCTGACCTCAGGTGATCCTCCCACCTCAGCCTCCCAAAGTGCTGGGATTACAGGCATAAGTCACCGCACCTGGACAAGATCTGCATGATTTTTGCCACAGGTTTACGGGTTTGAGTGTGCGAGCCCCCCGTGCTCTGCCTCTCCTCCTAAGCCTCCTGCCTGCACCTGCCACGAGGCCTCCAGGTGGACATGAAGTCCAGGCTGTGGTTACAATGCCAAAGAGTTCAGGCTTTTCATGAGTGTCATTAAGGGACACTGATCAGGACACTCTGCTCTTTCAATAGATTTTCAATTAAACGGAAGAAAAGATTACAGACCATTCTACCCTTAATTACCCATGTGGCCACTGGATGAGCCACTGAAATCCCAGGCTCTCAGAATTCTAATCCACACATTGATTTCCACAGTCCCTTAATCAAAATAAATGCACACACCCAGATACAATGGGATATCTCTCCGCTCTTTTCCAACGGCCTTCCCTCTGCCGTAACTGAGCTGTCACTGAGAGCCAGGCTGCATGAACATTTTAAATCTTTATCTTATTTAACCTCTCAGCCGCTCTATCAGGAGGTGAATGCAACCTCAAAGCCACGTGGCCCCAATTTGAGGTGCCCCTGGCAGTGTGCTGCGCAAACTGCAATCTGCTTACTCCAAGGAATAGAATCATGCTGTTGTGTGGATGCCTCATCGCTGCTGTTCCCCCACCCAGACTCCCCAGTATTCCAGAGACCCAGGACCTGTGGACTGTTAAATTAGGAACCAAAACAGACACACCACTCGGAGCAGAACCGTGCTGGAGGCTGGAGAGGTGTTGGGATTTGCAGACATTTAAAAATTACACAATTAAAATCATCTGCAATGAGTGTGTTATGAATAAAATCATGGATTCACTGTAAATATTTTTCTAAATACAAAACAGATTCAGGCACACTGCGTGTCCCTGGTCCAAGCCAACCTTCGAGTTGGTCTCTCCGAGGTCAGAGCCCCCTGTTTCCACAAGAGCTTTAGCTGTTACGCCCAAATGCTGGCCACATCTCCTCACCTACTTGGTGAAACTGAATAACCATTTCCTCAGAAGTTATGTGCAACATACATTACAACGAGGGGATTTAGCACGTAGAGCTTCCTTATTTTAACCCCACACCATCACATTCTCAGGGGTAGAGTCAGAAGGAGGCCGACATTTCCATTAGATTGGAACCATAGGGTCAGGCTTTCAGAGGTGGAAGGGATGTCAGAAGGCTACTTCTCAGAGGGTCCATTGTACAGAGTGGAAACCAAGGCCATGTGGGGCGCCCACCTCAGCTGTGGTCACGGAGTGGTTGTGTTACTGGGCCACAAACCCAGGTCTTCAGACTCCAAGACCAGGTCTCGTCTTCGGAGATTACATGAACACTTTCTTCAATCCACATGAAAACTAGGTCACAAAACACAGGTTAAGTAACATTTCTGATGTGTCCTCTGTTGCTTAGGATGACTCCAGTTGGAGAAGGCACTCTGTTTATGGAAAATCACCTCCTCAGAAACTTTTTTTTTTTTAGCCATCATCATGTGCTTATGGAAAAACATCATTCAATAATAAACACCAGAATAGACACTCGGGAGCAAATCAGAGTTCTTTGTTTTGTTTTTGGTTTTCATTTTCTTTTGTTATATAAAGAGGATTTTCATTCTTGCCACCCTCATAAACTGTGTTCAAACTCTTCATCTCTAGCTGCGTGTCTCTGAGCTAAAGATAACTACTGCCTATACTGGACATAGAGCAGAAGTGGAAACTTCTTCTGTAAAGGGCCAGATAGTAAATATTCTAGCTTTGCAAGTCATACAGTGTATTAGTCAGGGTTCTCCAGAGATGTAGGACCAATTGAATACATATATACACACACACACACACACACACACACACGTATACACACACACACACACACACACACACACACACACATATATATATTCTAAGGAATTGACTCACGGTTAGGAAGGCTGAAGGCTGAGCAGTCCCATGATCTGCCACCTGCAGGCTGGAGACCCAGGAAAGCCCATGTAATTTGAGGGCCTGAGTGTGGGAGAACCGATGGAGTCAATTCCAGTCCTGGTCTAAGATCCCGAGAACAAAGAGTAGTGAGGGCAGGAGAACCACGTTCCAGCCCAAGAGATCAGGCAGAGAGCAAAGTCAACCTTCCTCCACTATTTTATTCTATTCATGCCTTCAATGGATTGGATGCACCCACCCACACTGGGGAGGGCCATCTGACTTAGTCCACCATTTAAATGTTCAACTCTTCCAGAAACACCAGGCACTTCCACAAACTTGCAGACACACCAGAAATAATGTTTAACCACATATCTGGGCAACCTCTGGCCCAATCAAGTTGGTGCATAACACCAACCATCACATCTGGTCCCTGCTGCAACTACTCAACTCCACCCTTGTGGCATGAAAGCAGCCACAAAGGGTAAACAAGTAGGTATAGCTGTGTACTAATAAAACTTTATTTACAAAAATAGGCCATTGGCCAGGTTTGCCAACCCCTGTTATAAATAATGACAATGTTTTTGTGTAGAACGCTGAGTGAATTATTGTGGCATCAGTGGACATATTTTGGAATTTTATAAGCATTAATTAAGCACTTTAACATTTTACTGACCTATTAACCTTTTGCCTGGGCAAGCTGTCATTGTGTAGTCATAATCACTATCACATTTGAGAACATATTTCAAGAACACAGTTGTGAAGACTTGTAGAGAAGCCAACGTTCAGGACATTCAAGAGGAAGGGTCAGGAATGAGTGAGCTTTGAGTATTTATTCCAGATGTTCCACAAAGCTAAGAAGCACCTAGAAATACATCAATAACAATAAAGGTCTTGGGTACATGAATTTTTTCTCTCTCACTACCACTTTGTGAAATAATTCTACACACTCTTCTTCCACATTGGGAATATTTCCAGTGGTCTCCAGAAAGCTCTGCCTCTGGATTTCTATGGCGTGGATTGTGTTACATTCTTATAAAACACAGCACAATACCCATGCCCTGCTGCAAACGACATGTTAGGGAAGACCTGATCAAAAGTTTTTTGCAGGAATTTTCCGGGCGCGGTGGCTTATGCCTGCAATCCCAGCACTTTGGGAGGCTGAGGTGGGCAGATCACTTGAGGCTGGGAGTTTGAGACCAGCTTGACTGAAGATTATGGTGAGCTCTGACATTGAGGTGGTGCATGAGGTCCAGTTCCTGGCAGAGGGGAGAATATGGGAGGGGAGAGGAAGGAACTACTTGAAGAACTGAGGAAGGCAGGTGTGACCTGAGAAAGGAGAACAAGGAGGGGTGGCAAGAGAGGGACAGAGGTGAGCACAGAAGGAAGAAAGATGAATGGGCCTCAGGTGATGCCAGAGAAAACTCCAGAAGCCCACGAAGCACATTCCAGCAAGCTCTGTAGGGACATTGTGCCCAAGATTTCCATACCCAGCCCAGGTGTCGGCCACAAGAAAAGGCCGTGGAAAGACAGTCTCAGATGGAGGGGCCAGGAGGATACAACATCCCCGCAACGCCATTCCATCATTCCATCTGCAAACTCCAGCCAGCAGAGGCAAGTTAGAGAAAGTAGCACAAGAGGGGGCAAACATGGCAGCAAAGGGTGGTGATAAGTAAGAAACCCCATAAACAAAGGCATTCGGTCCAATAAACTGTAAATGGGAGTAATACAATCAATGCAGGCTAGGTGCGGTGTCTCACGCCTGTAATTCCAGCACTTTGGGAGGCCAAGGTAGGTGGATTGCTTGAGCCCAGGAGTTCAAGACGAGCCTGGGAAACATGGTGAAACCCCATCTCTACAAAATATACAAAAATTAGCCAGGAGTGGTGGCGCATACCTGTGCTCACAGCTACTAGGCAGGCTGAGGCAAGAGGATCACTTGAGCCAGGGAGGTGGAGGTTGCAGTGAGCTGAGATCGTGCCACTGCACTCCAGCCTGGGCGACAGAGCAAGACCCTGTCTCGAAAAAAATAAATCAATCAATCAGTGTAAATGCCAAAGCAATTGTTCTTAAAAGGTACCAAAAAAAAATCTCAATATACTAAATTGTGATTTAAAAACAATCTTTCTAGAATCCCAAAGTCACAGAAATAGGACTGGTAAAGGGGAAAAGTGAATGCATGCTAAATGTTTAATCACACATGGGTTCTCCTCAATAGGAAAAAATGAGAGTGAGAACCTCCTGAGTGCTAGCAAGCAGTGAGGGTGTGCTTAAAACAAACAAACAACAAAAAAGCATAAAAGCCAAAATAAAGAGGGGCAAAAAAAGACAGTATGCATATAAGGTAGAATAGTACACTGCATTAAAAATCATGTTCTAGGCCAGGCGTGGTGTCTCATGCTTGTAATCCCAGCACTTTGGGAGGCTGAGGTGGGTGGATCACCTGAGGTCAGGAGTTCAAGACCAGCCTGGCCAACATGGCAAAACCCCATCTCTACTAAAAATACAAAATTAACCGGGCATGGTGGCAGGTGCCTCTAATCCCAGCTACGCAGGAGGCCGAAACATGAGAATAGCTTGAATTCTGGGAGGCAGAGGTTGCAGTGAGCAGAGATCACGCCATTGCACTCTAGCCTGGGTGACAGAGCAAGACTCTATCTCAAAAACATAAAATAAAATCATGTTCTAGATGAAAACCTAATGACGTGAAATTATTTCTATAATTTCAACTTTTATTTTAGATTCAGGGGGTACATGTTCAGGTTTGTTACATGGATACATTGTGTGGCAATGAGGTTTGGTGTACAAATGATCCCATCCACCCAGGTAGTGAACACTATACCCAACAGTTTCTCAACACTTGCTTCCTTCCCATCCTCCCCTAGATAGAGTCTCCATCTTTATTTCCATGTGTACCCAATGTCTAGCTCACACTTATCAGTGAGAACATGTGGTATTTGGTTTTCTGTTTCTATGTTAATTCACTTAGGATAATGGACTCCAGCTGCATCCATGTTGCTGCACAGGACATTATTTCATTCTTTTTTATGGCTGTGTAGTATTCCATGGTATATATGTACCACATTTTCTTATTCCAATCCACCATTGATGGGCACCTAGGTTGATTCCATGCCTTTGCTATTGTGACTGGTGCTGTGATGAACATACGAGTGCATGCATCTTTTTGGTAGAATGATTTCTTTTCCTTGGATATATGCCCAGTAATGGGATTGCGGGGTCAAATAGTATTTCTGTTTTAAGTTCTTTGAGAAATCTCCAGACTGCTTTCCATAGTGGCTGAACTAATTTACATTCCCATCAACAGTGTATAAGCATTCCCTTTTCTCTGCTGCTTGCCAGCAGCGAATTTTTTTATTTTTTTTTTTTACTTTTTAATAAGAGCCATTCTGATTGGTGTGAGATGGTAGCCCACTGTAGTTTTGATTTGCATTTATATGAAGATTAATGATGTTGAGCATTTTTTCGTGTTTGTTGGTCACCTGCGCGTCCTCTTTTGAGAAGTGTGTGTTCATCACGTTTCAGCCTTTTGGCTAAGATCAAGTGTGAGAAGTGTATGTTCATGTCTTTTGCCCACTTCTTAATGTTTTTTTTATTGCTTTTTGAATTATTTAAGTTCCTTATCGATATAGTGTGGATGTTGTCTCTGCCCAAATCTCATATTGAAATGTTATCCCCAATGTTGGAGGTGGAACCTGGTGGGAGGTCACTGGATCATGGGGGCAGATTTCTCCTGAATGCTTTAGCACCATTTCAGTTGGTACTGTCCCCATGATAGTGGGTCAGTTATTGTGAGATCTGGTCATGGCAGAAGAAGAAAGGGGAGCAGGCACATCCCATGGTGAAAACAGGAGCAAGAGAGCGCAGGGGCAGACTGTAAGCTTCCTGAGGCCTCCCCAGAAGCAGATGCTGCCATGGTTCCTGTACAGCCTGCAGAACCGTGAGCCAATTAAACCTCTTTTCTTTATAAATTACCCAGGCTCAGGTACTTCTTTATAGCAATGCAAGAATACACTAATACACTTATAGATTCTGGATACTAGGCCTTTTTCAGATGCATACTTTGTGAATATTTTCTCCCATCCTGTAGGTTTTCTGTTTACTCTGTTGATAGTTTCTTTTGCTGTGTTGTGCAGAGGCTCTCTAGTTTAATTAGGTCCCACTTGTCAATTTTTGGTTTTGTTGCAATTGCTTTTGAATACCTAGTCATAAATTCTTTCCCAAGGCCAGAATGGTAGTTCCTAGGTTTTCTTCTAGGATTTGTATAGTTTGAAGTCTTACATTTAAATCTTTAATCCATCTTGAGTTACTTTTTGTATACAGTAAAAGATAGAGGGTCCAGTTTCACTCATCTGCATATGGCTAGCGGGCTCTCCCAGCACCATTTATTGAATAGGAAGTCCTTTCCCCATTGCTTATTTTCATCAACTTTGTAGAAGATCTGACGGCTCTAGGTATGCATCTTTATTTCTGGCTTCTCTATTCTGTTCCTTTGGTCTATGTGTCTGTTTTTGTGCCAGCACCATGTTGTTTGGGTTTGTAGCTTAAAGTTGGGTAATTTGATGCCTCCAACTTTGCTCTTTTTGCTTAGGATCACCTTGGCTATTTGAGCTGTTTTTTGGTCCCATATGAATTTTAGGATTGTTTTTTCTAATTCTGTGAAAAATGATGTTGGTAGTTTTGATAAGAATAGCATTGAATCTATAGATTGCTTTGGGCAGTATGGCCATTTTAATGATATTGATTCTTTCAATCCATGAGCATGGAATATTTTTCCATTTATTTGTCATCTATGATTTCTTTCAGCAGTGTTTTGTAGTTCTCCTTGCAGAGACATATTCCTAGGGGGCTGTGTGTGTGTGTGTGTGTCTATTATAAATGGGATTATGTTTTTGATTTGACTATCAGCTTGATTATTACTGGTGTATAGAAATGCTACTGACTTTTTGTGTATTGATTTTGTATACTGAAACTTTATTGAAGTAGATATCATTTCTAGGAGCCTTTTGGTGGAATCTTTAGGGTTTTCCAGGTACAGAATCACATTATCAGCCAAAAGAGATAATTTGGCTTCTTTCCCTATTTGATGCCTTTTATTTCTTTCTCTTGCCTGATTGCTCAGGCTAGGACTTCCAGAACTATGTTGAATAGGAGCGGTGAGAGTAGGCATCCTTGTCTTGTTTCAGTTCTTAATGGAAACGCTTCCAGCTTTTGCTTATTCAGTATGATGTTGGCTATGGGTTTGTCATAGATGGCTCTCATTATTTTGAAGTATGTTCCTTTGATACCTAGTTTGTTCAAGGATTTTATCATAAAGGGATGTTGGATTTTATTGAAAGCTTTTTCCATGTCTATTGAGATGATCATATGGCTTTTGGTTTTCATTCTTTTATGTGGTAAATCGCATTTATTGATTTGTGTATGTTGAACCAAACTTGCATCCTGGTACTGAAGCCTACTTGATCATGGTAAATTAACTTTTTCATGTGCTGTTGGATTCAGTTTGCTAGTATTTTGTTCAGGATTTTTGCATCTATGTTTATTAGGGATATTGGCCTTTAGTTCTCTTTTTTCGATGTGTCTTCACCAGGTTTTGGTTTCAGAGTGATACTAGCTTCAGAGTATCAGTTAGGGAGGAGTCCCTCCTCCTCAATTTTTTGGAATAGTTTCAGTAGAATTTCTACCCACTCTTCATGTACATCTGGTAGAATTCAGCTATGGCTCCATCTGTCCTGGGTTTTTTTTTTATTTGGTAGGTTTTTTTTTTATTACTGATTCAAATTTGGAATTTGATATTGATCTGTTCAGAGTTTTGATTTCTTCCTGATTCAATCTTGGGAGGTTGTGTATTTCTAGGAATTTATCCATTTCCTCTAGATTTTCTAGTTGGTGTGCATAGCTGTGTTCATAATAATCTCTGGGAATCTTTCTTATTTCTGTGGGTCCAGCTGTAATGTCACCTTTGTCGTTTCTTACTATGGTTATTTGGAGCTTCTCTCTTTTTCTCTTTGTTAATCTAGCTAGAAGGCTGTCAATCTTGTTTATCATTCCAAAAAAACAATTTTTGGTTTTGTTGATTCTTTGTGTGGATTTTGGGGTCTCAATTTCTTTCAGTTCTGCTCTAATTTTAGTGTTTCTTTTCTTCTGCTAGCTTTGGGATTAGTTTATTCTTGCTTTTCTAGTTCCTCTGGGTGTGACTTTAGACCCTTAATTTGAGATCTTTCTAACTTTTTGATGTAGGTGATTAGCACTATAAACTTTCCTCTTGACACTGATTTTGCTGCATCCCAGAGACTTTGGTTATGTTGTGTCTCTGTTTTCACTTATTTCAAAGAATATTTCTATTTCTGTCTTAATTTTATTGTTTACCCAAAAGTCATTCAGGAGCAAGTTATTTAATTTCCATGTAATTATGAGATTTTGAGAGATCTTCTTCGTATTGATTTGTATGTCTACTCCACTGTGGTCCAAGAGTATGGTTGGTATGATTTCAATTTTTTAAAAATGTAGTGAGACTGGCTTTATGGCCGAGCATGTGGTTGATCTTAGAGTACTGGATGTGCACGTGAGAAGAATGTCTGTTTTGTTATTAATGGGTAGAGTATTCTGCAGATATCCATTAGGTCCTATTGGTCAAGTGACGCAAAATTTTAATGTTGATTGGGAGCTGTTTTCACTAGGAGTTAGTTTAACTTACGAGTTGAAGAATGTAAGTCTTTACACATTCAATGAAAAACAAAGACTAGAAAACCATATTACATTGAAATTTCATTCTTATACATAAAACTATACATTACATAGCTATGAAAAACTTCAACAAAGAAATTACAAAGTTAGTGATGGATTAAGAGAACATTGGAAAATTATATTTTCTCTTTTTGTTCATTATATTTTATAATGTCTCTGATAAATTTGTATTCTGTCACAAGGAAACAAGTTATTTTAAAAATAAAATTGTAAAATAATTTGTATGGTGTAATTTGTAAGTCTATACATAAATTATAAATACATTTATAAAAATATAACCAGATGGCAGAGGAAGGACCAAATGTATCATATATGATTAAAACTGACAAAAGTTAGAATACAATATAATATGATAGCCATAAATACTTCTGTGCCAAATAACATAATGTTAAAATATTTAAAATGTAAACTCCTCAGAACATAAGGAGAAACTGACAAAAACATAATTTTAGTCACCTGTAATCCCAGCACTTTGGGAAGCCGAGGAGGGTGGGTCACCTGAGGTCAGGAGTTTGAGACCAGCCTGGCCAACATGGTGAAACCCCATCTCTACTAAAAATACAAAGATTAGCTGGACATGGTAGTGCATGCCTGTAATCCCAGCTCCTCAGGAGGCTGAGGCATAAGAATCGCTTGAACCCAGGAGGCAGAGGTTGCAGTGAGCAGAGATCATGTGACTGCACTCTAGCCTGGGCAACAGAGCAAGACTCTGTCTCAAAAAAAAAAAAAAAGAAAGAAAAAGAAAAACATAATTTTAGTGGCAGACACTATTGCACATCTTAAAGTCAAAAAGCAGATCTTTAATAAGGATACTGAGTATCTAAATAATATGAATTAAGAAAGCTGCTTTAATAGATATATTATGATTTGTACCTTTTAAACATGGAATACATATTACTTTTTCAAACTCATGGAACATTCACAAAAATATACCATATACCAAACAATGAATTATACCTCTGTAGATTTAAAAGAAAATTGTATATTACCAAATATTAATTAATAAAATTATGAATAATTTAAAAGTTATACCCAAAAAATACAACCTCTTGAGAACAATATATATATGACTACATAAATAGTTGACAAATAAATATTTGATAAAAAAAGCCATCACAAATGCAAATTATTAAGAAAGTAATTATAATACTACACATTAGAGTGTATGAAATGGGCTCAAAACTGTACTCAGAAAAAAAAACAAGTCTTAAAATATTTTGTTTGCTCTTATTGTCATGTTTATTAGTAGCCACTATCTATGGAGTATTTACTACGTTCCGAGCACAGTGCTAAACACTGTATACAGATTATCTAATTTAGTTATTTCCTAAATCTTACCAGGTAGATGTCAAATAATTAGCATAAAAGTGAATGAAAGAAGTCTCCAAATCAAGGAGCTAGAAAAAAAGGCATCAAAATGCCTTCAAGGAAAACATGTAAGATATACAAAAAGAATGAAGAAAGATGGAAAACAGGAAACAGTGAATGAGTGAAGAGAAAAAGTAAAATTAATAATTCTAAGAGCTGGTTCTTTGAAAAGACAATAAGGAAACCACTGAGAAGACTAATTATGCAGAAAATAAAGAAAAAGCAAATACACACCATTGGGGTTTATCACAGATATATAAATGATATGGAGGAGATCTTAAAATATAAACAATGTTATAGTCACCTCACACTACTATATCTGGAAAACAGAATCTCAATGCAGAAGGTTCTCTAAAAAATTACCAACATTGGTTGTTAAAAGGAGATGATTTGTGCTGGGTACAGTGGCTCACATCTGTAATCCCAGCACTTTGGGAGGCCGAAGCAGGTGGATCACGAGGTCAGGAGTTCAAGACCAGCCTGGCCAACATGGTGAAACCCTGTCTCTACTAAAAATACAAAAAAAAAATAGCTGAGTGTAGTGGCAGGTGCCTGTAATCCCAGCTACTTGGGAGGCTGAGGCAAGAGAATCATTTGAACCCAGGAGGCAGAGGTTGCAGTGAGCTGAGATGGTGCCATTGCACTCCAGCCTGGCCAACAGGGGGAGACTCCACCTCAAAAAAAAAAAAAAAAGAAAGGAGATGATTTGAAAGATTTAGGGGCTTAATAAACACACTATTATTTCCCTCCTGAGTTCAGAACCAAGAAAAAAAATAAGACACAGAAGACAGGCAGATGTCAAGTAGAATATCAATCTCAATACTGATACACCAATTAGGGCAACCAACTTTAAGGCCAAAAGGGCTTCCTAACACCACCCCTGCCACCCACCACCCACTGCTAGCTCTGAGGCACCCTGCTGAGGGTACTGTCACTTGAACTGTCACCTCACACTAACCGGGAAGAAAAAGGGAAGGAAAAGGAAAAAACCCCAGTACTTGGAGCCAGGCAAAAGATTAGCAAGAGAAATGGACAACACTGTCATCTCCCTAACCACAGGCCAGAGCCCT
The DNA here is from genome assembly GCF_000001405.40 of Homo sapiens. Taxonomy (NCBI): domain Eukaryota; kingdom Metazoa; phylum Chordata; class Mammalia; order Primates; family Hominidae; genus Homo; species Homo sapiens. The sequence goes on along the minus strand of NC_000002.12, from coordinate 238,618,671 downwards.
CCTCCGCCTCCACAGAGAATCAAGAACAAGTGATATGTTTTGGCTGTGTCCCCACCCAAATCTTATCTTGAATTCCCACATGTTATGGGAGGGACCCAGTGGGAGGTAACTGAATCATAGGGGCAGGTCTTTCCCATGCTGTTCTCATGATAGTAAATAAGTCTCACAGGATCTGATGGTTTTATAAGGGGGAGTTTCCCTGCACAAGCTCTCTGTTTGCCTGCTGCCCTCCACGTAAGATGTGACTTGCTCCTCCTTGCCTTCTGCCATGATTGTGAGGCTTCCTCAGCCATGTGGAATTGTAAGTCCATTAAACACTTTTTTCTGTATAAATTAACTAGTCTGGGGTATGTCTTTATCAGCAGAGTAAAAACAGACTCATATAGCAAGGGAGGATTGAAAAGGAACAATAGCCTGGTACTCATGGGACTGGAGCCCATGAAACGAGCTGTCCTCTCTCCAACAATTTGGCTAGAATAATGATGAAGGGAGAATTTGAGAGACAAAAAAGTCTGCCTCTAAAAAAGGTACCTCATGAAGATGATCTCACTGGCAAATTATTTTAAGTTTTCAAATAACACAGGACCAGTGCACCAAATGAAGTCTTTTGAAGAATAGTGAAAAAAATAAATTAATAATGAAATAAATGGAAATGTTTACAATTCATTTTAGAACCAAGCATAATTATTTCTCTAGAGTTCTCTTTTATAAATATATATAGCAAATTCCTCTATTAAAAACTAGGGAAGGAAGACCAGTGCTCTATAAAGGAAAAAATACACCATCACCAAGTAAAGATTATTCCAGGAATGCAATATAAGACATGTATGAATATAAATCTTGTCAATTGAAAAAAGGATAAAAACCATATGATCATCTCAATAGATGCCAAAAGGCTTTTCATAATACTCAGTATGCACTATTCATTGTATATGTACACACACACACACTCCAGGATTGGGGTTGCCTACAAGCAAGGAAGATCACATGTTATTACCCGGTTCCACTGCTGCTTGGAATGTGATGGTCAGGTCTGCTCATATCTAAGAAGGAGAAGAACATAGCCAGAAAGCTAGCCATGCAAGAGAGGTGAGGTGGGTCATACAGCAAGAAAACGCACCTCCTAGGTCAAGAACCACCTTGCCAGAGCTCACCCAGAGGGAAGCTTGCTGGAAAGAGGGGGTAAAAAAAGATGGGGTTGTCAGATTAAATACAGGACACCAGTTAGATTTGAATCTCAGGTAAATAATAAATAATTTTTTTGACTACAAGTATGTCCCAAATATTGCATGGGACATACACTAAAAAATTATTGCCCAGGCGCGGTGGCTCACGCCTGTAATCCCAACACTTTGGGAGGCGAAGGCAGGTGGATCACGAGGTCAGAAGTTGAAGACCAGCCTGGCCAAGATGGTGAAACCCCATCTCTACTAAAAATACAAAAATTAGCCGGGCACAGTGGCGTGCACCTGTAATCCCACCTACTCGGGAGGCTGAGGCAGGAGAATCACTTGAACCTGGGCAGCAGAGGTTGCAGTGAGCTGAGATTGCGCCACTGCACTCCAGCCTGGGCAACAGAGCGAGACTCTGTCTCAAAGAAAAAAAAATTATTAATCATTTATCTGACATTGAAATGTAACTAGGTATCCTGTATTTTATTTACTAAATCTTGCAAACCTACGAAGACACCAAGCCAGAGATGTGGCTCCCATGTCAGAGAATATTGCAGCAGGTTGGCCCCAGAAGCACCCAAGAACTTGCAAATACCCAGCAAGGCAAAAGAGCCATTTGTTCGCCTGCTACACAGGATATCAGTGACTAATGTGATCAGAGCTGCAAGCAAGCGAAAGAGCAGATTGTAGTCGGATGTCTGGTTAGAAAAGCAACATCTACACCTTGCTGTCCCTTCCCCCCATTCCCTGCAGAGCATAGAGGTTAAACTTTGGCAAGGGAGGAGAAGACAGACATGCTACCCCGTGGGCATTCCAGGAAGAAGGGGGTGGGGCAGAAGAGTACAACATCAGACCAAGCCCCTCCTCACTTCAAGACCCTCAGGTCACAGCAAGGGGAGGTTGGCGGGAAGGATGCAGGGAACTTTAATAGGGCAAGAGGAGGCTGAAGATACAAACTGTGGATTTTAATAACCAACTGACCAGGAAGTTGAGGAATCTGCCCGAGATGCTATTAAGATACATGCCACCATTCACTTTGTGAGTGGAGAAAAATAAAACCTTTTTATTATTTAATTCATTAGCCAACATCTTAATTAACAATGAAGCAGTAGAGCTATTCCCATTATAGTAAGAAATAAAACAAAGCTACCTCCACTGTTGTTATTAAATATTCTTCTGGAATTTTGCTTCCTACAGCAGTTAGAAAAGAAAAGAAAATAGGAGATAATGTATTGGAAAGGAGGTAGTAATTTTTTTTTTGCCAATGATACAATTTACTAACTTAAAAATTATAAAAATGAGAGCTCAATAAGCTGCCAGAAGAAATGAAAAGTATGAACAAATTCCTTCTGTCACACCAAGGCTTACGGACTGCGGGGGCACTCAAATGCATTTCCCAGGGTCGAAGACTCATCCACAGCTGTGACAAGGATGAAATCCGGGGAAATGCATTTGCATGCTTCCTTCTCTTGCCTGTCCAGACATCTGACTTCTTCCTGCCCTGGGGAGGAAGGGCGAGAGATTAGGATTATCATAGCGGGGGATATTTTTAAAAGATAGAATATTCATCTCCTACTTGAAATATGGGAATTTTGTATCTGCAGAAAGAAAGCAAGATTTTGTTGAGACAGAAAAGAAACTTCCCAAATTAATTTCCTCCTTCAGAACTCAGGAGGCAAGTCCATGGAGTTTCAAAACAGCTGTGCCTAAGGGAGACTATATCCCACCTGGAGACGCAAGAGAACTACCCTGTCCTCTGAGGAGAAGTGCAGGTAAGAGAAGGAAGAGAAAAGCAAAGGAAACGGGTGGGCATCGGGTGGGCTGAAACTCCAGCATGAAGACGGGTGTGTTGGCAAGGGGAATACCAAAGATGGGGGCTTCTGCCTGCCTTCCCGCTTGGAAGCCCCTGAAGAAAGTGCCCTCGCATGCTAACTGGCATCAGTGGCCACATCCTCTGTAAGCCCAGCAGCGTCTATGCAAAGAGGCCTTCCTCAGAGTGACTGTGCCACCAAAGACACTAGGGTCCCCCAGGCCTGTGGAGGCCAGCAGAGGAGTACTCGATTGCAAGCCAGTGACTCACCATTTGGGGGAGCTCTGGGGGCTGCATGGCCCTGCAGCAAAGGTCATGGGATGCGCTTAAGGGACAGATGCGGAGGGCCTCCAAGGTGCAGCAGCCAGAATGGGTCCTAGGCAGCCAGGGGTGATGACAAGGACCACTAGGAGTGTGACCCAGGACAAGAAGCAGAACTGGGCTGATCCCTGCCACCCTGTTCAGCAACACTTCCAGAGCAGCAAGTCTCCAGAAACCCAAAGACCCTCTACACATCCTGGGCCACAAGGATAGGTACATTCTGACCAGGTAATACCATGTGACCTCAGTGCCCATATTTGTTTGTTTGTTAAAATCACATTGGCACTAAGAGCTTTGTTTTAGGTAACAGAGAAAATAAGAAAGATAAGCTTAGTATTTATTTGTCTATAACAAATATTTGCCAAATATATGTCAAGCACTGTACTAAGTGTTGGAATTCAACAGTAGTGAGACAGATACATGGATAAGTGGATGGATGGGGGTAGATGAATGAATGGTTGGATGGGTAGGTGGGGGGTGGGTAGGTAGATGTGGATGGAGGGATAGGTGGATGGGTGGGTGAGTAGATGAGTGAATGAGTGGATGGATGGGTGGACGGATGGGTGGGTAGATGTGGATGGATAAATGCATGGATAGGTGAATAGACAGGTAAGTAAATGAATGGATAGGTGAAAGGGTGGATGAGTGGGTGGATATGGCTAGATGGACAGATATGGATAGGTGAGTAGATGAGTGAATTGATGAATGGGTAGAAGGATGGGTGGGTAGATGAGTGAATGGGTGGATGGGTGGGTAGGTGGATGGATGGATATGTATAGATGGATAAATACATGGATGGATGTGTGGGTAGATGGGTGAATGGGTAGATGGTTGTGTGGGTGGTTGGGTGGATGGGTGAATGGATGAGTGGAGGTAGAGGCAGATGGATATGGATGGATGGATAGGTGAACAGATGTGTGGGTAGATGAGTGAATGGGTGGATGGATGGGTGGGGTGGATGTGGATAGATGAATGGGTAGGTGAATAGATGTATGGGTAGATGAGTGAATGGTGGATAGATGGGTGGGGTGGATGCAGATGGATATGGATAGATGCACAGATAGATGGATAGACACCAAGATAAAAAGTTATGTCATCAGATTCAGAGACACAATTGAATACATAGAAACACAGAGACACAGATAAAGTCCATGAGAGGTTTTGATAAGTACATGTAAAATTTGAGTAGAATAAGGCTGATAGGGATTACCAGTACAGAGGCTGGGGAAAATACTTTTTCATCATTTTGCATCAGATATTGTACATCAGGTGGTCAGGTAGGACCACTGTGATGAGATGGACATTTGAGCAGTGATTGTGAGGAAGTGGGGGCAGGAGCTGGGTAGATCCATCTGGTGTCACGCAAACCAGGACATGTGGACAGACAGCACACACACCAATCCTGCAGGAGCACCATTCACTGGAGAAAACTCCAGAGACTGGGTGAGCAGCAGGTGTGTAGGTCTCTGCACAGGAATCTGGTGTTCTGGCAGGATGGGGACCTGGAAGTGCCAGACATCAGACTCAAGAAGAGTGATCCTGACTCTTTGGCTACAAAGCTTTGAAGCTACAGGATAACAAAAGTGCTTGCCCCAGCCTGGTGGGACAAGGGAAGGATACAATCGCGATGTGATACAATGGAACCCTGGCCCCAGCACTGGAGCTGCGGGGGCAGGGTTTCTTGAAGAAGTATTCATATTATATTATTTATTCAGAAAAATGTCGAAAAACTATGTTTGCACAATTCTAAATTTGTATAAATATATAGTATATATACGGTCCTAGATATGCGCATATATATATATATATATATATTTTTTTTTTTCTTTTTTTGAGACAGAGTCTCGCTCTGCCACCCAGGCTGGAGCGCAGTGGTGTGATCTTGGCTCACTGCAACCTTTGCCTCCCAGGTTCAAGCGATTCTCCTGCCTCAGCCTCCCGAGTGGCTGGGACTAAAGGCACACGCCACCACGCCTGGCTAATTTTTTGTATTTTTAGTACAGACGGGGTTTCACCATGTCAGCTAGGATGGTCTTGATCTGACCTCATGATCCGCCCACCTCGGCCTCCCAAAGTGCTGGGATTACAGGCGTGAGCCACTGCACCCAGCCTGCAAAGATATTTTCTACCTTAACAGAAAGAATAAACAGAACACATTATATTATGTATTATACTATATGAAGAATAAATATAGAATATATTTTATAATATTATATGTTATACATGGGTATATGTAAGTATATGTTACTAGTGGTTGTCTCTCTGTGATAAGATCAAGGGGAGGTTTTCTTTTCCTTATGTTCCAACATTTCTTCAATGAACAAAATGAACATTAATTCTCTAGCAGAAAAAAAAAACAGAATAATAATTTTTTGAGGAAGATAGGAACAGGAGACCAAGAGCAGAAGCCTGACATGACCTGAAGTATGTGTAAGGTTGAAGTTTAAGAGCTCAGGTGTGTTCAGGTGGGATCTTTACACATTCAGGTGAGCACAGGCAGGAGCTGGACCAAGGACAGACCAGAAGACTGGGATGAATGTGTATCTCACGCCACAGGCTGTGAGGCTCTTATGCCCGCCTTCATGACCCTAAGGGATCCTTGACTTCTTCAGTCTGGTGAATGTGTACTAAGGGCAAATTGCTGATGTTTTTCCCTTTTGTCACCTAGCTGTGAGGCTGAACTGAACCAAGTGACAATTGTTCTGGTAGTGAATGAGCATGGCATTGTGGTGAATTGTGCCACTGAAATTGGGCTTTTTATGAAAGACTACAGAACTTGAGTTTGATAAGTGACTGATAACTTTATCATGATGTATTTTCTATATATACATTGCTGGACTCCATTGGTTAATAATAAGTCTTTTGCATTTACTTTCATGAGTGCCTTTTACCAATAATTGTAGCTTCTCATTTTACCATTGGTCTAATTTTGGCATCAAGGTATACACGCATATCAGTTGAAGCAGCAAATATTTTCTTTGTCTATTCTCTGGAACAGATTATATAAATTGAGATTATCTATTCCTTGAATATTTGGTAGAACCTATCTCTAAGCTCTCTGGGCCTGGAAGGAATTTTGCCAGTAGCTTTTTAACTATTTGATTCAATTTTGTTAATGAGTGTATGCAGGTTTTCTACTTCCTCTTAAGTCAGTTTTGGCAATTTGTATTTTTCTAGGAAATTGGCAATTTTGTTATACATTTTCATGGTTATCCATAAGTAGCATCTTTTTAAAAAACATGCCTATGTCTTTGTTGTTTTTAATTCCTGTCTTTGCATTTGTTTATTCACTGCTTACCTCTCTCGTCATTGAAAAATGTAGGCAGAAAATTGTTTGTACTGCTAATCTTTTCCAGAATCAGCTCTTGGTTGCATGGGTCTTCTCCTCATGTATCTTAGTTTTACATTTCACTAATTTCTGCTCATACCTATTTCTTTCCTTCCCATTTTTAGAGTTTACCACGTTTTCTTTTAATTTATTTTTTCTTATTTTTTATTTCCATAGGTTTCTGGGGAACAGGTGGTATTTGGTTACATAAGTTCTTTAGTGGTGATTTGTGAGATTTTGGTGCACCCATCACCCAAGCAGCATACACTGAACCCAATTTGTAGCCTTTTATCCCTCAACCCCTGCCCACTCTTTCTCCCCCTCCAAAGTCCATTGTAACATTCTTATGCCTTTGCAACCTCATAGCTTAGCTCCCACTGATGAGTGAGAACATACGATGTTTGGTTTTCCATACCTGGGTTACTTCACTTAGAATAATCATCCCCAATCTCATCCAGGTTGCTGTGAATGCCATTAATTCATTTCTTTTTACGGCTGAGTAATATTCCATTGTGGGTGTATATATATATATATATATATATATACATACATATATATATATATATATACATACATATATATATATATACACACACTCACACACACACATACGTACATATATATATACATATATACACACACACACATATATATACATATATATCAGAGTTTCTTTATCCACCTGTTGATTAATGGGCATTTGGGCTGGTTCCATATTTTTGCAATTGCAAATTGTGCTGCTATAAACATGTATATGCATGCATCTTTTTTGTATAATGGCTTCTTTTATTCTGGGTAGATGCCCAGTAGTAGGGCTGCTGGATCAAATGGTAGTTCTACTTTTAGTTATTTAAGAAATCTCTACACTGTTTTCTATAATGGTTGTACTAGTTTACATTATCACCAGCAGTATAGTAGTGTTTCCTTTTCACTGCATCCACACCAACATCTATTTTTTTTTTATTATGGCCATTCTTGTGGGGGTAAGGTGGTATCATATTGTGGTTATGATTTCCATTTCCCTGGTCATTAGTGATGCTGAGCATTTTTTCATATGTTTGTTGGCCATTTGTATATCTTCTCTGGAGAATTGTCTGTCCATGTCCTTAGCCCAATTTTTGATGGGATTGTTTGTTTTTTTCTTGCCAATTTGTTTGCATTCCTTGTAGATTCTGGCTATTAGTCCTTTGTTGGATGTATAGATTGGAAAGATTTTCTCCCACTCTGTGGGTTGTTTGTTTACTCTGCCGTCTGGTTCCTTTTGCAGTGAAAAAGGTTTTTAGTTTAATTAAGTCCCACCTATTTATCTTTTTGTTGTGTTTGCTTTTGGATTCTTGCTCATGAAATCTTTGCCTAAGCCTATGTCTAGAAAGGTTTTCTGACGTTATCTTCTAGAATTTTTATAGTTTCAGGTCTTAAATTTAAGTTCTTAATCCATTTGAGTTAATTTTTGTATAAAGTGAAAGATGAGGATCCAGTTTCATTCTTCTACGTGTGGCTTGCCAATTATCCCAGCACCATTTGTTGAATAGAGTGTCCTTTCCCCACTTTATGTTTGCTTTTTTGAAGATCAGTTGGCTGTAAGCATTTGGGTTTATTTCTGGGTTCTCTATTCTGTTCCATTGGTCTATGTGTCTATTTTTAATACTAGTACCATACTGTTTTGGTGACCATAGCCTTAGAGTATAGTTTGAAATCAGGTAATGTGATGCCTCCAGATTTGTTTTTTTTGCTTAGTCTTGCTTTGGCTATGCAGGCTCTTTTTTGGTTCCATATGAACTTTATAATTGTTTTATTTCTAGTTCTGTGAAGAATGATGGTGGTATTTTGATGGAAATTGCATTAAATCATAGATTGCTTTTGGCAGTATGGTCATTTTCACAATATTGATTCTACCCATCCATAAGCATTTGATGTGTTTCCATTTGTTTGTGTCATCTATGATTTCTTTCAGCAGTGTTTTGTAGTTTTCCTTGTAGAGGTCTTTCACCTCCTTGGTAAGGTATATTCCTAAGTATTTTTTAACAGCTATTGTAAGAGGGGTTGAGTCCTTGATTTCATTCTCAGCTTGGTCGCTGTTGGTGTATAGCAGAGCTCCTGATTTGTATACATTAATTTTGTATCCTGAAACTTTGCTGAATTCATTTATCAGTTCTAAGAGCTTTGTGGAGGAGACTTTAGGGTGTTCTAGGTATACGGTCATATCATCAACAAACAGCAACAGTTTGACTTCCTCCTTACCAATTTGGATGCCCTTTATTTCTTTCTCTTGTCTGAATGCTCTGGCTTTCTCTTGTCTGAATGCTCTGGCTAGGACAAGAATTAGAATTTCTAGAACTAGAAAGCTCAGGGTTTCTAATTCTTCCTGATTTAAGCTGGGAGGGTTGTACCTTTCCAGGAATTTATCCACCTCCTCTAGGCTTCCAGTTTATGTGCATAAAGGTGTTCATAGAAGCCTTGACCGTTTCATTTCTAATTGAGCTTATTTGGATCTACTCTCTTATTTTCTTGGTTAATCTTGCTAATGGTCTATCAATTTTATTTTATCTTTTCAAAGAACCAGCTTTTTGTTTCATTTATCTTCTGTATTGTTTTTTGTTTGTTTGTTTCAACTTCATTTAGTTATGCTCTGATCTTGATTATTTCCTTTCTTCTGCTGAGTTTAAGTTTGGTTTGTTCTTGTTCCTCTAGTTCCTTGAGGCGTGACCTTAAATTGTTTATTTGTGCTCTTTCAGACTTTTTAATGAAGGCATTTAAGGCATTTAAGGAACTTTCCTCTTAGTATCGTCTTTGCTGTGTCCAAGAGGTTTTGATAGGTTGTGTCACTATTATTCAGCTCAAAGAATTTTTTAATTTCCATCTTGATTTCATTGGTGACCCAGTGATCATTCAGGAGCAGGTTACTTAATTTCCATGTATTTGCATGGTTTTGAAGGTTCCTTCGGAGTTGATTTTCAGTTTTATTCCACTGTGGTCTGAGAGAGTACTTGATATAATTTCAGTTTCCTTAAATATACTGAGAGTTGTTTTGTGGCCTATGATATGGTCTGTCCTGGAGGATGTTCCATGTGCTGATGAACAGAATGTACATTTTGCAGTTGTTGAGTAGAATGTTCTGTAAATATCTGTTAAATCCATTTGTTCCAAGGTATAGTTTAAATCCATTGTTTCTTTGTTGACTTTGTCTTGATGACCTGTCTAGTGCTGTCAGTGGAGTATTGAAGTCCCCCACTATTATTATGTTGCCGTCTATCTGATTTCTTGGGTCTAGTAGTAATTATTTTATAAATTTGGGAGCTCCAGTGTTAGGTGCATATATATTTAGGATTGTAATATTTTCCTGTTGGACAAGGACTTTTATCATTATCTAATGTCCCTTTTTGTCTTTTTTAACTACTGTTCCTTTAACGTTTGTTTTGTCTGATACAGGAGTAGCTATTCTTGCTCACTTTTGGTGTGCATTTGTATGGAATGTCTTTTTCCACCAGTTTACCTTAAGTTTATGTGAGTCCTTATGTGTTAGGTGAGTCTCTTGAAAGCAGCAGATACTTGGTTGGTGATTTCTTATTTAATCTGCAATTCTCTATCTTTTAAGTGGAGCATTTAGGCCATTTACCTTCAATGTTAGTACTGAGATGCGAGGTACTATGCCATTCATTGTGTTATTTCTCGCCTATATACCTTGGGGTTATTTTATTATACTTTTGTTTTATAGGTCATGTGAGATTTATACTTTAAAAAGGTCCTGTTTTGATGTGTTTCCAGGATTTGTTTCAAGATTTAGAGCTTCTTTTAGTAGTTCTTGTAGTGCTGGCTTGGTCGTGGCAAATTCTCTCAGCATTTGTTTGTCTGAAAAATACTGTATCTTTCCTTCATTTATGAAGCTTAGTTTCACTGGATACAAAATTCTTGGCTGATAATTGTTTTGTTTAAAGAGGCTGAAGATAGGGCCCCAATCCCTTCTAGCTTGTAGGGTTTCTGCTGAGAAATCTGCTATTCATCTCATAGTTTTTAAATAAGTTATCTGGTGCTTTTTGCCTCACAGCTCTTAAGATTCTCTCCTTCATCTTGACTTTAGATAACCTAATGACAATGTGCCTAGGCAATGATCTTTTTGCAATAAATTTCCCTGGTGTTCTTTGAGCTTCTTGTGTTTGGATGTCTAGGTCTCTAGCAAGGGCAAGGATGTTTTTCTCGATTATTCCCCCAATATGTTTTCCACACTTTTAGCTTTCTCTTCTTCCTCAGGAACACACCAATTATTCTTAGGTTTTATTGTTTACCATATTCCCAAACTTCTTGGAGGCTTTGCTGATTTTTTCCAATTCTTTTTTCTTTGTCTTTGTTGGATTGGGTTAATTCGAAAACCTTGTCTTTACGCTCTGAAGTTCTTCTGCTTCTTTGATTCTATTGCTGAGACTTTCCAGTACACTTTGCTTTTCTCTAAGTGTGTCCTTTATTTCCTGAAGTTGTGATTTTTTTAAAATTTATGTTATCTATTTCACTGGAGATTTCTCCCCTCATATCTTGTATCATTTTTTTTTATTTCTTTAAATTGGATTTCACCTTTCTCTGGTGCCTCCTTGATTAGCTTAATAATCAACCTTCAGAATTCTCTTTCAGGTAAATCAGGAATTTCTTCTTGGTTTGGATCTATCGCTGGTGAGCTAGTGTGATTTTTTGGGGGGTGTTAAAGACTCTTATTTTGTTGTATTACCAGAAATGTTTTTTCTGGTTCCTTCTCATTTGGGTAGGCTATGTCATAGGGAAGATCTGGAGCTCAAAGCTGCTGTTCAGATTCTTTTGTCCCACAGGGTGTTCCCATGATGTAATACTCTCCCCTTTTTCCTAGGGATGTGGCTTCCTGAGAGCCAAACCGTAGTGATTGCTATTTCTCTTCTGGATCTGAGCCACCCAGCAGGGCTACCAGGCTCTGGGCTGGTAATGGGAGTGGTCTGCTCAGACAATGTGAACCATCTTCAATTTTCTCAACCATGAGCACCAGCACCTGCTCCGATGGAGGTGGCAAGGGAGTGAAATGGGCTCTCTGAGGGTCCTTAGTTTTAGTTATTTAATGCACTATTCTTGTGCTGGTTGGCCTCTTACCAGGAGGTAGCACTTTCAAGAGAGCATCAGCTGTGGTAGTATAGGGAGGATTAGGCTGTGGGTGGGGCCCTAGAAATCCCAAGAGAATAATATGCCCTCTGTCTTCATCTACCAGGGTGGATAGAGAAGGACCATCAGGTGGGGGCAAGGTTAGGTGTGTCTAAGTTCAGACTCTCCTTGGGCAGGGCTTGCTGCTGCTGCTGCGGGGTTGGGGGTGTTGTTCCCAGGTCAACGGACTTATGTTCCCAGGAGGATTATGGCTGCCTCTGCTGTGTCATCAAGGTTGTCAGGGAAGTGGGGGATAGGTGGCAGTTACAGGCCTCACCCAGCTCCCACACAACCCAAAAGGCCTATCCCACTCCCACCGTGCCTCAGCCCCAACAGCACTGAGTTTGTTTCCAGGCGATGAGCAGCAGGGCTGAGAACTTGCCCCAGGGTACCAGCCTCCCATATGAGAAAGCAAGTAGAATTTTCACACCTCCCCACCTGTCGCATCTGCACATCTGATTTATGCCCTCCCCTGAGTTCTGGCCAGGAGACTTCACATTTGGTTGGAATTGTTACAAAGTTCAGCTGGAGGTTTCCTTCTCCCTGTGGTCTTTTCCCAGTTCCTCTGGCAGCCTCCCCAAGGACACCTGTGAGAAAAGTAAGAAATGGCTTCCCTGGGGACCCCAGAGAGCCCACAGGGCTTTTCCCACTGCTTCCTCTACCCCTGTATTTCACTTGGCTCTCTAAGTTGACTCAGCTCCAAGTAAGGTTAAATCCTTCTCCCCTGATCTAGACCTTCAGCTTCCCCAGTGAGGGTGTGTGTTCAGGGACAGATAATCCCACTTTTCCACTGTCACAGCTTAGACACTCACAATACGTGGGCTGTCTCCCAGATCCCGCAGGAGCAATCCGATTCCTTCAGAGGGTCTGTGGGCTCTCTTGGCTTTCCTGGTATATTCCTGCAGTAGTCGTTTTGGAGCAAAAGTTGATGATCCAAGTCTCCACACCCTGCTCTGTCCATCGGAGCTGGAACTGCAAGCTAGTTCTGCCTCCTATCCTGTGTTCTTTTAATTTCTATTAGATTAATAGTATCCAGTCTTTTTTCTTTTCTAATGAATGCATTTAGGGCTATAAATTTTGTTCTACGTATTACTGTAACAGCATTCCACAAGTGTGGATGTATGGCATTTTTATTATCATTCAGCCTATAATATAGTCTTTTTTATTATGATTTCTTCTTTGGATCATGACTTATTTGCAAATATGCTTTAAAACATCCAAATGTATAACTTCATTCAATTTTTTTACTTGAACAATATATAGTGGAGAGAGAACATGGCCTGCATGATCCCATTTTGTTAATATTTGTTGAATTGTATTTTATGACCTAATATGTGATTATTATAACTGTTGCATTTGTACTTGAAAAGAATATGCATTATTAATTTTTAGGTATAACATTCTATATGTCATTAGATATAAATTCTTAATTTGTATTTTAAAAATCCATACACTTACTTTGTTACACTGTAAGGGTAGACTTATAAACCTCTCCTTGTAATTCCGTCAAATTTTGTTTTATGTATTTTGAGGCCATATTTTTAGGGGTATCTAAGTTTATAAATTTTTCCTAGTGAATTCTAGTTCTTTTACCATTTTAAAATAATCCTTTTAGACCTGACTAATGCTTTTTTTACTTTAAGGCCTTTTTTGTGTTTTAATATAGTTAATAACCTTTCTTTTCATCAATCTTTGTCTGGCACATCTATTTCTCCACTTTTACTTTACACCTTTCTGTTTTCCATATTGTTTAAGAATTGGTCTTGCTAAAAGCATAAAGTCATTTTTTTCTTTATTTAATCTATCAGTCTCTGGTTTTATTCAGAAAACTCAATTTGTTTACATTTTTTGTAGTTAACTAACCTATTTGGAATTGTTTCTGCCATCTTAATTTGTGCTTTCTATCTTTCTAGCTTTTTACTTCTTTTCCTATCTTCTATAGCAGGGATTGGCAAATTACACCCTTCAGGCCAAATCCAGTTCATTTGCTATTTTTATAAACTAAGTTGAATTGGAGTGCACCACCATGCTCATTTGTTTAAATCTTCTCTATGGTTTCTCTTGCACTACAATAGCAGAGTTGAATAGATACAATAGAGACCATATGGCACACAAAGCCAAAAGTATGTACTATCTGGCCATTTACAGAAAACATTTGCCGCCTTGTTCAATAGGATTAAAGAGTTTCTTTTCTCATTTTTCCTTTACTGTTTTGAAAATTACAAATTCTACTTTTATCACGCTCCCCAACTCCCAGCAGTCATGATTAAAATTTTAACATGTGTACTCAGCATTCCAAGATCTCAAGTTAACTCAATTGTTCATGGGATCATTCAATGATTTTGGAATTCTAGATTATTATCCTCCCACGTTACATATTACTAGGGGATTGGGTCACTCTCCTCCCAACTTACATGATACTTAATCCAGTATTTCAGGTCCTACGTGTTTTTATACATGTGAAATGTCATTGCTATTATTGTTGTCATCCATTGTCAATCCTGTTCCAATTTATCCATATGTTTACTAATTTATTTGCTCACCATTCTGCTTTCGGTTCACTTCTTCATTCTGGATTCAGTTTTCTCCAGATAAAGTGCATTCCTGGAAGTTCTTTAGCTGGGACTCTGTTAGTTATAAATTCCCTAATGCTTTGTTTTTCATCCTTTCTCCCTAATTCTTGTATGACAGTTTAGTTAGGTAGAAAATTCTATTTTCTCTCAACACTTTGAAGATATAATTCCACTATCCTTTGGTCATCATTGAGAAGTGGCAGCCAAATTAATTGTCATTCCTTCATAGGACATCTTACATTTCTGGCTACTGTTAAGGTATTATCTTTGTACTTGGCATTCTTACATAGCTTACTCTAATCTATCCAGGGATGCATTTCCTTATGTCTACCCTAATATTTAGGACTACATTTTCCTTGAATCTGAGAGCTCAGAACTGTTCTCCATTTTGAAAATTCTCAGTCACCATCTCTTTCAATATTGACTCACTCTCATTCTCTCCTTTCTCTCCATCTATAACTCCTATTGTGCTTCTATTAGACCTTCTTGTCCTATTCTCCATATCTATTAATCTTGCTTCCAAATTGTCTCTTTATTTCCATGTGCTCACAGTGATTTTCCACTTAACTAATTCTCCTTTTAGTTATGTCTAATTTGCTTTTTAACCTAACCATTAAAGACTTAGTTAAATTTCAATCACTATATTTTTATTCCTATATATTTCCTTCTGTTCTTTTCAAATCTTCCCTGTCTTTTGTCTTCCCTTGGTGGCAGCTTGCTGTTTTCTCTTTTTTTTTTAATTTTCCATTGTGTCTTTAATTCTATCTCATAATCTTTATTTTGATAATATTGTTGCCTGAAGCTCTTAGGAATTTAATCCCACTGTTTGTTATATCTTTGAACTTGCTCAGAGTTTATTTTTCTCCCTTGGATTGGCACTTTTGGATTGTGAGCTCATCTTCATTGCAGTTTTTCTGTAGGAATGCTTTGTGTACATCCACAGAGATTTTGTGTTTTCTCCTGCCAGGTGCTCCAGGGTTAATTTTATCTAAATTGCTCAGATTGGGGGCTCCATGTCACTCAGATAGTATAAATTCACACCCCAAATACACCTGAGGATAGCCACTACATACAAATTCTCAAGGACAACCATTTTCTCCTACTCAGAATCAGGCCAAGGTTGACAGGCTTTCTGTTATTTCCCTGTGCCAATGGCTGGATTGTTCTTCTGGTCCACCTTTTCATTGGAAGTGTAATTCTTCAAAGGCAGAAGACAACTCTTGTATAGGAAACTCAGTTCTAATTTCCAGCCTCTTATGGGCTCAAAGATTCATTTCCTATTTCTGCATGGCCATTAAAATCCAAAAATTCATTAGTTAAAAAGACATACAAAGTAACCTCAACTCCCACCTTTGCCATCCCATGCCTTCCCCCAGCATAGCCCTAGCATCGGTTATCTTATATTTCTGGTTTCTGTTTCCTCTTTGGTTTGGGCCTCCACAAGGGATTTCCCTTATCTTTTCAAGAGCAATGTTTATTATACTGCTGTATTTTAGCCAACATCCCTAGACATTTTATATCAAGATGTTTCTCAGGCTATCTGGTTCATCAGACTGCTGAAAACTGAGGTTTAAAATAAACATTTACAATAAACTATTTCATACATTATAAATCCAACTCTAACATCCAGCTTAACTCATCCCTAGTTTATTCATGAAAATGTGTGACTTCGGGAAAGGGCTTCCGGCATTGCAAGGAACATTTCTCATCCCATTCCCTGGCTCCTGTGCCCCAGTCTTGCCACTGAGATTTTCTATAGTTTTAATTCCTGAAAAAGAGATGGGTATATGGGAGAAATAATCTCTTTATGCCTGTCAGTGGCCATCTGAGATGCCAAAAATAATAATGAGGAAATAGAACAGCTAACGAGGTAGCCGTCTCTCAAATCTTTCACAGTGCTAGAATTTGCCCTTTGGAGCATTTTCAAAACACCAGAGAGGTTAGTGCCTGTGGAAGCACTCACTGTCTTCTAATAAAAGTTCTTTCCAATACCTTCGTCAAAACAGTCATTTGTAAATCAGCCAATATTTTTACAGCTCAAAGAGCATTTTCATGCCACTTATCTTATGAAAGTTGAGTGTCCACCTCTGACGAGTGAAAAAAAAATATATGAGACTGAGGCGATTAAGCAAGTTGCTTGCCCTGGTCATTGTTATGTAGTCAGCAGAACTAGAACTTTACTATTTTTAGCAGAAAACACTGTTCATAAATTCTTATAAGGGTAGGTGCCAGAATTTGCTCTCCTGCTGCTACACTGTCCCAGACACTACCTATAGGAGCTTAACCAACATTAAAAGTTAAATTAAACAGCTCTTAAAATCTTGTCTTAAAATGGTAGTTGTGCAATTTCTGAGTGATGCTAGCCAAGGGTGGATTCCCCAGAGCTTGGAAGTAAACCAGAAAAGAACAATGAGATGTCCAGGCATCGGGAAGTGGGTCCTAGAAGGTGAGGCCTGGAGAAATTGGACATTGCATAGTCTGGGGCAACGTGCTGGGGTCCAGCACTGTCTGTGGCTGGCTCCTGTGTCAAAGGCTGCTGGGGGTGCAGCAAGAGGGACATGGAGAGCCCGTGTGACTCACCCTGCCTTTCATCTGCATTTGCTCTCTTGGCAAGAGTGATTTTCATTGTACCATAAGCTCAGTGTTACCAAACCCATTTGGAGTGATGCACTGACTGAAACTGCTCCTCAAGGAGAAAGGACTAACACCGGCTTCCAAACGGAGGCTTTGCTATGTGAGTCTTGGCTTCTTGGCTTTCCCCATGAAGAACTTCCTGTCGGCCCACAGACAGCAAGTGAGCTGCGGGAAAGCGCTGGCTGCTAGCCTCCTCCTTCCGCACTGGACCAGGGGCAGGGGCTCCTCTCAGAGACCAACCAGAGCAAAGCAGCTTGCAGGGCAAGGCCCAAAGGAGGATCAGAGGCCCAAAGGAGGAGCAGAACCCAGAAGCAGAAGTCAGACCACGGGCGGGTAGGGACAGGTGAGCTGGGGATAGAACCACTGATCTGAGGCCCGAGGGGCAGTAACCACGTGGGCCTGATCCAGGAGGGTCCCTAGAACCGGCGCTGTGGTTGCTGGCTGGTTTTCCTTGGAGGCTGGGGCACGATGCAAGAGCAGTGAGTCTGAGTCTAACATGTTAGGGATGGGCAGGCAGCCCCAAGATTGCAGCACGGAGTGGCCAGAACATACCCCTGGAGGTGCCTGTGCAACCCTTCTCCACAGTGGGGTAGCGCACAGCCTGCTCTCCACTGAACGGGACTCCTCCTTATTCCTTCCTACACTAATTCACCTGTCTTCCCACCCTCCATGGGGTAAGCGCTGGGGGCACGGTGCTGGGTGCTGGGTGCTGGGGACAGGTGTGGGCTGGGCTCTGAGTTAGGACGAGCCACTGTCCCATTTGAGAGTCTCCAGCCCCATCATGTTCAATCCCAGCTCAGCGGATTTTCACACCCAAATCACTGCCTCCTGCCCCCAAATCTGGAACTACCAGTTTAAAAAAAAAAAAAAAAAAAAAAAGTCTGTGAGATGGACGTGGCACTGAGGAGGGGAAGTAAGCCAGGAACCACACAGGGGACCAGGCGGGCGCCAGGCCCACCCAGTATCGCCACCCGGGGACGGCTTTAGCCACCCGAGCCTCCAGCGTGGGGGGAGCGTTCATTCTCTGAGGTCGTCATGAGGCTCAAAGGGAAGTGAACATACAGTGTTCTCAAGGTGTTACATTTCTAAAGTCATCTCAAGAGACAGCCAAGCAGAAGGCGAGAGGAAGGAAAAGGCGGTGTCCACACCTGCCGATGGACTCGGGGAAACGTGGACCCTCCGCGGTGTCCCAGGGACCCCAAGCTCCATGTTCCCCAGCAAGGCCTGGGTGACACCACCTCTATTTGGGCCAAGGTGAGACCACTATGGTGGGACCACTCCCGCAGCCCCTGGGACAGGACGGGACGCCCCAACAGGGAGCCCCTCCCCACCCACGTCCCGCCACCTCCTCCCAGCTTCCCAGCGCCCTCCCCAGCATCTGGCGGCCTGCGGAGCCTCCCACTCCGAGGAGGTCTCCTCCATGGACTCCAGGCAGAGGAGGACGCTGTCCTGCATGCATCGCTCCCTTCAATGTCCCATGCCCAGGAGGCTGCGCCACATTCTTGGCAGGCGGGGCCTGCCTCATCCTGCTTTGCTGTACATGTGGGCCCCATTTGCAGGGGGCACCGCGCTGGGGTGGAGGAGATCCAGAGGGGTGGCTGTGGGACTGGCCTTAAACACTTCCACCTGAGAATGTGGAGGGAACACCCCCCAAGGCGATGAAAGGGACCAGAGAGCAGGACGCTACGCACCAGGAAAAGAGGAGTGGAGAAGCCCCCAGTGTGAGAAGGCAGGAGGGGGTCCTGCGGAGGCCGTCAGTGCCGCTGCTGAGCCTCGAGACCCCCAGCAGGAGGCATGTGGGGGACAGGAGAGCAGTGGGGTGCAGGGCCAGCCCACTGCACCTTCTTGCCACTCAGGGCTGGCAGCTACCAGGCTACCCCAAGGAGGCCAACCCCCAGGCTCTCATCGTGGCTGCTGCCCCAGCATCCGTGGCAGCCCATCGCTACAGCATTGGTGGGGACATCTGCAGGCTCTGCCAGCCTGGAGCCCTGCCCTGCAGCTGGTGAGGCACCCCCACAAGGTGCCAGAGACCACCTGGTCCAACCATCACTTCCCACACAAACAAACCAAGATGCAGGTGTTTAGTTAGGCATCAACTAGCTTGGGTTAGTATCCGTTGCCTCCGGCAGCTCTTCCTTTCCTGGTCTGAGGGGCTCCAGTGAGGGCTCCAAACAGCCCAGAGTCTTATTACTTGTATTTGAAAACAAATGCACAAAGCCGCGGGAAGGGCAAAGCCCTCCCAGCACTGGCTGTGCCTAGTCCCTGCAATCTGACCTCACTGCTCCAATGCCATTAGCTCCAGAACAACCCCTCTTCTCCAGCAGCAAGGACTTCAGGACTCCCGGGCAGACCCACGCGGGGCAGCACCCCTGCAGATCCAAGCCTCATGCACTCTCTTCCACACCTGGGCCCCTGAGGCTCCTCCACGGACTGCTGCGTTTCCTATTTCTTCCAAGACAAAATGGACCCATTCACCTTTTTCCCTCATGTCCCTCTCTCCCTTCTCCTCCCTGGTCCCACTAAAAGTGTGAGCTTCCAATGCTTCCTGGGTTTGAAAAGTTTCACATGATATCAGTACACAGAGACAGTTCATTTTGGTATTTGGGCTCTTGTCAAGGTTAAAAACCAAAAAATGGATTGACCCATCACTAGACAAAATCAGAATAGTCAAAGAGGTGACGTCATGGGGGAAATTCCTAACTCACGCATGCGCCATGGTCTGTCTCCTGGTCTTTGTCATTCACACGTTTTAGATGAGCATTTATTTACTATGCCCATAATCTGTGCTGGGCACCGTGGGCCCAGAGATCCCTGAGGCACAGACCCTGTCTCCAAACGCAGGAAAACACAGAGATCGTGAGAAAGAATTGCAGCTTTCGTGGCAGAGTACACGGCACGCCTGTGTGGGGGTAGGCAAGGGCCTCTGAGCCAGGACAGGGTAGAAGGGACAGTGGAGGGTCAGGAACACCTTCCAGAGGGGCTCACAGGGAAGGAGAGGGAGGGAATGACCAGGGGAGAAACAGAAAGGAACAAGGCCAACTCCAAAGGCCAGAGCCCCTGGACACAGCGGGGCACAGGAGGCAGACAGGCAGAGCCAGGGATGGGGGATCCCACGGGGAACTGAGAGCGGGCACAGGGTTCAAGCACAGGCATGGCAGAATGTGCTGTGCATTGTTTCAAGGTCCTCTCGGTGGCTGCATAAGGAATGGACTGACTCAGAGTGACAGGGTGACCCAGAGACCCAAGAAAAGCGGCAGCAGGAGAACAACCTGTGGCACTTAAGATGCCCAGAGCCATCCTGCGTGCTTTGCAAACATGAGCCCATGAAATGCTTGCCACCACGCAGTGGGGTGGGCACTGACATTGCCCCGATTTACAGAAAAGGCATCTGGGACACAGAGAAGTTGGCCTGCCGAGGTCTGGGAGTGACCCCGAAAATGGAGCAGGGCCTGAAACCAGGCAGTGGTGAAGGGGTAGGAAGACAAATTTGGTACAGAAACACTTAGGACTCAGTGCCCAACCAGGGGCAGGAATCTGGGAGAGGTCTGGGATGACCCCCAGGTCCCTGGTTGGGGTAACTGGAAGAGCTCAGGGCTGTAGGGAGAAGAGTCTATTTAAAGGGGAATGGAGGGGTCCCACTGGGGGCGGGACAATTTGGGAACATTAGTGGGATGTTGGGGGAGGATTAGATCTATAAGTCATGGACACCCAGGTCAGCCCCAAAGGGTAAATGTGTGGGGTGAGTAGAGAGCTAAGAAGCCACAGGAGACCCCACATCACTGAGTCCTCCTGCCTGATGGCCCCTCCAGGCCTTGGGACAACCTGCCCTAGGATTCCTGATTCCCAGTTGAGGGGAGAGAGGCCTGGGGAGAGGCAGAGCTCTTAGAGCCCGGGAGGACATTCTTGCTTCAAGGCTCAAGTAGGGGGATGAGAAGGAGGACCCTTGGCCGAGAAATTTCATGCAGTAAGGAGGGCTCAGAGTGGCTTATGCGGGAAAGAGGAAGTTCAAGAGCACCATAAAGGGTTAGAATTTCAGAGAGGAAAAGAACCTCTTAACACTTCCAATAGGTGATTTTCTCTTAAAAAAAAAAAAAAGAAAGAAAGAAAAAGTTTAAGAAGAAACTTTACAAAGGGAAAACGTAATGTTCAACCTCTGGGCAAATTCTAGCGGAAAAAGGGAGAGAGAGGGGTGGGTGGGAGGCTAACACAATTTATGGGCCCTCAGAGCCGCGCCAGCTTGAGGTGGCGGAGCCTCTTGGCCCGGGGCCTGCCTGCTGACTTGAGCTTTGAAAAACAACTTCCTGTCAATAAATGTGAACAAAAGTTTGGACCCATCTTCAAAGTGATGAGTTATGCTGAAAGTATGTTCCTGCAAACGGGGGGAATGGATTGTTCCTGGCGCTTTGGCATTCAAGAGAGTTTATAAATAACCACTCAGCTCTGCTCGGGTTATGCCTGCTGGGAGTGCCCAGTGCCAGCAAGCAGAGGGAGACCTGGGGAGCGGGGCAGCACTCCCTGGTAGGGCTGGCACAAAGTGCCCAGAGAAGCGCAAGTCACGTCTTGGCGTGGGAGTAGGGGGCTTCCCCAAGCCTCTGTTCAGGGCTGGGCAACCGGGGACCCCCTGGACCAGCTCTTCCATTTGCATTTTGGAGGGAAAAAAGGAAG
This sequence comes from Homo sapiens, assembly GCF_000001405.40. Classification (NCBI taxonomy): domain Eukaryota; kingdom Metazoa; phylum Chordata; class Mammalia; order Primates; family Hominidae; genus Homo; species Homo sapiens. The sequence goes on along the minus strand of NC_000002.12, from coordinate 238,597,014 downwards.
GAATGGATTCTACATGTGGTTTCCATCGGCCCAGAAAAGTAAAAACATGTGTCAGCGTTTCTAGCAGAAATGGTCCTTGTTATTTTAATGAGAAAGACCATAATTAGGGACAACAGTGAAAAAGAAGCCATGGGTCCCCTTTGTGCCCTCCCCTCAACCGATGGGGAGCAGTCGCCCCAATGAACAGTCCTCCTGCCCTTAACCTGCTCCACCAGCACGGGAGGAAGGGAGAAAGCTGGGGACAGGCAAGTCCTCCAGCTCCAACAGTTCCATTCTCAGGGCTGAAGGTGCCGCCCAAGCAGCTCATTTGTCAGCGTTTAAACATCATTACAACGTTAACGGCCTCTCTGATGCCAAAGAGTTGGCTTTGCACGCCTATAAATTAGAGTACATCAAACCAGAGTTTATTGAGTCTTGGCCAATCAGAAGTAAAACTTCCATAACTTTTTACAATTCTCTACATTCTTCCAATTATATTAAAATATTTATTTGCACCCTGCATGATATATATAAACGTTTTATTAAGAACATTTGAAACCTGGTTCTTTAAACAGAAAAAAGATCCACTCCATGCTGGCAGAGGTCCGGCCAGTATGTGCTGTGTCCAGTTGGTTTCATGGAGGGAAACAGCTCTGATTGGATTTTCGAGGGATTAGCAAGAAGGAGTGGCAGAGCACGAAGCTGGCTCCCAATTCATGGCTGCGCCTCCCTTAGCAAATCCCCTGCATTTGGTCGTGACACCAATGAGGAGCAGGTCCCTGTTTTGTCTCTGCCTGGGCTGGCCTGTCTGGAACAGTCTTCTAGGGTCACAGTGCACGTCTGCCTCTGGGCAGCTGCCTGACCCAGGCCTCCACGAGAGCAGGGAAGAGGCACAGAGACGTTCCATGATGGCTGGGTGAAGAAGCAGGCAGTCGGGGTGAGTTAGGTTAAAACCCAAAGCCCCTTCTGCCCGGCCCTTTCCTGGCTGTGTGCTGTGGGGCCTGGACTCCCCCTCTCTGAAGCTCAGTTTCCTGTCTCTAAAGTGGGTGTCACAATGACAGCCGCCACCATTCCTCCACTACCACAAGAATCATAGGTGGTGACCTGCCTCATATTCCCGAAACGTCTCTGCGCGGCAACATCCTCCTTTGAGCCTCGTCTCATCCCATCGTTGCCTCCTCCTGAAGGTCCTTCTGCTGCTGACACATCAAGTGCATGGGGACATCCGTAGCACGTGGCCAGCCAGGAGGACACTGAGGCCTGCCTGAGGCCCTATCTGTGGGTGTGATCATAACGCCACCAAGAACAGCTCTTGTGCTTACAGGGTGCTAAGTCCTGACCATCTCAGGACATCCTTCACACTGCCCTACAAGGTAGGGACTCTCGCTGCAGATGAGGGAGGTATCTCTCAGTGGGGTAAAGGGTTTGGCCAAGGCGGTACAGGTCGCCCTCAGGCTGGCCAGCGCGTAGCACTCCACAGCCACAGCAGACAGCATCACAATGAACTACTCAGGAGCAGGAGGGCAGGCTCAGGTCCCAGGAAGAGGAGTGTGGCCACAAGCAAGATTACCCGCCTGGCCTGGAAGGGACAACCGAGCAGAATTTGAAATAAGCAGCAGGGAAGAGATTCTGGTTTCTGTGGGGCCCTCATCAGAAACCCCATAGGGCCCTTCACCAGAAACCCTCTGCCTGCAGAGACCACCTGCAGATGGGGGCCTCAGCTGCCTGCAGTTGCCCAGGGCATGGAAGCACAAAGCTCATTTCTGTTACCACATCACTAACTGTAGGATTGGACCTCAACATGCATACTGGTTCTGGCACAAAAGGAGCTGATTTCTTGTTCTTGCAACTGTCCCAGGCAGGGGTTCCTGCTCAGCAGATGGTGCCTCTCCTAGAAGTAATTCAGGGACCAGCCACCTTCCATCCTAGGCCTCCATCACAGCCCTTGGGCCTCGCTGTGGTGTGCACCCCCAGCAGTCAGAAAAGAGGGAGACTGGGAGCACATCTCTGTGGCTGCAGGCGTCACTTTCTGCTGTTCTCTTGTCTACACTTTCTGTGTTTTGTTGGACAATCCAGTCGTCAGGCCGTGCCCACCTGTCATGTTGGATGGGAAATGTAGTCCAGCAGTATGTCCAGAGAGAAGGGAGAAATGATTTTGGTAAACAACCAACCATCTCCACTGCAGGTGATGCAGGCAAACCCAAAAACGGGGGCTCAGCCTGAGTTGGTTCTTGGCTTCATTCAGGGAAGAATTCAAGAGCAAGCCAACAGTGAAAGAAAGCAAGTTTATATAGCGTAGTGAACAGCAAGATGGCTGCTTCATTGGCAGAGCAGGGCTATCCCACAGGCAGAGGGGCCCAGAGTAGCACTTGTGGGTTGCTGGCTGGCTCTATTTATACCCACTCTTAATTATATGCTAAATAAGGGGTGGGTTATTCACAAACTTTCTGGAAGAGGGGTAGACTTTATCCAGTCTATCACTGATGGGCACTTGGGTTGGTTCCAAGTCTTTGCTATTGTAAATAGTGCTGCAATAAACATAGGTGTGCATGTGTCTTTATAGTAGAATGATTTATCGGAAATCCTTTGGGTATATACCCAGTAATGGGATGGCTGGGTCAAATGGTATTTCTGGTTCTAGATCCTTGAGGAATTGCCCCACTGTCTTTCACAATGGTTGAACTAATTTACGCTCAAGACTAGTGGGAAGAATTTCAACTGAGGTAGGAGACGTGACTGAGAGACCAAGGAGAGGAGAAGGGATGCGATGGCTAAGAATGGAGCCACAGAACTGGTGAAATCAGAGCTAAGCCCAGAATGACAAATAGCAAGTTTCAGTTGCAGAAGAAAAGGGTGATATGAACAGGATTTCCAAGGAGAAGCCGAGGCATGTGAAAAGGCACAAAGGCGTAAATACGTGGTGCTAGCCAGGGAATGGCAACCAGGCCAAAGAACTTGGGGTTCAGTTTTACCAAGAAGGTTATCATCACCCAGAAAAGCCCAATTAGGAGTCTTCGAATAGAACTGATTTCTAGACCGACTGCTACTTAGCAAGGCTGCTCTTACTTGGTTATAGCCGATACAGGCTTTTGGTGCCTGCTCTCCCTCCTCACTGAACGTCTCATCCGTTCATCATGTCAGAGGCACTGCTGGGTGTACGTTCAGAACACTGACACTAGAGCCCGAAGGTGTGAATTCAAACCCAGATCCCCCTCACCAGCTGTGTGTCACTGAGCAAGTTTCTTATCCTCTCTGCGCTTCAGCGTCCTCATCTATAAAATAGGAGGAATAGTAGTGCTCACCTGATAAGCTGGCTGAAAGGATGGAATGGGATAATTTAGGTGGGAAAGTGCCAGGCATTTGAAGAACATTCTAGAAGCATTAGGATTACCTTAAGCCAAGATTGTGAATCACGTTTTGGGCTAGGACTTGAGGAGATTCAGGCCATTCCTGGAGAGCAAGACACAGACCCTGCCTCCAGGGCTTGCCCCACTAACAGGGAAGACCACGCTCAGAGGGTCGTGCCACAGAGTGTGGCCAGGAGGGAGGGAGGCCCCGGCTGCTGGGGGAGGAGGGGTACGTGAGATGGGCACTTGGTTTTAAGTTGTGAAGGTTTGGGGAATCAGAGCCCTACAATCATAATTCAAATTCGAAAATGAAACAAAGGGCCGGGCGTGGTGGCTCACGCCTGTAATCCCAGCACTGGGAGGATGAGGCGGATGGATTACCTGAGGTCAGGAGTTTGAGACCAGCCTGGCCAACACGGCGAAACCTCATCTTTATTAAAAATACAAAAATTAGCTAGGCATGGTGGTGCATGCCTGTAATCCCAGCTACTCAGGAGGCTGAGGTTGGAGAATCACTTGAACCTGGGAAGCAGAAATTGCAGTGAGCCAAGATCACACCACTGCACTCCAGCCTGGGTGACAGAGTGAGACTCCATCTCAAAAAAAAAAAAAAAAAAAATAGAAATGAAACAAAGGAAAAGCAGAAACTGATTCATTTTCTTTCCCATCAAAGGCTAACACCAAATTTTGAGACACAGGTTTGTTTCCTGGGAGTGCTCAGCTTATTTTTCTGGTCCTTACAGGAGTTTCTCTCACCTCCTATAAAACATTTGCTTGCATTAAATATTTGCTTCTAATTGTATGTAAATATACGGTTTCTTTATATCTGATATTCTTCTCTTTTTATATCGGCCACATCAGGTAATGCGTGAAGCTGAGCTTCAGAGTTGATCTAAACGCAGGATTTTAAAACTTGAGAGGGCCAGTCAGCTGGTGGTCTCAGCCAGAGAAAACCCAGGTCTTCCTCTTGGGCAGGTAGGCACAGTCCTCTGGGTTTACCACACCACGTGCACGCTTCCTCTTTCAAATACTCATCAAAAAACTGGCAGGGGTACTCTGCGTTCATAGGGACGGTGGAAATAGTGCTCTATCCATTGTTGGTAAAAGTGCCAAGTATTACCTTTCTACTGTACAGTTCAGCAATTGATTTCAAAGCCTTAAAAATATGTACATCCCACTTCACAGTCATTAAGATGACTACTATCAAAAAAAAAAAAAAAAACCCAACAGAAAATAACAAGTGGTGGCAATGATGGGGAGAAACTGGAGCCCTCGTGCACTGTTGGTGGGAATGCGAAATGGTCCTGCTGCTGTGGAAAACAGTATGGCAGTCCCTCAAAAAATTAAACGTACAGTTACCAGATGATGCAGCAATTTCACTTCTGGATATGTACGAAAACAATAGAAAGCAGGGTCTCGAGGAGATATTTGTACATCCATGGTCATAGTAGCACTATTCACAACAGCCAAAAGGTAGACGCCACCCAAGTGGAATAGTATGCAGCCTTAAAAAGGAGAAGAATTCTGACCCATGCTACAACATGATTAAACTTGAAGAAATTATGCCAAGTGAAGTAAGTCACAGAAAAATAAATACTATATGATTCCACTTATATGAGATATCTAGAAGAGTCAAATCTATAGAGACAAAAATTAGGATGGTGGTTGCCAGAGGCTGTGGGGGAGAGGGAATGGGAAGTTAGTGTTTAATGGGGACAGAATCTCTGCTGTCCAAAATGCAAAGAGATGTGAAACCCTGGCAAAGTGCCAGGCATTTGATGAGCATTCTAGAAGCAAGCCAGCTCTCCTCTGTGGAGGAATGGTGGAGTGCGATAAGGGTAGTGCAACAATGTGACTGTATTCATAGTTAATGCCACTGACCTGTGCACTTGAAAATGGTTAAGATGGTAAATTTTTGTTATGTGTATTTTATCACAACCGGAAAAAATGCACATCATTTGACCTAACGTTTCTACTTCTTTTTTTTTTTTTTGAGACAAGGTCTGGCTTTGTTGCCCAGGCGGGAGTGTAGTGGCACCATATCAGCTCACTTCAACCTTAACCTCCTGAACTCCAGCAATCCTCCCACCTCAGCCTCCCGAGCAGCTAAGACCACGGGCACACACCACCACGCTCAGCTAACCTTTTTGTATTTTTTGGAGAAATGGGGTTTCGCCATCGTGTCTGGGCTGCTCTACTTCTAGTTTATTATTTTACCTGATTGATTTTCAATTACAGAGTCCTAGCTACAAGCAGGTTCTTATCCATATTATTATTTAAAAAAAATTTTTAACAACCTAAATATGCAATAAGAAAGAATTAGAATTCTGGGCAAGCATTAAAAATGATATGAGGCCAGGCGCAGTGGCTCACGCCTGTAATCCCAGCACTTTGGGAGGCTGAGGCGGGTGGATCGCCTGAGGTCAGGAGTTCAAGACCAGCCTGACCAACATGAAGAAACCCCGTCTCTACTAAAAATACAAAAATTAGCCAGGATAGTGGCGCATGCCCATAATCCCAGCTACTCGGGAGGCTGAGGCAGGAGAATCGCTGGTACCCGGGAGAGGGAGGTTGCGGTGAGCCAAGATCGCACCATTGCACTCCAGCCTGGCGCACCATTGCACTCCAGCCTGGGCAACAAGAGCAAAACTCCGTCTCAAAGAAAATAAAAATAAAAGCAAAAAAATAAAAATGATATGAAAATATGTGTTGATCCAATTTTTGTAAAAAATAATTATAGTCACATATATGAAAAAATCTGAAAAGATCTACAACAAAACATTATAGATTATCTGTGAATAATACAATATTTCATTTTTGCTTAAATCTCTATTTTGTGTTTTTTCTTATACGTATATAATAGTCAAAATTTTACAAGCCAAAACATTATCTTGGAGATGCAACACTTTTTAAAATTATTATTATATTGATATTGCAGAAGCACCTTCAATATATTAGCTGCCATCACACAAATTATCCTATTCCATCATCAAAGAATTAAATAACAAAAAGACTTTTCCCATTTCACCGTTGAAAAGCCTGAGTTCCATCCAGGCTTGGTCTCTAACTAGAGTGCGCTTTCATAGCACCTCCTCATTTCTATAACACATTAACACACAGTTTTATTGCATGTTTGACATAGATACAGTGGGTAAAGCAGAAATTGTCATCTCTATTTTTTACAGATGAGAAAACCCAGGTGCACAGAAGTTAAAAATCCCTGCCCCTGCCATCACCAATGCCGCCACTGGGGCTAGCGGTCCTGCTTCTTGACCTCACGATATCAACTGCCCATCTCACAAGCAGGAGAAGAAGAAGCAGTTGGAACACTGGTGTAGACCACTAGAAGTGGATCAGCACACAGACCCCCAGCCTGCCTCTGACACCCCGGGGGTTGGGTAGTGTAGTGCAGGGCCCAGTGACAAACCAGCAGATTCCTCGGGGTCTGAGCCAGCCACTGAGACCTGCAGAAGCCAACCTTTGCCTCCTTGCCTGGTCCAGTCTGCAAAACAAGCCTCCCCGCTCTATACCCCCGTGCTCAAACGGAGCATCTGTGAGGACCTGGGCCAGGCTCAGCGGTCAGGGCCTCTGGCCACACAGAGGTGTCCATCTACCTGCAAATTCAGCTGACACAGTGAGCGGGCCTGGCGGGTCTCCATCCAGAACTGCTTATTCCAGTCCTCTCCCAGCCCCCCAGGGAGCTCAGGGTCACCCACTCCTGCCCTCCCCTCTGGGATGATGCAGCTGCCACCTCCCCCAGGTGCTAGGGCAGGCCCTTCTTCAGGACAAAGCTGAGCTGAGGCAAGGGCTGCTCCTGGTTTCCTTGGTGACCCTGTAGTCCAGCCCAGCCCAGACCCCAAAACAGGGCCCAGGGTCACCTGCTGGATCTTAGAGGGCTTCCCCGATTGCCCTGTGCTTCCAGTAAGGGGGGAGTATAGAGGTAGAGCTTGGCAGCGCCCACTGCCAGGCAAAACGGCCTGTGAACGGGTTAGGAAGAGGCGTCCCTGCTGGACAGCATAGGCCTATGGGTGGGGACTTGGCACCCTATCCTCCAGGTGAAGCTGCCAGGTGTGGGAAGCCAGCCTGCCCTCCCTGTGGTGGCCCTGAGAAGGGTCTGCAGAACTAAAACCTACATGGCCCCTGGCCAAAAGTCAGTACTGGCATGTGGGCTGTTGGTTTGGGGACTTTTACTCCAGACAGTAGACTATTCTTAGGATGCTAATGACAGTATTTACTGTAAAAGTTTTACCAACGTAAGAGCTATTTAGAATCCTCTCACTGAAGAAGCACTTCCTGGGGGTCCTAAATGAGCCCTAAACAGCACATATGCAGACTGGGGTACAGTCTGCCTTCTGCCTCCTAAATCACTGAAGCTGAGCTTGGCATGAGGAATTTGGGTTTTCAAAGCTCTAGGATAGAAAACTTCAGACAGTGGCTGCCTGGGGGTAGCCTGGCCAGTCATCCACTCTTCTGTTACCGTTGTGTGACAGCTACATGCCTTGTCCCTACACAAAAGGACCCTGGGGCAGGACACCACCCACCCCCCGCCCCCACGACCAAAGGATGGGGACATGAATGCCTCTTGATGCCTCTGTCCCTCCATAGTGCACACCTGGCACATGACCTCTGACCCTCACTACACTTGACCAGGAGAGGCCTCCAATCCCAGGGCTCTGCTGCTACACCCCATTCCCCCCTTAAGGGAAACTCCAAGGGGCTGAGTAGTCATAGTCAGGGGTTATCTCGTGGTGCCCAGTTCCTGGTTACATTTGAAACGCTAATCGTTTAAATTAAAGAAAGGATGCTAGTATAGGCTACAAATCCCAGATTCAGTGCAGTGCATCGGAAATTATGAAAGTCTTCCATCTTACCATATTCCAGGGCAGGACCTAAATGCACAGGCTGAGATTGGGAGAGAGAGTGAGGGGATGAGTTCAGGAAGGCTTGAGTCCAGGAGCCTGCAGAAATCCACCCTGGCTCACCCAAATCATTGTCACTTATGGAGACAAGCTGGAAGATGAACCAACAGGCAGGGATATTTTGTCAGTAAATACTTCAGAACAATTGCCATGGGGTGCCACTGAAGGACAAATAAAGGATGGATCTTCAAGGGAGGTGCATTATCCATTGAAACAAGAAGAGAGATTTTTGTAGTTTGTTCAGTAGGCCAAGTTCTGGCTGGGCCCCATGTGGGCATGAGAGACCCAGACTCCCAGCCCCACCTGCGGCAGGAAAGCTGGTACTATAATATGTGGCTTAAAAGTGTAAATTGTCCCCAAAAGCCTGTCATTTCTCAGTCTCCCATGCAGGCTGTAGTGGGTTGAATGGTGGCCTCTAAAAGATATGCCCGCCCAGAGCCTGTGAACGGGATCTTGTTCGGAAAAAGGGTCTTTGCAGATGCAATTAAGAATCTTGAGATGAGATCTTCCTGGATTAGGGTGGGCTCTAAATCCAATGACAGGAGGCTTCATAAAGAGAAGGAGACAGATGCAGAGAAGGGAAGGTGACGTGAAGACAGAGGCGCAGGGTGGAGCAACACATACCTAAGCCTAGGACCATGAGGGTGGACACGTCACCAAGCCTAGGACCACGAGGGTGGACATGTCGCCAAGCCTAGGACCACAAGGGTGGCAGCATCTCCAGAAACTGGATGAGAAGCAAGGAACCAGTTCTCTCCTAGAGGCTGTGGGAAGAGCGTGGCCCTGTGGACACCTTGGCTTTGGACTGGCTGGTCTCCAGGACTGTGAGGAAATGCATTTCTGTTGTTTAAGACCCCAGGTCAGGGCAGTTTGTTACAGAAGCCCTTGGCACAGACCTAAGAGCACCCATTCAGTGGGCGATTTCTCTGATTAATCTTGAGAGTCTCTACCTGCCCACCCACTGACTGACCTGCCGATTTCTTTGAACTCTCTTGTGACTGGGCTCCGCGAGAGGACAAAAGAGGGAGGAGTCTTCGAGGTGGGTGCATGACTCGTTGAAACCAGGAAGAGATGCCTGGGTTTGCTCAGTGGGTGGGCCAAGTCCTGGATGGGTCCATGTGGGCATCAGAGGCCCAGGCTCCCGGCCCCACTTGCAGCAGGAAGCTCTGATGTGACCAGCAGGTCCTGCGATGGCACCAGGTGACCCTGCACAGCCCAGGAGATGCCACATTGGTGATGGTTCTCGTGGCCAACAGCCACTGCCCAAATGGCCCTCAAATGGAACCTTCAAGTCTTGGCTCAAATGTCCACTTCTCAGTGTCCCCTTGGTCCCCCCTCCCCCACAGTACCCCTGCCTCACCCACCCTCGCTCTTCCTTTTTTCTGTAGCTCTCATTACCATGTTGTATACTATGAGATTTTCATATTTACTATATTCTGGATGGAAGCGCCAAGAAACATGCTTGCTCGGTCTCCTGCTCCCTGACATTCCTGGTCCCTGGGACCCTGCCCGACACGTGGCAGGTGCTCTGTGGCACACCAGCTTGATGCAATGGGGGATCGAGTTTGCATCCAGGAACCAGTTGGAATGCTACGTATTGCATTCTCTGCTCCCTGCCTGGGGGCTTTCTCTGGCCAAAGGAACTGCTTAGCCCTCCGTAGGGCAGCCCAGAAGTACCAGGGACTTAACGCCAGAGCCAATGAAGCATGCAGCCTGCTTTAGAGTCCCTTGGGGGAACAACAGTTCCTCAGAGGATCCTGGGGCTGAGTCCCAATGACCACACCAGGACTCTGCTCACTGACCTCCCACTCAGCTCTCCTCCCTGCTCTCTCTCCCAGGTCACAAGCCTCACCTGGCGTCTCCTCCCAACTAAACCACTTGCATCCAAGTCTCCCTTCCCTGTTTTCAGGGAAGCCCAGACTAACACACGGCCATGGGATTCCACTGGCTGCTCCCTCACTCAGCAGCTAAAATATGCTCTTTGTAGTCGGGGGACTCACGTGGGTTCTGAAGTCTGGGAAGGCTTACTTCCAAAACCACCAGGCGCTTCACGCTCGTTAGTAGTCATCTAGATTCTGAATCTGCAAAGAACTATCCCCCACCACACAAAACAGCCATTCAGAACACGTTCTTGGCAGGGGAATTGCTCATTCAAAGGCTCAAGACACAAGCCAGAGGCCAGCGCGCCTCCTTTTCATGTTCGAAAGGATTCACATGGACGGCTGACGGGGCTCGGAGAATCGGGCTTGTTCTGCGGCTGCTGCACTTGGGCAGAGAGCAGGCAGTCCCAGGCAGAGATTTTCACGGACTGATTTCACTCCAAGTGGGAAACGTGTTGTCAAAGCAGGAATGCTGCCGTGGAGTGTCTTGGACCCGCATGTGACGGGGACTGGGCCTGCCAGTGCACAGAGCCTCGTGGTGTGGTCATCCGCCCCAGCGCACCCCCAGCAGCTCCCATCTCCCAGAGGCTGCCGCACTTCCACCTGGACACCCCGCGCTGGCCCTGCCGCCTGACCACTCCAGGGCTGGCCCCACCAGCCTGCTCGTCTTGGCGGGGAGACCCTCGTGGCTTTTCAGTCATTGTGCAAAGCAGCTTCTTGCTGTTGCTGTTTGTAGTTTCTGGTTGGAAGAATGTAAATGCCATGGGGCAGAGGACAGCCGGGCTGACAGTGCAGTGGCAGGAAATGAGGAACTTTGCTGAGCTGAACAAGGGAACCTGGAGGGTAGACCCAGCAACTACGGAAACCGCTTTCCCCCAAATAGACCAACCTGACCGAAAAATCAGCTACCAACTACATGTGGCTCAGCTGGGAGCCAACACAATGCAGGAAAGTTCAGCCTCACCGAGGTTCAGCTCTAGGGCAGGGGCCTGGCTACCACTAGAGGGGTGAGCAGGGCAAAAAGATTAGAGGGCCTTCACTCAGTGACATTTTATAACAGGTTTTCTAAATATAAATGTAACAAATATTTATATTATGGAAAATTTGGAATCTATGAAACTTTGAAACACTGAATTTACAAGCTCAGGTCTTGCCTTTCCATGTTGCTCTCAGACTCTTTTTAAACCTAGGTTTCACGTCGGCTGCCCTCATTCTGTTCTAACATCAGAGCACGTACGGTGTTTCCAGACTATTCTTGAAGACTGACCACTGTGGACATCTTTGCTCATGAAGTTTATCTCCCTTTACATGAATTTTATTCTCCCTCTCAGAAAGGAGCATGGTCTCAAGGGTGAGGGGAGAGCCAGGTCCCGGCCCTGCTCTGGGCTTAGCATCATACATAAAAGTGTAAGTAGTGGGTCAAAGGTAGGATCCTCCCTCAAAATTTAATATTTAAATAACAAGTTTTTTATAGAAATAACACATTCTCATCATAGAAAAATAAATTTTGTATGATGATTTTTTGGTCAAGTCCATCTATTTGGGGGAAAGTGGTTTCCATGGTTACTGGTTTCTATTCACTATTTTAAATTTTAAAATAGTGTCAGAATTCAGGTTTCCTTTTCCTCACGTAAGGAGCTTAGAAGTCATCCCTTTATCCTAACAAGTGAAAAGCTTAATGAACTGAAAAATTAACAACTATTCTTGGGTCTACCAGAGAAATGAGGTCTCCGGGCAAACTGCTGCTTTCCAAACTGAAGATAAAAAAAGGTTGGGGGGTTGGGGGCTAGGGGAGGGATAGCATTAGGAGAAATACCTAATGTAGATGATGGGTTGATGGGTGCAGCAAACCACCATGGCACATCTATACCTATGTAACAAACCTGCACGTTCTGCACATGTATCCCAGAACTTAAAGTATAATAAAAAAAAATTGAACTATGAGAAAGAAAGAAAAAATAAAAAACAGGTGGACACAGAGAATCCCAGCCCACCAGAGCAGACACATCTGCAGGAATCAGGCCTGCGTCGAAACCCTGGGCTGTAAATGACAAATTGCCAGAGGCTCAGGGTGCGCAAGTTTGAGAGTTAAAAACTCCAGGCAGGCCCAATCACAGGGGGCCCTGGCCTCTTTTGTGAATTTTACCTCCAGGAGCTCCACCAGGTTCTCACAATGAAATCAGGGGAGAATCTCCTCATGCTTCTGGCAGGGGGAGAGAAAAAGGAACCAGTTTAAACTACACTGGGGCATTCTGAGGCCTGCCCTCAGAAGAAACTACATTACCAGAGCCTAACCTGCTGGGATTTTAGCAGAGCCTAACTACCTAGGAAGGGAAATACCCAGCTCCAACCCCCTCTACACATTATGTCCTAGCTAGGAGGGGAGAGAAAAACTGAGAAACACTTGTGAAGTTCACAGTCCAGAGACATAGTCTTACCAAAGGACCAAGACCTACTCATAGAACTATAGGACGGACGCTCCCTTCACTTCTCTCCCCATGCCTTACACCACATCACTGAAGGCCTGTCTTCCAGAGTTCCTTTTACCCAGGATGTCATGTTAGGCTACCAAGAAAATAATTACAAGGCATACCGAAAGGCAAAAAACATAGTTTGGAGAGATAGACAAAGCGTCAGAACTAGACTCAGATAGGGCAGGAATGTTGGAATTCTCAGACCAGGAATTTAAAATAACTGTGATTAATATGCTAAGGAAAAAAAAGAAAGGAGACATGAATTACTAATAGCAGACATAAAGGAGGATACATCACTACAGAGCCCATGGATATTAAAAGGGTAATAAAGGAATACTATGAACAACTCTATGCCCACAAATTTGATAACCCAGATGAAATGGGCCCGTTTTTTGAAAGACACAATCTGCCAAAACTCACACAAGAAGAAACAGACAATATAAATTGGCTTTTATCTGTTAAAGAAATTGAAGCAATAATTAATAACCTTCCAAAACAGAAAGCACTAGACTTAAATGGATTTCCTGGTGAATTCTACCAAACATTTAAGAAAGAAATTATGCCAATACTCTATAATATCTTCCAGAAGACAGAATCAGAAGGAATACTTCCTAACTCATTCTAATACTACTTAATACTTCCTAACTCATTCTTCCTAACTCATTTCAGCATTAGGCCAGCATTACTCTAATACCAAAACCAAAGACGTTGCAAGGAAAGAAACTACAGACCAATATTTCTTATGCATATAGACGTAAAAACTCTCAACAAATATTAGCAAATTGAGTCCAAGAATGTATAAAAAGAATTGTACACCATGACCCAGTGAGATTTATCCCAGGTTGGCAAGGTTGGTTCAACATTTGAAAATCGATTAATGCTTAAGAATGAAAAGAATAGCCACAGACTGGGAGAAAATATTTGCAAAATATACATCTGATAAAGGACTATTATCTAAAATATACAAAGAACAACTCTTAAAACTCAACAAGAAAATGTGCAACTCAATTAAAAAGCAGGCAAAAGTCTTGAGCAAATACCTCACCAAAGAAGATATACAGATGGCAAATAAGCGTATAGAAAGATGTTCCACATCATATGTCATTAGGGAATTGCAAATCAAAAGAATGAGATACCAGTACACACCTAATAGCATGGCCAAAATCCAAAACACTGACAACACCAAATGCTGGCAAGGATGTGGAGCAACAGGAATTCCCATTCATTGCTGGTGGGAATGAAAAAATGGTATAGCTACTAATGTGGTTAGGCTTTGTGTCCCCACTCAAATCTCATCTTGAATTATAATCCCCATAATTCCCACATGTCAAGGGAGAGACCAGGTGGAGATAATTGGACCATTGGGGTGGTTTCCTCCATGCTGTTCTCATGATAGTGAGTTCTCACAAGATCTGATGGTTTTATAAGTGTTTGGTAGTTCCTCCTGTGTTCATTCTCCTTCCTGCCACCTGTGAAGAAAGTGCTTTGCTTCCCCTTTGCTTTCCACCATGATTGTAAGTTTCCTGAGGCCTCCCCAGCCATGCTGAACTGTGAGTCAATTAAACCTCTTTCCTGTATAAATTACCCAGTCTCTGACAGTTCTTTACAGCAGTGTGAAAATGGACTAATACAGCTGCTTTAGAAGATAGTTTGACAGCTTTTTACAAAATTAAACACACTTTTACCATATGATTCAGCAACTGTGCTCCTTGGTATTTATCCAGATGAGCTGAAAACTTATCACTAAGGTCCTAATTTGTGGATCCCTATAAATCTTACCTTATTTGGAAAAAGGGTTCATGCAGTCGTGATTAAGTTAAGGATCTTGGGATGGGGCTTGGGACTTAACCTGGATTATACAAGTGGGCTTTACATGCAATCACAAAGTATCCTTGTAAGAAAGGGGCAGAGAGAGATTTGATACAGAGGAAAAGGTGATGTGAGCACAAGTCAAGGAATGCCAGCAGCCAGCAAAAGCTGGAAGACGCAGGAAACATGCTCCCCTAAAGCCTCTGGAAGGAATGTGGCCTTGCAGACTTCTGGTCCACAGAATGAGAATCAATTTCTGTTGTTTTAAGCCACCACAACCATCTGTTGCTCTAATGTATTACAACAACCACAGCAAATTCATGCACAGTGACTACCCAGATACTCTCCCTCAGTTACCACTCACATCTTAACTACACTGGCTTTACCAGTTATCCATCCATCCACCCCTCTAGCCATGCACTAATCCATCTTCTTTGTTATGCAACTCAAAGTAAATTACAGATATTCGTGCACTTCTAAACACCTCCGCATGCTTAGCATTAATTATAATTCAATAATTTTCTTTTGATGTAAAATTTATATACAATGTACAAATCTTACATGTGTATTTGCTGAGTTTTGACAAATGTGTGAGCCAACTTCTGTCGAGCCATAGAATAGCACTTCACCCTTCCCGGCCAATCCTCTCTTGCATTCCACAAAGACAATCACTGGTCTGATTTATTTTACCATAAAATAGTTTTGGCTATTCTAGAAGACTATATAATTGGACCATAAGTATGTAACTTGTATGTAAGGCTTCTTCCAATCTGCATAATAGTTTGAGATCCATCTATGTTGTACGTATCAACAGGTCACACCTTGTTCCACAAAGGAGTATCCCGTTGCAGGGCTATGCCCCAACCTGCGCACCCAGGTAATTAGTGATGTATGCCTGAGCTGTTTCCAGTTTGGGGCACTGATGAACAAAATGGCTGTGGTCATTTTTGTACATGTTTTTTTGTGAATGCATGTTTTTCTTTCTTTGGATCAATACCTAGCAGAGGATCATTGGGTCAAATAATAAGAAGCCACCAGAACTTTCCCAAAGTGACTGCACCAGGTACTCGCCCACAACAAGGGTGTTTGCATCCTGCATCCCCAGCCTTGCTGGCATTGGGTGTTGTCAGTCTTTCATTTTAGTCCTTCTTGTAAATGCAGACTGCTGTAGAAATCACCACATTCAGCATTGTATATAGAAGGAAACTTTTCTAGTGTTGCTACATATTTTTCTAAGGCATGATTTTAATGGGCCACATGTTACTAATGGTATGAAGGTATTTCATCACACCCCCTTCGACCACTCAGTCTTTTAAAAAGTAAATGTCACTGCCTCCCATGTTCCAGCCACAGGCAATCTTGTCTGTCCGCTGAGTCTATAATCCAGTGAGGGACATGCACAGGTCCGCAGGCATCTGTAGGATAACGTGATGTATTCAGGCAAACATGGCAGACTTAGGAAGCCTTAGAGCAGAAGCCTGACTCTGAGAAATTGGAAAAGGTCTCTAGAACTGATGGCCAAGCTCAGTCCCAAAGAATGAGTATGAATTCCTCAGGGCAGGGTGAGGATGTGTACGAGGAGGAAGATGATGGAAGCAGAGAAGGCTCCTGCCAGGTCTAAGGGGTCGGGGGAGGGAGGAGACAGAGGGGCCCAGGAACAGTCCTTCCTGGCTGGCCTGTCCTGTGGACATAGGGTCAGAGTGCTTGGAGCTTGAATCCAAGGCTTCACCTTTGGTGAGTTCACCGATATCTCCCTCCCATTCCTTTACTGGATCTCTCATCTCAGTCTCTTGGCCAAGGCCAGTGTGGCTCATCCCTCCCTTAGCCCTAGGCTGGTGGCCCCATCTGTAGTTCCTGTCTGCCCAGGTCTTTCCAGCCTCTGGGTGGCCCCTGGTGGATAGGACGTCAGTTGACTCCAAGCCAGCTCTCTCATGGTAGGGGGCCTGCACGTGGGCACTCCACCTGCCCCAAAGCACTCTGGGGATGCAGTGTTTCCCAGATGAAGGCCCCACTCTGCAGCTCCAGCCTGTCTCAGGGTCTCCCAAGTGCAGGGGAGTCATCTCCAGTGCCGCCCTGGAACCAGAGTCAGAATGAAACCCTCCTCCAGGGAAGGGCTCCCCAATCCCTGCACGGCACTCTTCAAAGGAATCGCCTTCCAGTCTCCAACCATCTCTCCTCCTTCCAGTCTCCAACCATCTCTCCTCCTTCCAGTCTCCAACCATCTCTCCTCAGCCTCTCCACCTCTTTTGTAGGCTGGAAATGGGTGGTCCACTGAGGTTATAAAATGGTTTTCTTCCACCTCTGCAGGGCCTCCATGACAGTCTTCAGCTCCCTCTGGAAGACGGTGCCTTGGGCAGGACCCACGCCCTGTTTTCATGTCCTGGTTCATTTGCTTTTGCTCTGAATCTTCTCTCTCTCCCCAGCCTGTGGAGTGTGTATCAAGTTGTAAGGTGGAGAAACTGCCTCACATTCATCCTGCATTCTTCCAAAACTGTTGTTTATTGTGTGAATATGTTCATAACATTGGGGACAGAAAAATTTAACCTTCTAAGACGGCAAAAACCTGTTATCAATATACTATCTCATGTGGGAAGTTTCAAAAGTTGATTTTGAAGTCCAAATGCTGAAAATAGGCTCCTTTGTTTTCCATTGTCCTAGGAGGGCTCCCTTCCTTGAGGCAGGGATCTTGGACCATGCTCATGGCTGCAGGGTCTCCAGGCAAGTGTCCTCAGATAAAAGATAATTGCCAGGAATGGACATCACTCTGCAGAACTGCCCCCAGCCCTTTCGGCTTCTCCCCCACACCCAGGTCTGTGCTGCCCCAGGACCTTGGCACGCCCTGCCTCCTCTGCCGGTCATGCTTTCCTCTGGTCTTACTATGGTTGGGAAAAGTTTTTATGAGTTAACCTCAATGCTACCTCCTCAGGGTGGCCAGCCCTGAGCACACGACCTAGGTGAGGTCCCATCGTTTTTACTGTGCATTGTCTTTCCTTTATAGCATTTATCACAAATTACAAGTATGCATGTTACTGGCTGCTTACCTACTTATTAAAAGTCTCCCTCACTCTAAACATAAGTTCCTGAGACTCCATAACACTTTTTAATATCTGGCATGTAGTACATAGTAAGTGCTCAGGAAAATGCCCTCACTAAGCAAAAGTAAGTGAAGGAAGAAATGAACAAATCAAGAAAATCTGCATCTCAGGAGTTCTTCCTGTACTCAATTAATTGCACATTGCAAGAAAACCCAGACACACAGAAGGAAAATGCCAAGCAGTGCAGTGAGAATGAAGAAGTTGTTTCCAGATTTTTCCTATTGTTAACAACGAGGCCAGGAACCTACTGGCATGTTAATGTCTGTGTGTCTCTGATTGTTTTTTAAAAATAAGTAAGTAGAGGCCTGGCGCGGTGGCTCACGCCTGTAATCCCAGCACTTTGGGACGCCGAGGCGGGTAGATCATGAGGTCAGGAGTTCAACACCAGCCTGGCCAAGATGGTGAAAACCCATCTCTACTAAAAATACAAAAATTAGCAGGGAAGGTTAAGGGCGCCTGTAATACCAGCTACTCAAGAGGCTGAGGCAGAGAATTGCTTGAACCTGGGAGGCAGAGGTTGCAATGAGCCGAGATTGCACCACTGCACTCTAGCCTGGGCAACAGAGTGAGACTCCATCTCAAAAAAATAAAAAAAATAAAAAAAAATAAGTAGAAGTGGAATTACTGAGTCAAATGGCACAAACATTCTCAAGAGTTTATATACTTGTTGCTGCCTAGAAAACTGTCAGTCAGTAGAACTGTGTATCTAGTCCCTAACTCTATGGATACTGGGTGACATTGGCATTAGACAGAGACAGAGACATGAAAAAGAGGGAAATATATAGAGAGATGTGTGGACATATCAGATAGTTGACATAGCACTGACTGCTGGAATAAGCAAATCTAAATGCAGTCTGTGCTGGGCTGTACTGCTTGTCCACGTTCTTCTCTTCCTCCCCTGCCCTGCCATGACTCCACTCATCCGTGGAGGAGTACATCTTCCCCATCCTGTTCGTGCTGGACTGGGTTGTGTGACTGGCTTTGGCCACCGGGGTGCAAGCAGGCATGAGGGTAGCAGAGGATGTAAGTGGTTCTTGCACTTCTGCCGGGAGAGGAACACGCCCTGGGCAGCCAGCAGTCCCAGGATGAGGAGGTGCACAGAGCGCACCTGGAGACACTCTGACCTCAAGTGAGACCATCAGAGTCCCAGCCAATCTCCAGGTACATGTGCTGTGTAGGGATGGGGGTACGGTGGCAAGGAAGAGGTGGGGTGAACACTAGGAGGCCGTTGCCATGCTCCAAGCTAGAATTGTTGATAATTTGGGTTAGGGTGACAGGTGGATGTAGTGAAAAAGACGAGAGTTATAATTACATCTATATTTTGAATGTGAAACTGAAAAGATTTACTGACAGTTCATGTGGTAGGTTAAAAATGACTACAAATTCTTTGCCATTTCTTCCATCCAAGTGACTGATATGGTTTGGATGTTTGTCCCCTCCAAGTCTTGCAATGAAGTGTGATCCCCCGTGTTGGAAGGGGGCCGGTGGGAGGTGTCTGGGTCATGGCGGCAGATCCCTCATGAATGGCTTCGCACCTTCCCCTTGGTGATGGGTAAGTTCTCACTCTTTTCCTCTAGGCAAGAGCTGGTTGTTTTAAAATGTGGCATCTCCCCCACCCCTCATTCTCTTGTTCCCTCTCTTGCCATGTGATGCACCTGCTTCTCCTTCACCTTACACGATTGGAAGCTTCCTGAGGCCTTACCAGAAGCAGGTGTCAGCACCACACTTCTTGTACAGTCTGCAGAACTGTGAGCCAAATAAAACTTTTTCCTTTATAAATTACCCAGTCTCCAGTATCCCTTCACAGCAATGCAAAACCGACTAATACAGTGATGGAGTCTTCTTCCCTTCTCCTTGAATCTGGGTTGGCTCCATGCTTTGACCAATAAACTGTGACAGAAGTGACACTGCATACATTCCAAGGTTGGGCCCTAAGATCTGTAGTTTTCACCTTTGTTCTTGGAATGCAGCCACCAAGATGGAGAGGCCACCTGGAGCAGAACCAGGGAACTCTGATTGATAGCCCTTGCTGAGCTCCCAGCCAACAGCCAACACCAACTTCCAGCAATGTGAATGAATGTCCCAGCCTTCAGACAATTACAGCCCTCCCAATACTAAGTGGAACAGAAGAATCAGCTGGCTAAGCCTAATCAACCCAAAGAGTCATGAGAGAAAATACATACTGGCTGTTATTTAACTATGGCAAGTATTGTCTTTGTAGTTTCCTAATGTAGAGGAGCAGCATCCAAGTAGCTTCAACCAAGGAGCCCCACCCATATCTGGACCTGATTTAGAGATGAGATCCTGGACCTCAAGCCTGAGTCTGATGCTGTAATGGGATAGAATGAAAGGACTTTGCTTAGGAGAGATATAAATAATTTGTGGTCATAGAGAAGACTGTGCTGGATTTAAGATGGCTCTACATTCTCTGACACTCTTCCCATAAAGAAGCCAAGCCATGTGGAAAGGCCATATGGAAGACCACCAGGAACTCAGCTCCAGCTGAGCCCCCAGCTGAAAGCCAGCACCAACTGCCAGCCATGAGGTGAACCATCCTGGAGATTCCAGCCCAGGTGATCCTCCAGGTGACTGCAGCTCCAGCCAAAACCACAAGAAACTAAAGAACCACCCAGCTGAGCCCAATCAACCCACAGGATTCAAGAGATAATGAATGGATGCTAGGCTGTAAGCCACTAAATTTGGGGATAGTTTGTTGCATAGCAACGGGTAGTGGAAACTATAGGTGGGAGAGGAAAGAGGAGTCAAGACTGACTCCAAGATCGTGGCCCTGAGCACTAGCTGACTGGTGCTGTGGTTGGACCACGGAGGAGAGAGTGGGGTTTTATTCAGGGGTGGAAATCAAGCATTCAAAGTGGAGTATTTTAAGTTTGAGATGTCAGTTGGACATTGAGTTGGTGATGGAGAGTAGACGATTTAGCATCTGAGTTTGGAGTTCAGGAGGAAAGTTCATGTAAATTCAGGAGTCATCACTGTGCTGATGCTGTATTACACCACGGGCTGGGTGAAGTCTCCCAGAGAATGGACATAGCTGGAGCAGAGAAGAGCCAAGGGCTGAGCTCGGGACACACTAACTTGGAGAGGCTGGAGGAGGAGGAGGAGCCACCTGCATGGACTCGGAGGGGAGAGGGCAGAGAGGAGAAACTGCGGTGGGGGGTGTCCTTGAAGCAAAGGAAAGGTTTCAAGAAAAGGCTGTGACCAAAGATGCTGAGAGGGTGAGTGGGATAAGGGTGAGAATTCACCCTTGAAGCTGGCGGGAAGATCACTACTGACCTTGACAGCAGTTTTAGTGGCCCTGAGGCTGTGGAAGCCAATTAGACTGGCTTGAGGAATGGGTGGGAAGTGAAGAAGTGGAGAGAGGTGAGGAAGATCAGGAACACTTGCAAGAAATGTTGCTAAAGGGACGCAGGGGAATGGGGCAGCGGTTAAAGGGACGCAGGGGAAGGGGCAGCAGCTAAAGGGACAGAGGGGAATGGTGCAGCAGCTGAAGGGACGCAGGGGAATGGGGCAGCGGCTGAAGGGACGCAGGGGAATAGCGCAGTGGCTGAAGGAGGAGGGGTATTAAGAGAAGGTGTGTTTAACTGTTATGCATGTCTTTAAGGTAATGTGCAAGATCCAAGACCAAAGAAAACGTGATGATGTAGGTGACTGAGGAGGAAAGTTCTTGAGGTGAGGCACGTGTGAAAAGGGGGCTCGTCCTTGGCAGGGGTAGCTCATCCTCAACAGGCAGGAAGCATGCGTGGGTATAGATGCCAGTGGGTTTGCAAACTGGGAGATGAGGGCGTTTTATTGATAACGAAGTCTTCCAAATTAGAAGTGAGGACATCGATTGAGATTGAAGAATAGAAAGAGAATAAGGAGTTTTAAAAGAAATAAGGGGCTGGGCATGGTAGCTCACGCCTGTAATCCCAGTACTTTGGCAGGTCGAGGTGGGTGGGTCACTTAAGGCCAGGAGTTTGGGACCAGCCTGGCCAACATGGTGAAACCCTGTCTCTACTAAAAATACAAAAATTAGCTGGGCATGGTGGTTCGCACCTGTAGTCCCAACTACTGGGGAGGCTGAGGGAGAATCACTTGAACCCAGAAGGCAGAGGCTGCAGTGAGCTGAGATCACACCACTGCACTCCAGCCTGGGCGACACAGCGGACGCTCTTATAAAAAGAAGAAAAGAAGTGAGGAAAGGTGGTAAGCCCTTTGGAGACAGGGAAGTGACTGAAGAAGTGAGTGAGGGGAGACACTGCCTGGTACAGAACACTCAAAAGATGTCCCTAAGAAGGGGAGGAGGAGAGAAAAGGACTGAGCACCCGGGAAAGAAAACTCAGGAAGGAGAGAACAACACGGCATGGAGACAGAGACAAGCACGTGGAGGGAGGTGGTCCTGGACAGCTGGCGTCCCGGGAATGCGGATCCCCTCAGACCAGTATGGGGCACTGACCTAGAAGAGGGTGAGAAGGGGGCGCCATTGCCCAGGAAAAAGGCATGATCAGAAACTCTATGCTCTCAGATTGAGAAAGAAAATCTGGCCAAAGTGCTCACCATTGGGCAATCTCAGCCTTCACTGTTTCATTTTTTCAACCTTTCTGCAGGTTTGAAAAGTTGGGGGGAAGAGAAAAGGAAATTCTGCCCGACCCCTGCAGGCACAAATCTTCAGGTAAGAAAAGGGACCGACTGTGGCTCTGGGTCCCGTTGCCCAGAGCTGACCCTCATAGGCCCGGGAGGATCAGGCTTGGAGATGGCGGGGTGTGGGCTTGACAGCACTGGGGACCAAGGTCTCTGGGAGCATCCATGGGGGTGAACCTGACCCAGCTTAGTGCAGAGGGAGTGGAAAGTGCTGCCTCAACAAGGCGAGAGGCCTCCTGGGAGTGGAGCCCGGGAGGCACCTCACCTCTGGGTGGGCCGGTGTGCCTGTTGGACACTAGACCACGAGCCCTGAACAGCAACCCTAGTGACAGAAGAGGCACCACAGAGGGGACTGATTACAGCCCTTGCGGAAATCAGACACAATGACCCCAGCGCTCAGACTGTGTAAGACTTGGGTTCTTGGTGGGAGGGGCGAAGGACATTTCAAGAGAGAAAAATCTAGCACTTCAAAAATGTGTGGGGTACCTATTGCAGGGAGCAGAAAAGTTGTCTTTCTCAGGCATCAGGTAGGATGAGAAAAGCAGTAGCAGAACCCGACAGACCAACTGCTCAGCCAGCAGCTGGCATTGGTGGCGTGCCAACCGCCTACCTGGCCCATGCGGGCCTCGGGACAGCATGTGAGCTGCAGTCTCCTGTCCTCTTGTGATCTCCAGCACAGTGTGTAGCCAGCCAGGGGGTAGGTCTGACACCGTGCCGGGGCAGGATGGAAGCAGTGAGGGCTGGACCCAGGTTTGACTGCCCGGGAATGAGATCCAATAAGCTCAGAAGGTGGGACTGGAAAGATGAGGGTGACGTAGCCAGAGGGAGCTGGCGGCTATGAGTGGGCAGGGCAGGGAGTGAGTGTGCATGGGGCACAGGGAGGCTGGCGGGATACTTCCGGCTCAGGGAAGGCAGGGCCAACTCTGGGAGACCCAAAGAGGCTCAGCGGGGGGCCCTGTTGGACAAAGCACATCACGCAGCCAATTGGGAGTTTTAAGAAAAAAAAAGCGCTCGGATAAGCTTTGTGTTATCAGACAGGCAGTGTGCACAGGGAATGCAAGGGAGGTCCGCCAGCAGGGAGATGTCAGCGGGGCCAGTGATAGGCGCAGCTACCTGAACCAAGTAACAGACAGTGGGAGAAGGGCCTTGGGATGAGGAGAAGCTTGGGAGCTGGGATCCAGAGCCCCCAGCACAGCTGCTGAGCCAGCCCCACCACTCGCCTGCCCTTGGCATAGGGCCGTCATGGTGCAAGCCATTGGCCCTCAGTGCAGACCTCAGGCCAGGTCAGCTGGGGCAAGGGCACCTGGGGCAGGGGACATTAGCCTCACGATGCTCACAGGCGTGTCTGCTGCTGCCCCTACTGGCCATGCAGGAGGATTGCACCTCCCTGCACCTGGAAGCCAGGAGCAGCCAGACTCACCTTGACCAATGAGGTGTGTGCACGTCCCTTCCTAAGGGCCCGAGAGTGACTCCGTGTCCACCCCTCCAGCTGCAACTACAACCCATGACACACTGGATTAATAACCCTGGGTCAGCCTGAGCCCCTCACCAACATGTGAAGAGTGAATGGCAGAGAGATCTCTGGAGTTCGAGCCACCAAGACTTGAGGTGTGTTTGTTACCACACACAAACTAGCCCATTCCTGACTGATACATCCCCTCTGTCACTCCTCCACAGGGATATCTGCCTCTGCCTTCAAAAGGAAAGAGGGCACTGCTGGAACAGTCAACCTTTATTTTTCTTCAAAACAGTGCCATCAGCAAGATTTCTTTAGCAAATACTTACA
Source organism: Homo sapiens (assembly GCF_000001405.40). Taxonomy (NCBI): domain Eukaryota; kingdom Metazoa; phylum Chordata; class Mammalia; order Primates; family Hominidae; genus Homo; species Homo sapiens. Next base: position 238,573,087 of record NC_000002.12, on the reverse strand, counting down.
ATAGCATTTGCAAAGGACATGCCAGGTCCTGTTTGAAAGGATTTACTTATCATTGACTCCCTTAATTCCCACCACAATCCTATAAAGGGAGTACTATTCTCATCCCTATTTAAAAGTGGGAACAGGCTCAGGCACACAGAGAAGTAATTTTCCCAAGGTCACCCAGCTATTAGGTGGCATAGCCAGGATTTCAACCTGGGCCCTCTGGCTCCGTACTTAATAGTGGTTCAGCTTAACCACTGAGATCTGCTGTCTCTTGGGAAGTGAGAGCTGGTGGTAAGAATTTCAGGGAAAGGTAATTGCATTTTGTTCTTCATGAAACATTAAAAAGTGCTTATCTGTCCACTGAATAAATGAGGTGCCTTTGCAGGCCCGTGCTAGTCCCTGGAGGCCTCCCGCCTCCTAAGAAAAGACAGGAGGGCTTCTGGCCTTCACCAAGGTACTTTCCTGGTGGACTTGAGGCAGGCAGGCTAGTGGGTTTCCTGTTTCGATGTGGTTTAGAGAAAAAGGACAAAAGCCCCTTACTCAAGCTGTGGCTTACGTTAGCTTCCAACCAATCAGCAACAAAAGACCCCAGAAGCTCCTGCATTAGGAAGCTAGGGACTTTCCCGGGATCCAACATATGCAGTGACCCCTCCTTCATTTTAATGCTAAAAATCATGTCTAGGGGTGGAGATTTAAAATGCAAATGTTACATGTGATGTATGAAGAAGCATGTAGAGCTGCTGGAGAAACCCCTCCTATGCGTGGCCTGGTGAGACCCTTCCCTGTGAAATTAACCCACAGACTACTCTCAGGGAGTGGCCCGCCTGCACTTCCCTTTCGTAGTACTGACCTCTTGTGCACAAGCTAAAATAAAGTTTTCTCGTCCTCTTTGCTGCTTTGTCTGGTGATCTCTCTTGATTTCTGTCCTGGAAGATTGCCAGAACCCAGGGCAGCAATAACAGACACAGATCCAACCAACTCCCAGAATGCTACAGCCAGGAGGGAGCCCAGAGACTCCTCTCACACCTTGATAATTCAGGGATAAGGACACTGTCCTGGGCCAGTCACTGCATTCTCTGGGCCTACTCAGTCCCTCCCACCTCGGCTGCTCATCCCAGGCGAGACAACCGTAGCAACAGCTCACAGCAATCCATAGTCACTGGGCTCACCTGCTGCTGTCAGAGCGGCCTCCACCCCCCAATTGAGGGCCCCTCTTATGACAGCTATGGAAGAGGATCCACTACTAAGCCTGTGCCAGGGTTGGATGGGCCCCCCGGAGGCTCTGGAGCAGCCCGCAACACAGCCCAGGAGCAGGGGGCAGTCGATATCCCATGGGCCAGACCATGGCTGATAAAATATGGAGGGCAGAAGGAGGCAAAGGGCAGTGGCCGGCCCCCAGCAGATACACTGCCCGCTGTTGCTGCCGCAGCTGCAGGTGCTTGGTCCTGCCACGATGCAGGCGTCCCCCAAGGACCAAGCAACCAGCTGAGGTTGTTGTGGAGCTGGGCCAGCTGGATGGGGCAGCTCTGGCCTCTCCCATCATGGCTCACTTCTGCTTCCTCACTCTTTTTTTTTTTCTTCTTCTTCTGAGACAGGGTCTTGCTCTGTCACCCAGGCTGGAGTGCAGTGGTGCAATCTCAGCTCACTGTAGCCTTGACCTCCTTGGGCTCAAGCAATCCCCACACCTTAACGTCTCGAGTAGCTGGGACTACAGGAACACACCACCACACCTGGCTAATTTTTGTATTTTTGTAGAGACAGGATTTTGCCATGTTGCCCAGGCTGGTCTCAAACTCCTGAGCTCAGGCGATCCGCCCACCTCGGCTCCCAAAGTGCTGGGATTATAGGCGTGAGCCACCGCGCCCGGCTGTTCCCTCACTCCTTCCCTGGGTTCACCATCCCACTAAAGCAGTGATGTGGGAAGTCTGGTTTACGGCTCTGTTTTCTGGAGGACCTAGGCTAAGACAGTGGAGTCAAGAAAAATCAGGGGCTGCCCAGAGTCACTTCCGTGTCACCGGCAGAGCTGGGCGGGCCAGCCTCCTGACTCCCAGTCCAGGCTCGTTCCGCTGCAGTGCCCTCCCTCCCCGAGCCCCTGACCCCGGTGGTCTAGACCAGCATTTCCCAAGGGACATTGCGAGAAACACAAGGACAAGGAGACATACCGTGGAAACAAAGCCGCCTTGTTAAACAGTTTGAGAAAACCCCACATTCTAAAGCCCCCTGGAGATTTGCAACACACTCACATATATGACCTTCAGTTGACCCAACAGCTCCCAAACTCATCACCTGCAGAAACTTGGTGACATAATCCTTTGGAGGACGCCTCATCCAGGGCTCTGGGAACCGCTGTGGGAAAGTCTCTTCTGCGTGCCTGTGCCCCCGGGCTGCTGTAACACAGAGCAACAAAGATTTATTCTCTCACAGTTGTGGAGCTCCAAAGTCTGAAATCCAGGGGCAGACAGAGTCTTGCTCCCTCCAGAGGCTCTAAGGGGCATCCCTCCCGCCTCCTGCAGCTTCCCGCAGCCCCCTGCATCCCTTGGCTGGTGGCCGAATCACTCTGAGCTGTCTCCATCTTCACGTGGCCTCCTCCCCTGTGCTGCTGTGTCCCCTTCTATCCCTTATAAGGTCAACTGTCTTCGGATTTAGGCCCCACCCTAATCCAGGACCATCTCCTCCCGAGATTCTTACCTGAATTATATCCTCAAAAGCCCTTATTCCAAACAAGGTCACATTCTGAGGTTCTGGATGGACATATCTTTTGGGGTCACTCTTCAACTCTCCGCAGCCCCCATTTTCTTCCATCCCTTTTGAAGTTGCCTGCTCAGCCTCCTCCCCTGCTCTCCAGGGCATATTTTCAGCTACTTGTTCCCATTACCTTTCTCTACCCTCTCTCCCCCCTTCTGTTAATAAAATCCCCTGGGACCTCCTCCCCCACTGTCCCTGCCATTCCCAGAGGCTATCGGGAAACTCTGGTCCAGCCACAGTGGTCTGGCCACACAGGGAGCCATGTAGAGACCTCCATCTCCAGCCAGGATGACACCGGTCTGCGGTTCCCAGCTCGTCGTCAAGATGGGATCATCCAGGCCCCACACGCCTGCAGCCCCTCACCCGCCCTCTTCCAGGTCCTCTTCGGGCCCTGGCATTTGCTCAGCGACAGTCCAGGCAGTTCAGGCTTCAGGGTGCTGGGTGGGCCGCCAAGAGCTGGCTGCCACCCCTCGAGGTGTGTACCGAGCAGAAGGTGCGAAGGCGCTGTGTTCCCGAAAGTGCCTCTGAAATTCCACTGGGCATGTCCTGGCCGGGGCCGCCTGCCTTCTGTTCTGTCCTGAGGGCCGGGGTTAGGCCACCGAGGATTCCAGCACTTCCTCTTGGCCGCCACCCGCACTAAGTGGGGAGGCTGAGTGCACGGGAACATTATTTCAACAGCCTTTAAGAGAACTAGCACCACGTCATAAAACTCTTGGCTGGTACCTTTGCTCTTCAGACTTAAATACCATCAGCGTGTTTCTCAGCAACATTAATTAAAATGCTTTTAAAGACCGGGCTGTTCTCCACACAGGAAGGCCCTCACCTGGGGAGCACTTTCACAGGTGAATTGGCTCCTTAAAAGCTTTTAAATTAATGTCCTTCCCCATAATTCTTATTTTTCCAAAAAGTAAGTTTTTACAACTTCGCTGCCTTCCTCCCCAGTGAGCTGAGCAGTTGAGGGGGAAATGGGGGCAAGGTGGCTCTGAAGAGGGGCTCTCCATGGGAGGCCGGCCTGGCCGCCAGTGCTAACGTGTGGGGAGTCCGCACAGGGGCATTTCTTCAATGACTCGCTTCTGGAAAGGGAGGGCTCCCCCGCTTGACTTCACACACTGTTTCTGTTCAGAAGAAACAATCCATAGAGGACTCCTCGGCCCCCACGTTTTGATCTTCCGTGGAGATACAGATACAGCCCAGGACTGGCGCTTGGCCCCCTGCTCAGTTCAACACAAGTGACACTCACCCCAGTAACCGGCACCGTGGGCACCACTGGTGCCCTGCTCAGGACCAGAGACATTTCATCTAACTTAGTCCTTTCAGCTGTATCATGAGGCAGGTGTCGTTACTTCCTTTTAAAAATGCAGACAGGCTCAGACAGGCCAAGTCATTTGTACCAGGTAGCACAGCAAGTAATTGGGAAATGAGAATTTTATTTCGATTCTTCTGGCTCCAAAGTCTGTTTTATTTCACCTAGACTACTTTGTGAAAATTATGAAGAGTGAGTTAGTTTCGACAGTAATTTAATAAAGATTAAAGGCAAAACAAAGAATTAGGGATGCCGAAATGCATGGCTGGTGTTGAGAGCCCAGGCTCACACTGTCCACCCCGCCCCGCAGTGGTTCTCAGCCACCAGCATCCCCTCTCCACCTGCTAGAGAGACCGTGCGAAAGGCAGAGCTCAGAGGGCTCTCGGGGACTCCCCAGCAGAGGCCTCAGAAGCTGGAGCACAGCCCGGTGTGGCTATAGCCCCAGCTGGTTCCAGGTGGACAGATCAGCCCTGGGACCTTCAGTGCCTGTGGAACAACAGGAAACCCAGGCGCAGCACCCCCCGAGACGCAGCACCCCCCAGATGCAGCACCCCCCAGATACAGCACCGCCCAAGATGCAGCACCCCCCAGGCACAGCACCCCCTAGGCACAGCATCCCCCGAGATGCAGCACTCCCAAATGCAGCGCCCCCTGAGACACAGCACCCCCCAGGCACAGCACCCCCCGAGATACAGCACCCCCCAGATGCAGCACCCCCCAGACGCAGCACCCCCGGGCCATGAAGCTGCTGCCCTGCATCTGCTGAATCAAGAATGACAGGAGGCACAACATCAGCCGGCTTCTGCTGAAAGCAGAGCCTAAGACGCAGAGCTTTCCAGGCCGCCCTCTGTTGGGGGCTGTGACCCCCACTAACAGGAGTAAGAGCAAGAGTGGGAGTGAAACGAGAAATGTTCCCTCGTCCCCCTTGCAGGGTGTGCAATGGGTGTGTGACTCACTTCTTCATGCCCCGCTCTCAGACCTCTAGGGGAGCATATAGACGGGCAGGCTGTGGGGCTCTAACCCCAGGCAGTGTCTAGGGGTGAATGTTTTCAGCCCCTGAAGCCCCTGTGGGCGTGTGTCACAGTGTTGTCTTTTAGTTTTGCTGTCTCTAGGCAGCTTGCGTTAACCAGCTCAATCACACCCTCTGCCTTGTCGCAAGGACAACGGGCTTTCTGTATCCCAGGTTCTTCCTTGGTGTACCAGAAGGATCAGGTCACACGTGCGCTGGGAGAATGAGTGCAAGGTTTTACTGAGTGGAGGTAGCTCTCAGCAGAGGGGAAGTCAAAAGGGGGATGGAGTGGGAAGGTTTTCCCCGGGAGCTGGGCTGCTCAGTGGCCTGGGCTCTCCTCTGACTGCCCCAGCCAAACTCCACATCATTCTGCTTCTGCCCGTCGGTGGCCTGCGGCATGCCGGTGTGTGTCAGGGTGCTCCTCTCCACATCCGGCCACCCGTGTGTGCCCCCACTGATGTGCTCCTCTCCACGTCCAGCTGCTTGTGTGCCTGCCTGCTGGGGCCTCAGCCCTTTTCATTTTCATAGGCACAAGATGGGGGCGTGGCAGGCCAGGGTGGTCTTGGGAAATGCAACATTTGGGTGTGAAGGCAGGAGTGCCTGTCCTCACCTAGGTCCGTGGGCACAGGCCCGGGGGTGGAGCCCTCACCAGGGACCCGCCCTTCTTCCCTACCAGCTCTTCCCTGCCCTTCCCCCATATCAGGAGGAAGAACTGGCACCAGGGCGTGTTGTTAGCTCACCCAAGACCGGCAGTGCAGCGGGCCACACCCCGGGCGGTGTACAGAGGGGACCAGGGCCACCTGGCCATGGAGGAAAGGTGACGGCTGACTCCATCTCCCACTGACCAGCACTTGCCAGAGGCCAGAAACCCCCAGTGGCACAAGCGTTGATTCCCAGGGGATTCCAGTGTGTTCGCCCTGACATCAGCAAGAAGCCAGGGCCTGGGACACATTATGGGACAGGAGGTAGATGCCCAGCAGGAAGACTACGAGGGGGGGCTTGGCCACCACACTGTCACACCTTCCTCTGCGTCCACGAGGACTCTCCCAGGAAGGTCTATGCCATGCACACATTGCACTGCAGTGCGTTCTGAGGGGCTCGAGGAGGTGCTGGGCCTCGCATCTGCACCAACAGGGTTCAATGCAGATGAGGGGCGTGACACAGCAGCCCGGAGAGGTGAACTTCCGGGGGCTTCAGGAGCCCCAGGAGGCTCTGCACGTCCAGAGGCTGAGGAGTCAGCAGAGGCCTCAGATTCCTGGATCCCACAGGCCACAGACAAGGTCTCACGTGGAAACTGTGGCCACTGCATTCCTGAATGAGCTGGCCTGGCTGGGGGCGGCCCGACCTGGGAGATGGGTGCTGTCCCCATCCCTGTCCAGTCTGATCTAAATTAAAACTTGAACTTCTCATCAGTTTAAAGCTTCTCTCCACCCTCAGCTCAGGCCTGACGCACAAAGTCCTTGCACAGCAGGGCAGAGCGGAGGAGGTCATCTGCTTCTACCCCGACGCTTCTCCTTCTCCACCCGCCACCAAGGTCCTCTGTGGTGGGGGGAGAGTGGGAGGGGAGACAAGGGGCTGTTGTCGCCTGCACTGATGCCCTGCCCTGACATTTGCCCACACGCTCGCCATGGGGACCTCGAGCACTGCCTGTCCTCATGCTGTGCCAGCTGACCGCTGCCCACCCACCCCAGCTCGCGCCCCCAATGGCCCAACTCTCCCACCTTTCCTGCCTTCCCCTTGGGAGGAGTCTTCAAGCTGGCTGGAACTCAGCCATTTTCTGGGGCTCCCACCCAGTAGCTCGGGCTCATCCCAGATAGAGATGCAGAGATGTGATTCCCAAGCTGGGATTTGGAGGTGGGGCCTGCAGCCCAGCCAGGATCAATGCCAGTTGGCAAAGGGCATGGCAGAGGCTAGCCGAGACCCAGAGAGATGGGCCTGAGGCTTCCCCCGCATACACCAGGCAGGGGCCACTCCATCCCAGCAGAGTCTGGACCCAGCCCAGAAAGACGGGGGGAAGAAACCCAGAATTGGCAGAGTTTACACAACTGGGTTGATCCGGATGACATTTGGTTACGCTTGTGTTATCAGGCTCCATGGAGCTTTGACTCCAAAAATAAGCTTTTGCTTATGGACAACTAATAATCACTTCTTGCAAGTGTGTATTAAAGTATAATACACAGACAGAAAAGTGTACATATCGTAAGTGTTGGGCTCATTGAATTTTTTTCATGAACTAGGGATACCCATAAAAAAATAGTTACTTTTTAAACTTTGCGTGTGTGGCCTAGGAGAATATTGTTCCACTGCACAGGAAATAAGTCTTCTTGCCAACAAGGGTCTTTAATCCCCTTGCAGAGCCCCTCACAGACACACACCGCCCGGAGAGGTCCCAGCCTCCAAGCAGAGCATCTGGGCCTCCAGGAGGAGAGTGTCTAGCACATTTCTTGATGGGGACCTGGGGGCTGATGTAGAACACACAGAATGGCCATGCGTGACAATTATCTGTGAAGCTTGCAGAGCCCTGGCTGCACCTCAGGCCAATCAACCAGAACCATGAAAATGGGACCCAAGCTTCGTGTTTGTGAAAGCTCCCCAGATAGCCCCACAGGCAGCCCAGCCTGAGGACCATGACTTGAGTTCACTGTGTAATCTGTGTAACTAACTGGTTTAAATACACTACACCTACTTCCCATTCTACCAGTGGTTTAGACAATCTAAAGGAATCCTTTAATCTTATGCGAGAAGTTAAAGAACAGCCCGAGGTCTAGTCAGCCTGTGTGGTAGCCCGCTCAGGCCGTCATGACAACATACCCCAGACGAGGGGCTTGAACAGCAGGTATCCTCACAGTTCTGGAGGCCCTAAGTCCAAGATCAAGGTTGCAGCAGGAGTGGTTTCTTCTGAGGTCTCTCCCCTTGGCTTGTAGACACCATCCTCCCGCTGTGTCCTCACTTGGGCATCCCTCCCTGGGTGCTGTGTCCCAATTTCCTCTTCCTATAAGGACACCAGTCACTAGGGCCCACTCCAGTGACCTCACTATAACTTCATTCCTTCTTTAAAGACCCTGCCTCCAAATACAGTCACACTCTGAGGTACTGAGGTTAGAACTTCAATATATGAAAATATATTAATTGAGTGGGACACAGCTCAGCCCATAACAGCCAGATACATCTTACCTGACTAGCAAACATGCCTGCTGTCAGGTCTGTGAATACGGGGTGGGGGGAGCCCCTTACACGGGATGCTGTCTTCCCGAGAATGCAGTGTGATGGGCCGTCCTCTGGATGAGCTGGGCTTCCAGCACCCGGAAAACCAGACCTTGCCAGCAGCCCCTGCTCCGGCTGGCTTTCCCTGGCTGCTTCTGGAGGAATCTCCACACTTCACATGGAGGCTCTGCCATGCAGGTGAAGGTGAATTTGAGCAGGAAGAGGTCTGGGAAAGGAGGCACTTCGAGGCTGTTGCAATAGTCCTAGGAATAGGTCACTGTGACACGCACTGAGGTGTGGGCTGTGAGGGTGCATGTCATCCGTGGAGTCATTTGCAGACGTCTGCAAGCAGAAAGAGAGCCAGACTGCGTGGAGGACTCCCCATGGTGGCCTGAGGACGCCACACTTGACGTGCAAGGGGCAGCAGCCGAGCTCCGGGACCTTCTGCAAATGCGTCCCTGTCTGGACTCCATAACTGCAAAGGTGTTTTATTTCCTGGAACTTTTAGATCAAAGGACATTGTTTTAGGACTCTGAGCTGCTATTTCCATTTCTCTGGAGAAATCGTAAGAGGCAACAGCCAATTACTGTCAGTGAGGGTTGAAGGAACAAGAAAGAAAAGGGCTGTTTTCCCTTCAACAGTGAGGCTCATCAAAGACCACAGAGTTTGCCAGTCTCACTCCTCAGGAAATGCATTGCTTGAAAGAAACTCTGCCCCAGTAGAAGATACTGAATGGAAATTCCTTTGGCAGGAGGAAAAAGAATCAAGTCTTGCGAGTGAATTTACACCAGGAAATATACTCTTCTGTGCTCTTTGAAGCCACCAAGAAAAGAGAATATGCCCCATTTGCTGCTTCTAGGGAGGTGAAGGCCGTCTCTCCACCTACATCAGCTGGTGGGGGAGCCCCCGGGTGACCTCACCTTGCCCAGACCACCCATCCGCCACTGCTTCCCTCAACCTTCTTCCTTAAGAATGGTGAGATGGCTCAACTGGAATGTTCCGCATGAAAAGAGACACTTCATGATCGCTTCCACTCGCGTTACTCCCCTTTCCCTTTAAAACAGTTCAACATTGCCTGGGTTTTATGTGTAAGTGGATCCGAAGACCACCCACGTGTTGGGAAGCTGAGGTTGCCAGAAACATTCCCCGATTTCCAATATCTCCCTTCCTGGAGCTGAGAGCTTCATCTCACTACTGGCGGCTTAGTGTTTTGCACAGAGGTATGAGTTCTCAAACAGTTTTAAGCAAGAGAGCCATTTGTGAAATAAAATTTTACACAGCAATGTGATTTCTGAAAAGGGGTGGGGGGCCCCCTCGTCAGTCCCCAGTGTGTCGCTCCATCTGTCCATGGAGTCCCACGACATGCCAAGCACCGCACAAGTCCCTGAGGACAAAATATCTGAGACCATCTCATCTTGCACTCAGAGCATTGACAGACTCCAGCAGGAAAGATGCTGCAGCAAACAGAAAACTTTGATTCGCTGAAATGAGATGTGACGAAGAAGAAACAATGAGGAGAGATGGGGTGTACTTCTGACCAACTACACTGTAAATAAGTCAAATTAATGCGACTCCAAAACCTTAACTAAATAATTCTGAAGATGAAAGAAGAAAGGGATAAGAATAATTCTACATTTTTGGAAAGAGGGGCAGTGGAGGAGGCTTGCCTTTGGGGATATTAAAACAAGTGAGAAAGCAATCAAAACAGGAACTTCATGGTGCAGCCGATGACAGGTAGAGGATGCCCCTGAAAAAGACGCTTCTAGCAAAGGCTGAACACGTGGACAAAGTTGTGTTACGGACGATTAGACTGAGGATGGAATTTTCAATTAATAATGCTTAAAAGAGTGACTCCTTGGGAAAAAAATCAAGTTAAGAGTGTCACTCCAAACCATATCCCAAAGTAAATTCCAAATAGATTGACAAGCTGAACGTTGAAAAGAAGCCATAAAATCTTTCAAAGAAAATAGAGGTGAACGTTTAACTGACTTTATAGTAAGCTGGGTAAGATCTTTTAAAGTACTCTATTGTCTTAGAGCATCTTCTGCTGCTATAACAGAGTACCTGAGGCTGGGGAATTTATTAAGAAAAGGCATTTGTTTCTGCCAGTTCTGGAAGCTGGGAGGCCTCAGGTTCAGGAGCCGCATCCGATGGGCTTCTGGCCAGGGCCTCGTACTGCATCAGAGCGTGGCCATTATAACAGCCCCATGCTTGTGGTAACCAACCCCTCCTGTGAGAACCCACTGATCTACCAATCCACGAAGGGATTACCCGCCTCCTAAAGGCCCCGCCTCTCAATACTGTTACCTTGGGGATTCAGTTTCAACGTGAGTTTCAAAAGGAATAAACATATTTCCCTTTGAAACATTTCATAGCAAGTATGAAAACAAATAACAAAGGAAAATTTTATCTAAAATGGGAAAGTATTCATACCTCAAATAATAAAATTAAGCAAATAAGAAGTCAGGAAAAAATACAAGTAACAAAGGTAACAGAGAGTTCATATCCTTACTGTAGGAAGGGTGCTTTAACACAATTATTTTTTAAAGCCAAGCTTTCAGTGGGAAAAAGAGGTAAAGACCTCATAGGCAACTCACAGAAGAAAAAAGTAGAAATGGATGATGAATGTAGAAAGTATATTAAACCACACAAATGCTTTCTTCTTTATACATTGCTATGTTTTCTAAATTGTGTAAATGACCATGTTATTTTCATAATCAGGAAAGAGTACAGCCAGTGTGAATTCATCTAGGTAAAGCTCAAAGCTAATCTTTGGAGCCAGGAGTTCAGGACAGGGTTCACCTCCAGGGGCTGATCGCTGTGAAGGGCGGGAGGGGGCAATCGCGTTCTTTCTAAATCTTGATTTGCTGGAGATCACATGGGTGTGCTCAGTCAGTCAAAATTCATCACAGTATACACTTCTAAAGCGTGTACTCATCTGTATTTGTATATGCTTTGATTTTTAAAGTTTACTTTAGCAAACTCAAAATATGTCTATGGCAAAAGAGATCACAAAAAAGAAACATATATATACGTATATATATGTACATGTACGTGTGTATATATATATATATATATATATAGAGAGAGAGAGAGAGAGAGAGAGAGACAGAGAGAGAGAGAGAGAGAGAGAGAGAGAGACGGAGTCTTGCTCTGTCACCAGGCTGGAGTGCAATGGCGTGATCTCGGCTGACTGCAACCTCCACCTTCCGGGTTCAAGCAATTCTCCTGCCTCAGCCTCCCAAGTAGCTGACAAAAAATATTTTTAACGCAGATGACCAATAAGGTGTTAATGCCTCAAATATACAGTAAGCGTTTATGAACCCACAGGAAAAAGCCAGACAACCAGCAATAAAGTGGGCAAGAGATACGAATGGGCAGAAGTGAGTCAGAGCAAATAAATCCAGCAAACCTGAAAAGATGCCTGAAGTCACGAGCAGCCAGGGAAGGGCATATTTGCACAACAGAGACATCATTACACCCATCAGGCCACATAAAGAATTTTAACGAAAACTGTAACACACTTTGCTGGCAGGGAGATGGAGAAAGGTCTCTAATACACTGCTGAGGGGCGTGTTAAGATCCTGGCCTCTTTAGGAAGCTGCAACTGCTATTAAAATCAAAATGCAAAGACCCTTCAGGTTGAATTCAAGCTAATGGAGAAGCTAAGTAGACAAAGCCGCCTTGCATTTTCAGGGAAACAGTTCTTTTCCTCCTGGTCTTCAAAGTTGTATGAGTTCCACTGTTGGATTTTCCTCATTTCTTCATCCTGGAAGGAGAGGCTGGCCCAGACCAGGGTCCATTCCCTGGTGCTGTCTGAGGACTCGTTCGGTCCTCGGGAGGCCTAGACCCATGCACAGGTCTCCTCTCGGGTCCTCTGGCTCCCATTCTGCCACTCCATCCATCGCATGCACTGCAGCCAGCAGGAGCCCCTGAAAACACATCTCGGATCACGACACCATTTCTCGGTTGCACTTGAATGAAACGTTCCTACCACACTGTCCGGGTCTGTCCCTACCAGCCCTTCCAACCTCCTTTCTCCAAACCCTGAGTGCCCTCCTGGCCCAGCCCTGCCCCTCTGACCTGTTTCAGTTTCTGAGCTGCACCGAACTCTTGTCCGTTTGGTGCCTCCAGTGCTGTCCCTTCCCTTCCTTGGGCGTGGAGAGGCCTCCATGTGTGCTCCCTGTCCCAGGAATATTCCCAGCACTTGCACGGTGGTGATTCATGAGTCTGTCTCCCTCGAAGGCTGGAGCTCAGGAGCTGGGACCCTCCACCTCACCGCCTGCCACGCCCCAACCCCAGCAGTGTCCCGCACGAGGAAGGAGCTGTAAGTACTGATGACTGGCACACTCGGGCCTCCTGCCCTCTGGCAGCTGAAATGTGAATGGCCAGTGTTGTGTGCTGGGAGAGGGAGGGTGGGAGAAAGGAGGCGGCCCCAGCCATCCTGGTGTCTCCTGGAGGTGGCAGTGCAGGCCCAGGACCTCGGGCCTTCCCTCACTGGCCGGGCGTCCTCCCAGTCCCTCCCATGCTGGGTGTCCAGACAACAACCCACAGGCCCAGAGGCCACTCTGGTCTTAGTCTTGGTCCAGGCCAAGCAGGGACTGGACCTGCTTGGTGAGGACTGTGGAGAGGACTGTGACCTCTCCATCCATCTGTTTCTGAACCTAAAAAATGGCCAAAGGGGAGGAAGAGGAGGACGATGGCCCCCAGGGCCAGCTCCACAGGTGTGAGGCCTGGGCAGACTCATAGGGCCCGGCTGAGCCCACAGGGACCCCACGCTCTGTTCAAGGCCTGGCCATCGCTGCCTTGGAAGTCTGAAGGCCTTCTGAACTGGGGGCCTCCAATTCCATTTCACCCTGGGCCCCATAAACAGCACACCCAGGCCTGAGAGCGCCTATGCAAGAGAGCTGTGGGCTGAGGGCTGAGGGCTAAGGCGCTGGCTGCCAGGCTGCACCAGGCTTGCAGGGACCGCTGGCCTGACTCCTCACAGTCTGAAGACACCTGAGGACTCCTGCGGCCATTGGCCACCCCCGCCGCAGGAGGCAAGTGCTGGAGAAGCTCAGCACCTTTTGCTTCTCTCCCCCACTGCTGTGGAGCCCCCTCTATGTGCTGAGAAAAGCCAGGCCACTCCAGGAACTCACCCTGCAGCTTCCCGTGGACACGTTACAGCTCCTGCCCCTCAAGCTTGGCGGGGGGATTGTAAACCCCTCTCCCCTCCCAGGTGGGCCCTCGCCAGGGCAGCTTTATGACAGGGATGATGGGCCTCGAAGGGGAGAGAACTCTGTTGAATATCAATATCCGGGCTCATTAGGAAGGAGATATTTCAAGAATTATATATGCAAACAGTGAAAAGGCAAATGGTTTTAATAATAACTTATTAAAAGGCCTTTCCCCGGACTGAGAGTCCCATAGCGCATAAAGCCCCCAGCACTTAGCGGGATGGATTTAAGCAGCAGAAGGCACGCGCCGTGCAATTCTCCCCATAGCTCTGCTGACACGGGTCCCGTCTTGGGGGCTCTGGTCTGGTTTGTTTTTCAGCGGCCCAGGAGGCTCGGGTCTGGCTGGGTGCTGGGTTCCCATGGCTGCTTCTGGCTGCAGCTTGAGCCGAAACGTAGACTCCATTCTTCCAGAGCTTTCCGAGGGCACACTATAAACCCAAGCCGGCCCTAGTGAGGCACCTCCTCTTTGTGCCTCAGTCTCCTGCATCTGTGGGTGGGGAGGGGCTGAAGTCATGGGCTCTGAACCTTCTCCACGGTGGGCACCCCCCTCTGTCCGGATCGCTGCCAGCTATGCTTGGATGGGCCCAGGACAGAGGGCAGCAGAGCCGGCCGAACCTGGCACTCAGGCGCCAGCCCCACAAGAGAGCCTCAGTTGAGGGATGAAATCCAAGATTATTTAAATACCTTCTGTTCTAACTTTGAAAAGCAGATGAGAGAAACACTTGAGTTGACCTCTGAAAGTACAGCCTCTAAAAGCGGGCTCTTGAATTCACTTCACCTCATTTCCATCATCCACAACACTTTTTCCGTTGTGTGTTAATAGCTCTTGAGAAAACGAGGTTGGCTCAGCCGGAGGTGGGATGGGCTTCCCTGGAGGACCGGCCATGGGAGGGTAACGGAAACCCACAGGGCACCGGGTGACTGCCTGGGGAGTGGGGTGCAGGGGCAGGACACCAGCCCTGGAGCCCTGGAGGGGCCCAGAAGACCCTCACTCCCTGAGGGAGGCCAGGACTAGAGGCGAGGTAAGGGAAGCCAGTTCCTGGACACAAAGAGGGAGGCCAGGGGAGGAAGGGCCGAGCGCCAGATTGGAGCCCTGGTAGCCGCCAAGGCGATGGAGCTCTGCAGGCGGCAGGTGTGGGCTCAGGGACCTCAGCTGGGCCAGAGAAAGACCCAGTGCAAGAGTCAGGAAGTGCTGTTCTGGGCAGGGCCTTGGACAGCAAAATCCAGCACCCATTCTACAAGGAGAAAATCAAGGGGCAGACAGGCAAGGCACGGCCCCCAATTCTCACGGGCAGTTGGGGCTGAGCTGGGGTCTGCACTCGGTTCCTACACCTCAAGGCAGAGCCCACTCCAGCAGGCCAGTCTGCACAAGGCTGGACCAGTTAAGGAATGCAATGCAAGCAACTGGCTGCTCCCAATGTGAACAGCTTAGTGTGAACTCTGCGCCAAGCTGGACAGGGCAACGCCCAGCCCTATTTAATCGATGTATAATGAAGTCGGGGTCCATCAGTAGGCCCTCGGGGACCCCACCCTGACTTGCCCTTCCAGCCTGACCTCCTTGGGAGTACAGCTCAGCCCCTGACCGCACCCCACACACACCCAGCCCCACGGAGCCACTCCCCTAGGATCTCCCCGACTCCAACCACACTAGACCCAGCCCCGCTTCAGAGTGACCAATTCCCTCCCATTTGCCTGGACCTCAGGGTGGAGAGGGGACTGTTTCCCTGAATGCAGGACTTTCCCTTTTAAAACCAATGAAGTCCCAGTCAAACCAAGATGAGCTAGAGACCCTAGCCCTCTTCTTCCAGCCTCATTCCTTCCTTCACATCCCCACAGCCCAGGCCAGTCTGCCCCTTCGGCGGGGGCCTTTCCCATGCCCCCAGCCTGACTGTCCTCGTGGGGCCTCCCTGCCATTGACCACTTTCCTGCCTGACCCAGAGACACCCAGGCACAGTGCTCCCAAATTACCCCATCTGCAAGCTCCTCTGTTGCCTGCAAGGCCCTGCCTGTTGCAGTGTGAAACACACAACCTAAAGGGCGCCCTGTGCTGGGACAGACCCTGGGAGGCAGCCCTGCTGACAGCAGGCCCTCTGACACAAGTGAGACAAGGCGGAGGGCAAGGGCCTTCTGGGGGCATTTTGGGGAAAGGAAGGTCATTTACACTATTCCAATATCCCAGCTCTGTGGGGAAGCTGTGGGGCCCGGAGCGAGGGTCTTCTCTTCCAGCAGGGTGACTGCTCAGAACGCAGTAGTTAAACAAAACATCGTGGAGACTTCTTCTGTGAAGCACGCATTCATTTGAGGTCTCCTCCCATCCACCATTTTGCTGCCCCCTCCGACCCCACAGACCAACATTAGGGAGTGAGTGTACGATCCCCGGGAGCCCGTTTCCAACAGGCTGTCCAGTTCTGTGGGACCCCCGAGCCAAGCTTGTCTCAGGATCGTGGTGTGCAGAGAAAGCTAATGGACGACCTGAACTGTGCCACTGTCAGCCAGCAGCCTGTGCTGGGAATCGCTGAGATGACCCTCCACAGTATCTTGGGGCTGGTGACAGCTGGGAGTTACCACCCCAGTCCTGAAAGGCAAGGGGCTGCCGGAGTAGCTAATGGCAGCTGGAGAGAGACCCGCCTGTCGTGGGTTGGGAGCTGGAGAGAGACCCGCCTGTCATGGGTTGGGTTTTTCAGAAGCAGGAGTTGAGACAAAGTCAGGATACAAGATGTTTATGAGGGTCCAGCACCTGGACAGGAGGGAGAAGCGGGTGGAGGGAGACGTTCAACTGTGGTACAGGCCTGTCTGGAAGCTCCCAAGTGCACAGTACCCATCCAGCATCCCACCTCGGGTCTCCCAAGACCCTCTCCCAGTCTCCGGGTGTTAGCTGGGCATGAAAAACTTGGCCCAGGCCGGTTGGGGCTCATCACTGGGAAGATCCTGAAGAGCTAACAGGTGGAAGCCATGTTCTGACCACTCCCCAAAGCTGGGAGCAAGTCCTTCCTGGAAGGGGCATCTGGGTGGCACATCTCCAAGTCTGTCACACAGGCCGAGAGGAGCCGAGAGATCAGCAGAAGGGCAGAAGTTGAGACGTTTGAGTGTAGGCAGAAGTAGAAGGCAAATGACAGCAACAGACAGGGTGGGAGCCAGGCGGCCTTGCCCAGCTCCTGCCCCCTTCTACTCTCTCTCCCTGGCTGCCAACCTGACCAGAAGCCAAAGAGCAGAGAAGCCGCTGGGGTCTGGCCCATGCAGTCAGCCTCCTGCAACACAGAGCGTGGCGAGGATGGAGGTGGGTCTGGACCAGCGGTAGACAGCCAGCACCATGGTCAGCAAAGCATGGCACTGTCCCTAAAGATACAGGGCTTTGACAGTCAGCAAAGCATGACACCGCCCCTAAAGATACAGAGCTTCGCCAGTCAGCAAAGCATGGCACTGTTCCTAAACATACGGGGCTTCGTTTTCCTTTGATTATTATTACTTGCATTTGAAGGAGCTTGGAAAGCATGAGAAAGATTACAGAAGGCTAAAACACACACACACACACACATACACACACACACACCATGCACACATGCACATGCGTGCACAGACAGGAACACACACTTGCCACGTACACACACATCATGCATGATACACATCACACACACATATGCATGTGCACACATGCACACAGGCACACACACACAGCATGCACACACATCCCATAAATATGCACATGTATGCACACATGCTCATATAGGCACACACTCTCACACACCATGCACACACACACAAGCTACACTTCGTTGCGTTGATTCTTTTACAGCTTTCTCAAATGTTTCTACAGATGTTGGTGCATTTCAATATGTTAACACTTCTTCAATTAATTTTAATAATACATACTTTTCAAAAATTACCTTCTTCAACTACGTTTTCAAACTCTTTTAACTTAGAATGGTAAGAATTGTTCTCTGTAAATTCTGGTTTATCCAAGGCTAGTCTTATGAGGGGAATTTGTGTTTTCTTACATTTCTTCTTGGTTAACAAGTTAGTAGATTATCTATTCGATTTTTCTAGAGTCAGCTCTCAGGCTTCATTTATCAATTCACTTGTTTCCATCTTTGAATTCATTATTTCTGCTGTTATCTGTAGTCCTTACTTCTGCTTTCCTTGGGTTTGTTTGTCTTTCATTTCAAGTGATTTCTTAATTTCCTTTAACAGTTTTTAAACTGTGGAATTATTTTCTCAGTATAGTCCAAGCTACATCTAATAAGCTCTAGCATGTAACTTTTTCTTTTTTGTTCTTTTCTAAATATTGTGTCACTGCTGATTTGGTTTTTCTCTTTTATCCATGAGATGACTGTTTTAAGTTCCCAGGAAGCGAGTCTTCTTGTTCCAATTTATTCCTGAATTTTTATTTTGACTGTCATTACACTGTAGTTAGGAGATGTGACCTCTACTGTCTCCAGCATTTAGAATGTATTGCGGATCCAGGGACACAGCAAGTCAGGTGGGCTCTGTCGCAAGGATGGTTACAACATAGACTACTTCCATGTCAGTCTTCCATTATTTGCATACTCGAGACCCTGATGTGTTGGCTAATTTGCCAAGAAACCCCCGCAGCAGACTGCGTCCGCAGGGCAGGGCTGAGTAGCAGGGGCAGCACCTCTCACAGGGGCAGGGCCGCTTGCCCAGCCTTGAGGAAGGGGGACCCAGACATTGCCTTTCTCAATACTGAGCCCCTAAACAGGATTTCTGGTCTGGGGTCTGGGACTAGGCTATCTGGACAGTCAAACTCTTCCCACTGCGCCATCAGCCCCACTAGGAAAGAAAGAGGAGAAATTAGGGCTTTGCTTTAAAGAGTTCAACGGTCAGAATATGTCCCCCGCAAACGGACATGCTGGAATCCTCATCCCCAAGTGAGGGCGGGGCCTCACATTAGGAGGTGATGAGGTCACAGAGGCAGAAACCTCACGAACGGGATCAGGCTCATCAAAGAGGCCTGAGAGACGACACCTACCAGCTGGAAGGCGGTTCCGCACCAGACACCGAAGCTGCTGGGCCTTCGACCTCGGACCTCCGTCTTCCAGAACTGTGAGCCACACATTCCTGATGCTCCTAAGCCACGCCGTGTACGGTATTTTGTTACGGTAGCCCAAATGGACCAAGATAGGAGCTAAAGGTAACTGACCACACCTCCAGCCCACCCGCAGAGCTAACAGACAGGCCCTCAGCTGCAGGCCTGGGGTAGAAGGGCTGCCAAAGGGGCTGTGGGGGTGACGGGGGGGCCGCATCCCTGTGGCCCCACTTGGCACAGGGGCTTTGACTCACTGCTGGAGCTGCCAGGCTTTGAGTGGACAGGCCTGGCCTGGGAGGGGGGCAGCAGCGGCAGAACGCACCTTGGACAGAGGACCAGGTCTCTCCCCTTTGTCCAGAAAGAAGTCCCCATGTTGAGTTCAAGGGAGGGGTGAGGCTTCAATTGAAAAAAAAAATAATAATAATGTCAGACTTGCTACCAGTCTTTGCATATGGACGTTTTGGCTAAATTTTATTTGATTTGGAGGGAAAAGGTAATGTGACATCATCCACACTCTGAGTAATACGGAGCAATTATTACCTGTTAAGCCCACTTACCTTCGTCTCCAAAACCTACCAGGGACTGGGAGATTAAGAGTGCCCACAGCTGTAGTGCCGCCAGTTTCTCCCTGTGGTTCCAATCCCACTTCAAATATTTTTTTTTTTTTTTGAGACGGAGTCTCGCTCTGTTCCCCAGGCTGGAGTGCAATGGTGCAATCTCACTACAACCTCTGCCTCCCGGGTCCAAGTAATTCTCTGCCTCAGCCTCCCGAGTAGCTGAGATTACAGGCACCCTCCACCACACCCAGCTAATTTTTGTATTTTTAGTAGGGATGGGGTTTCACCATCTTGGCCAGGTTGGTCTCGAACTCCTGACCTCATGATCCACCCGCCTTGGCCTCCCAAAGTGCTGGGATTACAGGCGTGAGCCAACACGCCCGGCCTCTCAAATAAATATTAATACTGTCTATTATATTTAGTTTTATGGAAGTATATAACTTCATTATGGATTGAACATTTTATCAACAAAAAGAAACACTCTTCATGCAGTTTTTCCTCTTTGAACTCAAATTTTCTAGTATTAATATCGTGACTCCTACTTCACTCTGGGTTTTATTTTCTTTTTTATTTACTTGGAAATATTCTCATGATTCTGTGTTCATTTTTCTTATTGTAAACACACAAAAAGTCTTTGGGCTTATGTGGCCCCCGAGAGTCTTTTTCTTAAAATGGGTAAATTTATCCCATTTACATTTATAATTATAATTGATACATTTTGTCTTATACGATCTTATTTCAATCTCCTGGTGGAATGCTTCCTAGGGGTTTTCTTCCATTGTTGTTTTACATATTGTTAGGTTGTCTTCTTTCTCTCTGTCCTCTCCTATACCTTGGAAGAATACAGTCATCGTTGTTGTTTTCATTGTAATTCTTTTTTATATAAATATAAGGAAATGAATACGGGGAGAAGTTAATTCTGCTGAGTGGAGTGGGATGTCCAAAGGATCATGAGGAAGCTAAAGTGCAGTGGCCCCATAACGGCTCATTGCAGCCCAGAACTCCTGGGCTCAAACGGTCCTCCTGCCTCAGCCTCCCAAGCAGCTGGGACCACAGGTGCACAGACCTACACCCAGCTAATTTTTTTTTTTAATTTTGTAGAGAGGGGATCTCTCTATGTTGCCCAGGCTGGTCTCAAACTCCTGGCCTCAAGCAATCCTCCCACCTTGACCTCCCAAAGTGCTGGGATTCCAAGCATGAGCCACCACACCCAGCCTTAATTCTTTTTATAACTTTAAAAATACTTCTTATCCTGTGTTTCTGAACGTTATGATCTACTGTAACAAAACAAAGTGAATAAGTTAGCAGAATTACACTTATTCCAACTTCCCTAGCATCCTATTTTTGGTTGGTATTCTCTGCACATTTTTTGCCATTTTGGTTAATCTGTTGTGATTTTTATCTTATTAAAATTATTAACATTTATTCAGAAAATACTTATTGATTATTCCCTAAGTTCCAGGTTATGTTGCTGCTAGTGGCTCAGTCATACACAAAACAAAATATGTCCTCGGAATAAATAATCTGTCCTCAGAGAGACTGCGGTCTAGAAGGGAAGAGAGATGTGACTAATTCCACAATAGACGTGTAGTCTGCCTTGGTCTGTTCAGCTGCTATAACAAAACGCTATGAACTAAGTAGCCTGTAAATAATAAAAATTTGTTTCTCACAGTTCTGGAGCCTGAAAGGCCAAGATCAAGGCAGACTCATTGTGTGGTGAGGGCCATTTTTCCGGCTCATAAACAGTGCTTTCTTCCTGTGTCCTCACATGGTGGAAGGGACCAATAAGCTCTTTGGGGCCCCTTTTAGAAGGGCACTAAGCCCATTTATGAAGGCACCATCCTCATGAGCTACTCACCTCCCAGAGGCCCCATGTCCTAATAGTATCACCTTAAGGGTTAGAATTTCGATATATGAATTTATAGGGGCTGGGGGGTCACAAACATTCAGATTGCAATATAAAACTTTTCAGCTTCTTAGAGAGTGACACTTACCTTATCATTGGTGGCACTTTACAATCTCCATCAGCCACATGGAAACCTGATTAGATTAGTGATCAGGGAAACGTTTATGTTCTGATGTGTGTCCAGACTCAAGACTATTATTTGGACTTAATTTCACATTTAAACGAATTCCCTGCTCACCATCCACCCTTTCTTTGTCCAATCCATGTTTAGTTTATGATTTGGATTCATCTTTTGGTTGGCTGAAATAATTCTTCATGTAGTAGTAATAGCTGTTGCTGTTGATTACATTGTTTAATTGAGAAAGTGCATACACAGGAAACAAGTTCTCCTACATGAGATATTGTCTTCTGCTGCCTTATACAAGCAGGAACTTTGGCTAAGAGAAAATCTTGGGTTCACAGACTCTTCACCTGAAGAATTACAAATACTGGCCTAACACAATGTTCAGATAGTTCTGAGGCCAGCCTCACAAGTTCCTTTAGTAAATGATCCTTTTCTTATCACTAGGTGCTTGTGAGATTCCACGCATCATACTAGAGGTGTGAGCACTGCACCTAAGGGTGCCTCGGATCATCCCTGAGATGCAGGCACTGCACCAGGAGGTGTCTTGGATCATTCCTGAGGTGTGAGCACATCATCAGAAGGTATGTTGAATCATCCCTGAGGTAAGAGCACTGCACCAAAGGGGTCTTGAATCATCCCTGAGGTGTGAGCACTGCACCAGATGTCTTGGATAATCCCTGAGGTAAAAACACTACATCAGGAGATGTCTTGGGTGATCCCTGAGGTTCAGGCACTGTGCCAGAATGAATCATCAGAAGAAGGAGCATTACACCAAGAGGTGTTTTGGATCATACCTGAGGCGTGATCCTCCTTGAGGTGTGATCACTGTAACAGGAGGTGTCTTGGATCTTCCCTTCGGTGTGATCACTGCACCAGGAAGTGTCTTGGATCATCCCTGAGGTGTGAGCACTGTAACAGGAGGTGTCTTGGATCCTCCCTGAGGGGTGAGCACTACCCCAAGAGGTGTCTTGGATCATGCCTGAGGTGTGATCACTGTACCGGGGGTGTCTTAAATCATCCCTGAGGGGCGAATACTGTAAGAGGAGGTGTTTTGAATATTCCCAGAGGTAAGAGCACTACACCAGGAGGTCTTTGGATCATCATACCTGAAGTGTGAACATTTCACCCTTAAATGTGTGAACCTTATATAAGGTGTGAACATTTCACACATTATATCATGCCTGAGGTGTGATTCATGCACCAGGAAATGTTTTGTATCATCCCTGAGGTGCAGGCACTGTACCAGTAGGTCTCTTGGATTATGCCTGAGGTGTGACCACTGCACCAGGAAGTGTCTTAAATAATCTCTGAGGTGGGAGCACTCCACAAGGAGGTGTCTTCGTTCATCCCTGAGCAGGGACTACTCCACCAGGAGGTTTTTTGGATAACCCTGAGGAGGGAGTACTACACCAGGAGGTACCTTGGATGTTAACTGAGTTATAACCACTGCATCAGGAGGTGTCTTAAGTAATCTCTGAGGTGGAAGCACTACACCAGAAGGTGTCTTGGATCATCCCTGAGGTGCAGACACTGCACCAGGAGATCTGTAGGACTATGCCTGAGGTTTGAGCACTGCACCAGGAAGTGTCTTTTATCAACCCTGAGTTGGGGGCACTGCACAAGGAGGTGTCTTGGATCATCACTTAAGTGGGAGCACTGCACCTCCAAGTGTCTTGAATCATGCCTGACATGTGAGCACTGCACCAGCAGGTGTCTTGGCTAATTCCTGAGGAGGGAGTACTGCACGAGGAGGTGTCTTGCATCACAAGTGAGGTGTGAGCACTGTACCAGGAGGTGTCTAGGATCATCCCTGAATTGAGAGCACTGCACCAGGAGGTGTCTT